>NC_000012.12:20834650-21459650 GCF_000001405.40 Homo sapiens | reverse complement strand
TCAGGTCCCACATGTTGAGGGATCAATCTCACAAGACTGTCTTCCACTTCCAATACCAATTGCATGCCCCGGGTGTTTTACCAGTTGGTCTGACTAACCAACCATAAATCAAGGGGCTCCCACGAGCCCCTTTCTTAGGTTCAATTAATTTATTAGAATATCTCACAGAATTTGGGGAAACACTTTACTTACATTTACTGGTTTATTATCAAGGATGTCACGAAGAAACAGATGAAGAAATACATAAGGCAAAGCATATAAGAAGGGGCATGAAGCTTCTATGCCCTCTCCAGATAGACCACCCTCTAGCAACTTCCACATGTTCAGCTATCCAGAAGCTCTCCAAACCCAGTCCTTTTGGGTTTTCATGGAAACTGTGTTATGTAGGTGACTGATTAAATTACTGGCTGCTAGTGATTGGCTTAACCTTCAACCTCTTTCCCTTCCTGTAGGTTGGAAAGTCTAAACTCTAATCATGTCTTGGTCTTTCCTGTGACCAGTCCCCATTCTGAAGCCACCTAGGGGCTAACCAGTCAACTCGTTAGCATACAAAAGGACACATCACTTTGGAGATGCCAAAAATTTTAGGAGTTGTGTGCCAGAAAACTGCAGACACAACATTTTATTGTGCTTCACTACTGTTTTGCAGATAGTGTGTTTTTTACAAATTGAAGGTTTGTGACAAACCCACATCAAGCAAGTCTTATCAGTGCCATTTTTCCAATAGCATGTGCTCACTTTGTGTCTCTGTCACATTTTGGTAATTCTTGCAATATTTCAGTTTTCATCATTATTAGATCTTTTATGGTGATCTGTGATTAGTAATCTTTGATGTACTACTGTAATTGTCTTGGGGTGTCATGAACCACACCCATCTAACACAGTGAACTTAATCGATAAATGTTCTGTGTTCTGACTGCTCCATCAACCAGCTGTTGTCCTATGTCTCTCCCTCTCCTTGGGCCTCCTTATTCCCGGAGACACAAGAATATTGAAACCAGGGCAATCAGTTACTCTGTAGTGGCCTCTAAGTGTTCAAGTGAAAGTAAGGATCACACATCTCTCACTTTAAATCAAAAGGTAGCAATGATTATTAGGGTTATTGAGGAAGGCACATGGAAAGCCAGGCCTCTTGCCCTGAACAGATGGCCAAATTGTGAATGCAAAGGAAACATTCTTGAAGTAAATCTAAAGTGGTATTCCAATGAACACATGAATGATGAGAAAGCGAAACAGTCTTCTTGCTGACATGGAGAAAGTTTTAGTGGTGTGGAGAGAAGATCAAATCAGCCACAACATTCCCTTAGGCCAAAGCCTAACCCAGAGTAAGCCCCTAACTGTTTTCAATTCTGTAAAGGCTGAGAGAAGTGAGGAAGCTGCAGAAGAAAAGGCTGAAGCTAGTAGAGGTTGGTTCATGATGTTTAAGTAAAGAAGCCATCTCTACAACAAAAATATACAATTGATAACTGATGAATGTGGCTACACTAAACAGTAGATTTTCAGTGTACATGAAACAGCCTTCCAGTGGAAAAAGATGCTATCTAGGACCTTCACAACTATAGAGGAGAAGTCAATGCCTGGCTTCAAAGGACAGGCAGACTCTCCTGTTAGGGGATAATGTAACTGGTGACTTGAAGTTGAAGCCAATGCCTATTTACCACTGTGAAAGTTCTAGGGCCCTTAAGAACTATACTACATCTACCCTGCCTGTCCTCTGTAAATGGAACAACAAAGCCTGGATGACAGCATTATATGGTTTGGGCCTGGTTCTCCACCCAAATCTCATATCAAATTGTAATCCCCAATGTTGGAGGTACGGCCTGGTGGGAGGTGACTGGATCATGGGGACAGTTTCTAATAGTTTAGCACCATCCTTAGTGCTGTTTTCATGTTAGAGTTCTCATGAGATCTGGTTGTTTAAAGGTGTGTGGCACCAGCCCCCTTCTCTCTCTTCCTCTTGCTCTGGCCATGTAAGAAGTGCATAATTCCCCTTCCCCCGTGATTGAAAGTTTCCTGAGGCCTCCCCAGTCATGCTTCCTGTACAGCCCGTGGGACCATGAGCCAATTAAACCTCTTTTCTTTATAAATATTACCTACTCTCAGGTATTTCTTTATATACTGTGAGAATGGAGTAATACACAGCACATCTGTTTACATAGTTTACTGAATATTTGAAGCCCACCATTGAGACCTACTGCTCAGAAAAAAAAAAAAAAAGATTCATTTCAAAATACTACACTCATTGACAAGGCATTTGGTCACCCAAGAACTCAGACAGAGATGCACAAGGAGATGAATGTTGTTTTCATGCCTGCTAATACAATATCCATTCTGCAGCCCATGGATCCAGGAGTAATTCTTACTTTCAAGTCTTATTAAAGAAATGCATTTCATAAGGCTATAGCTGCCACAGATAGTGATGCATCTGATGGATCTGGGAAAAGTACATTGAAAACCTTCTGGAAAGAATTCACCATTCTAGATGTTATTAAGAACATTCATGATTCAAGGGAGTAAGTCAAAATATCAACATTAACAAAAGCTTGAAAGAAGTTTACTCCAACCTTCATGGATGACTTTGAGGGATTCAAGATTTCAATGGAGAAAGGCAGATATGGTGGAAATAACAAAAGAACTGTAATTAGAAATGAATCCTGAAGATGAGACTACATTGCTGCAATCTCATGATAAAATTTGAAAAGATGAGTTGTTGTTTCTCATGGATGAGCAAAGAACGTAGTTATCTGAGATGGAGTTTACTTCTGGTGAGGATGCTGTGAGTATTGCTGAAATGATGAAGGATTTAAAATATTACATATACTTGGTAAAGCAGTAGCAGAGTTTGAGAGAATTGACTTTTGAAAGAACTTCTACTCTGGGCAAAATGCTATAAAACAGCTTCGCACGCTACAGAGAAGTCTTTCACGAGAGGAAGAGTCAATTGATGGGGCAAACTTGTTATTTTAAGAAATTGCCACAGCCACCCAAACCTTCAGCAAGCACCACCCTGATGAGTCATCAGCCACCAATACCGAGGCAAAACTTTCCACCAAAAAAAGATTATGATTTGCTGAAGGCTCAGATGATTGTTAGCATATTAAGCAATAAAGTATCTTTAAATTAACGTTATGTGCATTGTATTTTTAGACACAATGCTAATGCACATTTAATAGACTGCAGTATGTTATAAACATAACTTTTGCAGGCACTGGGAAACTGAAAAATTCGTGTGGCTCACTTTATTGTGGTATATCATTTCCTGTGATGGTCTGGGACTGAACCTGCAATACTCCAAGGTATGACTGTATATATATTACAGTATCACACCTCAAGAGTTAAAACGTAGGCTGAGATCCAGTCTTCGATGCTTTGACATTCAGTTTTCTTTGGTGGCCAAATGGACCAACTGCATTGGAGGTCTTTTCCTAACACTATGGATTTTAAGTAAAGTGACCTAACAGTTCGTTGACTATATATTTATTACCAGTCTTTAATAAATGGTTCAAGAATTTAAAATTACATTTAGACATGACCAATTAGTATATGAAAAGATACCTCTTTTGTTCCTTTAAGATTCAAGCCTTCATGCCAATCTGGTCCCAATGCACTTCCTACATTATCTGCTTTAGATTTGCTTCTAGCTTCCTTTTTCCTTCCTAAAGAGATGAAATTAAATAATATAAAAATTACCAGATAGAGAAATATGTTAGTGTTCTGAAGTTTTTTATTTAGGCAATGTAATGATTCATATATATACATACATTACAGCATGACTAACCTATGTTATCTATATTAATCATTTTAGTCATTAATATTTTTCTGATGTAGAGTTACAAAACAGATAATCTTTCAGTTGTGTGTTGAGTATAAACACACTCAACTTACGTTTTGGATGTTACACGGTTAACTGGAAGGGTAAGAAAATTAGCCTTCAAATTTTTATAATTTTATATATTTTTAGCACCTCCAAAATGTACAAAACTCTTGTTTAATTTTATAATCTAAAAGTTTTTCAAAGCTATCAAACTTAAAAAAATATGAAGTTTGTATTAGTTTTTCAACTCACTGCATTTTTTACAAAACTTCTTCAGGTATTGCCAAAATGTAGTATCTGTTTGCAAAGATGCAGATGGGCTGAGTTATTCAATTTATTTTAAATTTCTTGTTTTAATTATATATATATATATAAAATACATACATATATATAAAATAGAAAATCTGAAAACTTCATGTAAAGATATATAAATATCCATATTACTATTTCCAAAATTTATTTTATTAAATTTTCTTGTAGCCCTTTTCTATATGGTTTTAAAAAAGTTTTGTATGAGAATTAATGAGCTAGGTGCTACACTTACCTTCAGTTGTATATCTGGTTCTTTTATGTGCAATTTTAGCCTCTGATTTTTCAGCAATGAGCTTTGAAGTCAAGAATTCAGCTGCTCCTGCATCGAAGAAAGTATTCCCTATAGCTTTATCTTTAATGGCCCAAATCACTTCACAGCCTTCAATTTCATACCTAAAAACAATGTTAAAGTTACTAAGAGTGATTTCAAAAGTCTAAGTAAAAAATCTTTGCATTTGCAAATAATGATCTCCTGAAGCAAAAGTAGGGAATACATTTTTAAGGCTAACTGGGAAAGATTGATTATAAAGAGGAATATTAACGTTCTTTACAGATGTTAAGAATTAAAAATTGAATAGTAAAAGAATCTGAAGCAGTTTACAGAAAGAACCTTTAAGTGACAAATACATGTACTGAATATCAAGTAAAATTTCATTACAGTGTACATCATTAGAAAATGTTCAATTTCTACAATACACTTATTATATGAATGGCCCCCAGGGGTAAGCAGTGCTTTTTAAAAAATCTGGTTATAGTGTAATCAAGTAATGGATGGATGGCACATAGCTATAATATTGAGAATCAGTCACTTATTTGGTAACAACTTTTTATATCTTCAAAGCACATTACGGAAAGGGATAGAAAATGGAAAGAATCAGAGTTATAAGCTAAAAATCTTAAGGATCAAGATCAAGGATCAAGGATCTTAGAGGAAGGAAAGAATGAAAATGGTATATATAAGCCACCTTCTATTACTATTTACCACTAATGTAAGGTAATGGGCATGTGATATTTTATTCTAGGTTTAGATGCTAAGAAGTGGTTTTCCTAACAATATTCCTTTCACAAAGTCCCTGAAGTCCATTATAATTAAGGTGATCACATAATTTATCACCTAACCTGGGATACTATCTGCTACTAATAATCATTTTTGGTACAACTGGTGGAAATGGAGACAATCCCAGACAAACAAGATATATGGCCATCCTAACTATAATAGGATTTTATCTAAACTTGCGATACTAATAAAATACTGTAAAAAGTTAAGGTATTAATTTTTCACATTTCTTTACGGTACAAAGTATTGTCATCTTTATTTCACAGACTGATATAACATAGGTTACACGACTTTTCAAGACTAATCAATAAACAGATTACGAAAAAAGGTTTAGTACATCTGAATCCAGGTCACTTGATATTCATACTTTTCAACATATGGTGATAAGGAACTCCTTGCTTTACCTAATAAGTCTTCGTTTTTCCAGCTCTTCTATGTCAGTAAACATAGAAGATTATTGGGTGAACATTCTATTTTATGTTACTCTGGTCATATAGCATTACTGACCAGCGGAAAGTGGAATACACACAAATTTGGTAATAAAGTTTGTATTTCAATTTACATACAGGCATACAGTTATCATGTAATGCTTTCTTTTTGAAAAACTGGGAATTTCTCTATATTACCATTTTTAAATTTAAAGTAATATTACACTATAACACCTATCAGTGCACTTCAGCATACTGATGACTGACTAGCAGACAAAGTTATTACAAGTAACCACAAGAAACTTCAGTACTTGCTCTACCTCCTAGGACACCTTCTAATCCTCTTTTCCTGACTTGAACTATGTTCTCAGCAAGATGCACAGTTTGACGATTATCATCACACAGAGGGGAAATACTGCTTTCATTTTGAAAATGACTCTACAGAAGCAGACAATGAGATATTACGGTTTTGTGAAGTTATGAAAAACAGTATCTGTTTGAAAAGGAAAGGATTAACTTACACTTAGAAAGGAGAAAACAGATAATAACTGAAATAAATGTATAATGAAGAACATTAGTATTAGTTTCACTGAAACACAGTGTAGAAAGGGTATGGGTATGCCAAGTTTCACGAGAGACAAAGACCTAATCACGCAGCAGACCTCAAGTCAGAGAATAACATTATGTGGGTCCATTTTTAATTACCAAAGAAGAGCTTACTAAATACAAAACTATGAGTTTTATCCAATTATACAGTCTTCAATCTCCAACTTAAAGAAAATGATGAATAGGATTAAATGTAAGACTCTGAACATTTTTGAACATAAAATTTTTAAATGTAAATAACAATTATAATAATAGTAAGTGATACTTTGGTGAGAGCTGATAGAGAAAATCTGGCATGTATATACTATACACAAGGATTTGAAGCCCCATTTACAATAAATCTATACCTCTTCCCTCTTGGCCCACATTTTGGTTTTGACCCTTTCTCTGTATTTCTCCATATAATGCCACAAACTTCATAATAACAATAATGACTGTTACCCATAGTACTCAGGCAATTTAAGAACTCTTACAGGCTTCCACTGGGTGAGATCATCCGCTAAAAGAGGGGCAAAAACCTAGTCTGAGAGTTGGATTGAATGCAAGTGAGCAAAGATATGGCTTTGGCAGAGTCCTTATTTTGATTCAAATTTGTCCTCTTTGTGGTTTGACTCAACTTTATGGCCTGAAAAAGATCCAGACTATTTCATGTCAATCATCTGCTAGAGGATAAAATCATGAAGTGAATCAATCTTCTGCAGGACACAGCAGGATATTTCTCAATGGTTTTTGAACTTGTAATATCGTCTTAAGATGAAAATTAATTAATGTGTTCACATTTCCCAAGCTACCAAAAAAAGAGCTGCAAGAACCACATATCCTAAAACAGGAGTCACAAACATTTTGGGTGACACTGGCCAGACAGGTAACATAAATGAGTGTAGCAGGATTTATCATATAAGCAATAAAAAGTGGTGAGGGCTATCACTAGAAATCTCAAAAGGTGTAAATATTTGAATTATTTTTAAACATAAAATATACTTATAAAACACATTTATGGGCCAAATTTGGCCAATCACCTTGAGACCTAAAGCATTCCCAAAACATATATATTTTATAATAAAATTTCTACAATTACGGATTCCACAAGAGCTAAAAAAATATGGTGGATTTTTCCCCTTGAAAACATATGAAAATTATATTTATCTTTGATTTTCAGAATAAAAAACATTTTCCAGTCTGCCAACAAATCACAAGAATCACAAAGCAATTGTTTAATTTAAAAACAAATTATTTTTAAACAATTTAAATGTTATCATATTTAAAAATATATACTTACACTAACTCAAGTGCAATACCACCGTTCCCTATGATCATTATTCTTTTAGCTTTAGTAAGCTGTTTCTGAAATTCCTATGTTAAAAAGAAAATAATGAGGTAGTATTTTGTAATAGTGGGCAATAATCTGAAATATGAGGCTTCGATAATATTCTAAAAATGTAAATATTTTATTGAATTTGTAAAGGAAAAAAATGAATCTCACTTTCCCACTGTATCAGGGTACATCCTCTCAATTAATATAACAAAAGTCCCCCTTTATGCTTTATCCCAAGCTGCCTTTATAGCAATGCCTCTCCTGATTTTCCTTTCCTTTTAGGTCATTACATTTACAGTACTTCAGAATTTCGGCAGGAGGCACTATTAACTTACCACATTCCCAATTATTTGACCAAATCAATTATTCTTTCTTTTCACCTAGACTCTCAGTTTCCCTAGAGTTACTCAACACTTAAAACTTCTAGGAATGAGAAGCTCAGCAGCATAGTGGTTAAGAGCACAGACTCTGGAAGCACTGGCTCTAGCAATTACTAACTGAATGACTTTGGGCAAGTTGCTTACCCTATCTGCATCTCAGGTCCTTCAACTATAAATGGAAATAAGGGACTATATATCCTAATGTTTCTGTAAGGATTATGTGAGATGACACAGACAAAGCTGGTAGGAGTAGCACGCACCCAATAATGTCAAACTTCTACTAAAAAAAAAAATGTTATTAACATTCTAAGACAGATACATTGATGCCTCCACCCCCCAGAAAAAAAAGATCACAATGAGCTTAGAGAAGCCAGTGGTAAATGTAAATGACAGTTAAAGGGTGCAGCACACCAACATGGCACATGTATACATATGTAACAAACCTGCACTTGGTGCACATGTACCCTAGAACTTAAAGTATAATAAATATAGATATATTAAAAAAAAAAGAGAGAGAGAAGCCAGTGGTAATTCTTTGGGCACTTTCAGAAGTATAGAATAGTCCCACTGCTTCAGAATGACATCTGGCCCTCCTACTAAATTTATATTAAATTTATCTCCAAACTTATAATATTCACTGAAGCTGACATCTTTAAAATTCTCCAAGAAAAAAACAACTGAAGTTTATTTCAGTTTGTCCTTCATTGAGGATATTGCAATTTAAGAAACATCTGCAAGAGCACTGGACCTAGAGGTGAAAAGCACAAGTTTAAATTGTGTATCTGATAGACTTAACAGCTAAATTAGTATAGATACATACTTAATCTCTTGACCTCAGTTTCCTATTTGTAAATTGGGAGTAATAATCGTCACACAGGATTATCATGAGGATTCAATGAGTTCATGTATGTAGAGGACCGAGCTAAAACAGTTATGAGCTCAATCTCTGATAATATGAACTTAAATTGTTTATAAGAAGATAATCAAGTTCCTTTAATTTTCTCTCAATTCCTAATTATTAAGAGAATAGGCTGAAAGAAAACATTATTAAATTTTCAGAATATAAATTATATTAATGCAAAATCATCATGTCATGAGACAGAACAACGAACTTGAGGTTAGACATAGTATTGTGAAACCAGGAAGAGCTTCTTGGCAATAAGGGTTAATAAGCCCTGAATTAAATTAAATTACCAAAAGGAATTTGTATAATGCTCCAAAAACAGATGTTTCACCTTATTGGGATAGTTTATCTAGGGCAGAACAATAAGCCAAGTGACCTTTTCTGTTCTATGATTCTATCATGATTTTGTACCACAAAGATCTTTTGAATTTTTTTTGCTGGAGAATAAGATCAGTACATTTTGAATACGCTTCACCTTTTTGGAAAAAATTGTTATATTATTTAGGTTGCAAATCACATATTCCCCAAGTAGAGTAATGAATGTGTGTGTAATATAAGTTGTTAATATTCAGCACAGTCATTATATCTGGGTTATCTCACGCTGATAACACATCAGCATGAACTTAAAAACATAGTGTCAACTAAAAATATAAAATTGGCAGGAATAGGCTGGGCACGGTGGCTCACGCCTGTAATCCCAGCACTCTGGGAGGCCTAGGTGGGCGGTCACGAGGTCAGGAGATCGAGACCATCCTGGCTAACATGGTGAAACCCTGTCTCTACTAAAAATACAAAAAAAAAAAAAAAAAATCAGCCAGGCGTGGTGGCAGGCACCTGTAGTCCCAGCTTCTCGGGAGGCTGAGGCAGGAGAATGGCGTGAAACTGGGAGGCGGAGCTTGCAGTGAGCCGAGACTGCGCCACTGCACTCCAGCCTGGGCAACAGAGCGAGACTCCGTTTCAAAAAAAAAAAAAAAAAGAAAGAAAATTGGCAGGAATAAAACATAACCACTCTGTGGTTTACTGGTCATGAAACAAAAATTTCCCTTCTGCCCTTACAGTTTAGGAATTGTAAGTGGAACACTTTAATTCAAATGTAGAAAATTCTTTTATTTTCCTTCTCACGATCCAACCTTAAAATGTTACCTGAGCACTGTCTGTATCACGGATTCCTAATACATAAGGATTTCCTTCACATATCAACTTTGGTTTAGCTCCAGCACACAGACAGAGTTTCTTATATACGTGCTGATTGCCATCTTCTGTTACAATGCACTGTAAATACATCAAACAATGAAAGAAAAGGGAGACACATAATCAACATGGATACAACTTCACTTTAAACTAAAAATTCAATAAGGCAAAAGCAAAACATAATATATTAAGGTTGCCTCTTGGTGGCACTCAGTTCTTTGTTATAGCAATTACAAAACTAAGCATGAGAATACATGTACTAATCCAGTTATTCTTAAATCATTTTAAGCTCATGAACCATTTTGAGATCTCCTGAAAACTAGTCTTTCTCCCCTGGCATAAAAAGGTACATTCACACAAAGTTTTGTATTAAACTTCAGGGAATCCCATGTTGGTTGAAAAGGTATGTTGACCCCACGTTAAAAACAAAACTTCAAGAAATTTTTAAATTTAAGCATTCTCATTATACCTGTGACAGGCCTTGATGAAGATTTCTGATCTCAAGGGAAGTTACTGTAAGAAGACCTAGTAATTCTAACCATATCCTACCTTCATATCTATTATGAGTACAGAAAAGCAGTGAGTGGAACAAGAGGTTATGGTATGTCTTCTTAATCTAAAAAGACTAGAAGTGCTTAAAAAAAATAGTACTTATATTCTTAAGTACAAATAATGACTTTACGAGCAAACCAAATGCTTTTGGGGTATATTTTAGTATAAGTAAAAAATATGATAATCTTTAATCCTAGCATGTATTGGCTTTAAATTTATATTAATTAATAACATAAATGGGTCTAAAACTACATATCAGAGATATATTGCTTTTGTTCTTTAATACTGAATGAAAAACCACATATAAATAGTAGCCTTTAGAAAACATTTAAACATAAATGCATGCTACTATGAGAGATGCTCAACTTTGTTCGAATGATTTAGGGGTTAATGTTTGTGCCAAGTGTTTGACTTACAAACCTTGTTAAACTGTATCATAGCACTTAACATCCAATGAGACATTTATAACTCAAATTAATTCTTCAGTTCCATAACAAATACATAAAACCAGTAATCCAGCATAGCATAATCCATGTAGAAATTTTATACAAGTCTTCTTTTAAATAATCTGGTTAGAATTTCAACTGACAAGAACAAAAGTTAATTATAGGCACTGACAAAACTTTAAAAATAATTTGCATTTAGCTGCTGTAAAAACAAATAGCACAAACAAACACAAAAACTCTTTCCATTAGCTACTGCTAAATTTTTGGCAAGAGACGTGAAAGTAAAACATACTATCTCTAATTCACTAAAAAATGTAAAGGACACTTCTCCAGACGGAAGTGAGCCACACACTCTGCGTCCTCGCCTCACTAGGAAACTACTGAAGTTCCTGGGGAAGCACAGTAGCATTTCATAAGAACAAAATGGATGGGGAAGAGAAAACCTATGGTGGCTGTGAAGGCCCTGATGCCAGGTATGTGAAATTGATATCATCTGATGGCCATGAATTTACTGTAAAAAGAGAACATGCATTAACATCAGACATGATAAAAGCCATGTTGAGTGGCCCAGCTCAGTTTGCTGAGAATGAAACCAATGAGGTCAATTTTAGAGAGATACCTTCACACGTGCTATCAAAAGTACGCATGTGTTTTTTTTTTTTTTAGATGGAGTCTCGCTCTGTCGCCCAGGCTGGAGTGCAGCGGCGTGATCTCAGCTCACTGCAATCTCCCGGGTTCATGTCATTCTCCTGCCTCAGCCTCCCAAGTAGCTGGGACTACAGGCGCCCGCCCCCACGCCTGGCTAATTTTTTTTTGTATTTTTAGTAGAGACGGGATTTCACCGTGTTAGCCAGGACGGTCTCGACCTCCTGACCTCGTGATCCACCCGCCAAGGCCTCCCAAAGTGCTGGGATTACAGGTGTGAGCCACCGCGCCTGGCAGTATGCATGTATTTTACATACAAAGTTCGCTACACTAACAGCTCCACTGAGTTCCCGAATTCCCAACTGCACCTGAAATAGCACTAGAACTGCTGATGGCTGCCAACTTCCTAGATTGTTAAATAAAAGAAATTATAATAAACTGTTAAAAAAACAAAAATGTAAAGGACAATGGATAAGAGAAGGCAGACATGCACTGCATGTGGGATATTTTTCAAATGGTAACGGGAAGCACTCTGATTCATTCAAATGCCCTAACACATAAATTCCCTGACAATCCATTTAGCATATTTTGAGAGCCCACCTCAATTTACAAATAAATTGACAAATATATTACTTGGAATATGTAATACCACTATAAGTATTAGAAACTTATCTGGTTTGGGGATTCAGATTTTTTATTTTTTCCTGATAAAATTCAGTACTTTTTTCTCTCAAATTACTTGTGTTTCAAATGTGGTATATATGTGTTTTATCCCTAAAGGAGATAAAACACATCTCTAATTTATGAGCTAGAACTCATAAATTAGAACTGCTTATAGAAACAACTACAAATCTACTTCTCATCTTACCTGAAGCTCATCTGAGGATACTGTAAATCATCTAACAACATCCTTTCCTGAGACTGCCTTCTTCATTCTCATGTAAAGGGTTATTGAGTCCTGCCAAATTTATAGCAGAAATCTCACTCAAATCTGGGATATTTTTTACAACTACATTGTCCCTGTCTCAGTTCAGACCTTACATCATTTTTCAAATCAATTTTTTAAAAATTATTATTATCCTTTTTGAGACAGGGTCTCACTCTGTTGCCCAGGCTGGAGTGCAGTGGCGCAATCACAGCTAACTGCAGCCTTGAACTCCCAGGCTCAGGTGATCTTCCCACCTCAGTCACCAAAGTAGCTGGGACTACAAGTGCACGCCACCATGCCTGATTAACTTTTTGTATATTTTTTGTAGATATGGGGTTTTGCTATGTTGCCCAGGCTAGAGTCGAACTTCTAGGCTAAAGCCATCCGTCTGCCTTGGCCTCACAAAGTGCTGGGGATTATAGGCATGAGCCTGTACATAATTTCCTGACTCTTCACATAATTTTTGACTATCATAACCACCTTCTAGTTTGGTTGGCTACTAGCCACTTGTTCATGCTCAACACTCCTATCAGATGTATCTTCCTTAAAAAAAAAAAAAAATCTATTTTATCATTGATGCCCCAGCTCTTAAAATCACCTTACAATTTCTCCCAAATATAAAACAAACTCAACTTCTCTCTTTTTTTTGAGAAGGAGTCTCGCTCTGTCGCCCAGGCTGGAGTGCAGTGGTGCGATCTGGGCTCACTGCAAGCTCCGCCTCCCGGGTTCACGCCATTCTCCTGCCTCAAGTCTCCCGAGTAGCTGGGACTAACAGGTGCACGCCACCACACCCGGCTAATTTTTTGTATTTTTAGTAGAGACAGGGTTTCACCATGTTAGCCAGGATGGTCTCAATCTCCTGACCTCATGATCCGCCTGCCTCAGCCTCCCAAAGTGCTGGGATTACAGGCGTGAGCCAACGCACCGGCCCAAACTCAACTTCTTATAGTGTGACATTAAAAACCCTTCAGGTTCTCACTTACTTATCTTCTAGCCTTGATTGCCAATCTCCTTTACTTAACCACACCCTAATCCCTTTGACATCTCTATTCTTCATATTTCTTTTCCTTTCTTTGGGTCTTTGAACATTCAATCTCCCCTTCCTGGAATGCCTCTTTCCACCTGGGGAACTCTTAATTTCACTCATCTGTTAATACCCCCCTCATTTTACTCTCTCTGTAAAGTCTTCCTTAAGCCCTGATATCAGAGCTTTGATAGTATTTCAGTGACTGTGTTTTTTATATGTCAATATAATTATAGTATGCATGTTCATATTCCCTTTGACACTGACAGTTCCTAGGAGCCAACACCTCGTATTAACCCTACTGCATCCCAGCACCTAATGCAGTATCCAGAACACAGTGGACACTTTATAAACATTAATGTAATTTGAAATGTGAAGACTAAAATCCCAAATCTAATTATATAATTCCAATAAACTTACAAAAACTGTATTTTTTCTAATAATACTGGAAATCAATGTCACTAAACTTTACATGTTAAAAACTTAAATGGTGGTGGTAGTAGAGCTGGAGTGAAAAGAGGCAGGCAAAACTTCATCAAGATTCAACAATGGAAAATGTTATTAAGAAAACAATTATCTTACGTGTTCTTCACTCTTCAGTTGCTTTACGCCAGATTCTATAACCTTAATGTTGGGAAAGCGTTTTCCTAACATGGTACTTGATTGTTCTTCAACATCGAATTCTTCCAATATTTTAGAAATCTGTATAGATCCAAGAGATTAAAAATGTATATTTTTAAAGTATTTTCTTTCAAGAATCTTAAATAATAAAAATACTTTGCTTTTACACACTATTTTGTGTTTATAAAACAAACAAGTTAGCCAACTGCACTATATAGAGTGGAAAGAGGACTAGACTCAGCATTTAGAGACTTAAATATTTGCTTGGCCGCTCCTGGGCAAGTCAGGTGCTACAAGCCATAGTTTCCTGGCTAATAAAATGAGAGCTGACCTGTAAAATGAGGGGTAACACCACTTACATTTCTACAGTTTAGCCAAACAGCTTATTTATTTCCTTATCCTTCAAGCTTTCTCTATTTACTAGCAGACCTTATGGTCATCTAGTCTTTGCACTCTTCTTTCCTGTTCTATAAAACCATCAGTATTCTAGACTCACTTTCCTTTCTGTCCAGCTAAAGTTCAATTGTGAATCATTTCACCTTTTCCCTAAATCCTTTACTTCCTTGCTCTCTTATCCTAAACTGTTAACCTGAAAACCCTCAACCCTATAAACTATCTGCTTGCTCTAGTCCTAAGCCCAGTTTGCTGCAGAAAGACCACACAGCCTTACAGATTGATATTCAACCTCAGCTGCTCCTTAAAAACTGCATGGAAATCTTACTGCATGGCCCTGACAGTTCTCAAACCTTTTGGTCTCATGACCCCTTTACAGTCTTACAAATTATGTAAGAACCTACTTCTAGGGTTATTTAAGGATCATAGAATAGATCTGAAACCTTTAGAAGGCCACTTGATGCATGGTAAGCACTTAATAAATGTGAATTATTAGCAGTAATCTTTTTTCTCCTTTAAAAATTATACAAGTCATGAATCATGCTCTTTGTAACACTAAACAAACAATACATAATACAGAGTAAATGTTAAAGTCTCTATCACTCTTCATATCTCATCCTTAATCCCTCAGGATAAGCACTAGTGACTTTTTGGTGTTATGTTCTATACTTTTAATCTCCTTATCTTATGTGCCTAGCACATTGGTTAATATATAATATAGGTACTCAATAAATCATAAAGATAATGCCATTTCCTACTGCTGTACACAGAATAGCTGATATTTGTATATTTGTTATTGGCACATTTAAGTTCACAACCCTGTGAAGTAAGCAAGGAAAGTATTAACCTAATACTACAGGTGAAGCAGCTTACAGAGATCTTCCAAGGCTACCCGACCAGTAAATAAGAGGCCTAGAAACCAAGCTTTTTCCTTCTGTTGTATATAACTTACAAAACCGGCAAAAACTGAATTCAAGTCTCACAACTCTTGGATTATTATACTGAATTAGGTCTTCTGGAAAGATACTTATGAGACCCAGCTATACATCCTTCTCTTATGTATACAGTCTTAGCTTGTCATTAAATATGTACTTTTACCTTTTAAAGATTAATAGCTATAATTTTTCCTCTATTTCTCCCAAACTCCATAACTCTTTGGCTATACCTAAGTACTAAGCTATCATATGTATCTCTATTTAGGTTATAAAGGGACAACATGGTATATGCCACTAAACTACCCTTGGTCTTATGGGTTTACAACATGAGAAAATTATATTCCATTATCAGGATATTACCAGAGACATCGTATTAAATGAAGGGCTATGGTAGTAGTCTTCACTGAAGGGTGGGAAGAAAGATCAGAATGTACGTTTTTCGACATTTTAGAAATTTTATTTTGCATAGGCTTTATAACATTTATAATTGTAGTTCTGTAGCTCATACACATAACTTATTAGTATACATATATTGGGATGTCAGGGCAAAACTTTTTAACAGTTGAGCTACAGGAAAAAAAAAGTTTGGAGATGACTTTTCTATGATACTATTACCCAACTGTTCTTAGACTCCTACTATAATGTGAATATAAATTAATGGAATACAAAGTATTCTGAGACACTAATTATCTATAAGTATAAACTTGGCTTGGAAGCACTTTTCTGATGTGTAAACACACACACACACCCCTACCCATATTGATAATAAATATCATGTATATTTGTACCCATTTTAGATTTGCAGAGCATCTTTCCTGAAAATTTTTTATTGGAAACTTTCTCAAAAGTAATTCTAAGTGGAAGGAAAATGGAGAAAAAGAATAGAAGATTAAAAATTTAGTATCATTCTGGGAGCTTCTGGTATTCTATCTGAATAATTCTCAACTCGAGCTTTTTTAAAATAACTCTCAAAAGAATATTTGTAATTTTAAACAATTAAAACACTCCAGAATACATGGAGGTATTGTCATCAAGATGGCTAAGTAGGAGATACCAGCCTTCATTCCCCCATTAAAAAAAACAAATATAGACAAATCTTCACAAGCCAAAATAGCCCAAAGAGGGCTCAACGGCCCATTAAACAATCTGCAGCAACACAGTGGAGCATGAAAATGGAGAATAACCACATAAAAGAATCAATAATGACCCTGGCATACCTGAGAAACTAGGAGATAGCTAGGAGCAAAGAAAGGCAGAGGCTATCAGTATCAGCCACATGGTGGGGACCACTGTGGTAAATGGTGGCCTGCACTGCAGAGGAAACTGGCATCCCTTGCTACTGTGAGGGGACCAACAACCATTCCTGCCAGGGAACCCTAGAGTGGGAGACATGGCGGCATATCTTGTCTCCACAAAGAAGTGGCCAATGTCAAGATGCTTTGGCAAAGGAGTCACTTTGTCCTCAACCCTGTGAGTGTTCCAACCCCAGGGCCATGGTCACTCTGAGAATGCCTACACCTCAGACCCAGGTTCTACGGCCCATACTGGGCCCACCTACATCTCAGACACCAGAGCCATCACCATAGTAAGCTAGTTTGCACTTTGGGGCCTGCAACCAATCCTCACTGCACATGTCTGCAATCTAGGCACTGGCTCAGCTGCCATTGAAAGCTAGGCCCTGCCCTGACACTGAAGCTGCTGTAACTCTGAGCACACATGTGTTCCCATTCTTGGTTTCCCTGGCTGCCTCACAAGCATCCTCACCTCATATTCTATTACCAATATAGCAGTACGGGTACCTGCACCCTAGGCACCAATATCATTACAGTCCCAGATCCCAGAACTTTAATTCCTCCGTGTATGCCTGTGTTTTGGGCCTCAGCTCTATCTGCTCCATAGGCACCACTTATCAGACACCAGCGCTGCTGCCACTGAACCCAGAAGGCAGACTCAGTGCCAACAGGGATCCCCTAAGCCACAACTTCCTTTGTGGGAGAAGAAAAGATTGGGAGGCTATTAGCAGCCATTGACATTGAAAACCCCAACAACCCTCACTACCACTGCAGACATCCAGAGTTGGATGCTGAGGATCCCTGCAATCTTCAACAACAATTAACTCAGCTGACGGAGCTGCACAGACTACAAAGTGGGCACCCTCACTGGTGCCAGAACTGCTACATCCCATCTAGCAAGCAGCCCTCCCCATAGGGGAAGGTCTTTCCACAGCAAAACTAGCCCATACTTCTGAAAACAGCAAGTGTGTCATCAAATGTGCAAACATCAACATAAGGCAGTAAGAAACATGATAAACCAAGAAGATATGCCACCAAAAGAACACAAATGTCAGAACTGCCTAAGAATTCAAAATAATTGTTTAAAGAAGCTGAAGGAACTTCAAGAAGTTACAAACAATTCAATTAAATCAGAAAAACAATAAGCAACCAAAACAAAAAATTTAAAAAGTTATTTAAAAACTAAAGCAGAAATTCTGACGATGAAAGATGCAATGAATGAAACAAAAAAAAATGCAACAGACTATGTCAACAAGAGAACTGATCACACAGAAGAAAACATCTGTGAATCTGAAGACAGATTATTTGAAAATATACAGTCAGAAGGGAAGAAGAAGAAAAAAGAATGAAAAAGAACATAGAAGTAGGGAATTAAAGGATGGCATCAAATGAGCAAATCTTTGAATTATAGGCGTTATAGAAGGAGACAAGAAAGACAAAGGAGTAGAACATGTATTTAAAGAAATAACAACAGAAAACTTTCCAGGCTGGGCGCGGTGGCTCACACCTGTAATCCCAGCAATTTGGGAGGCCGAGGTGGATGGATCACGAGGTCAGGAGTTCCAGACCAGCCTGGCCAATATGGTGAAACCCCGTCTCTACTAAAAAATACAAAAAATTAGCTGGGCATGGTTGCGGGCGCCTGTAGTCCTAGCTACTTGGGAGGCTGAGGCAGGAGAATGGCGTGAACCCAGGAGGCGGAGCTTGCAGTGAGCCAAGATCGTGCCACTGCACTCCAGTCTGGGCAACAGGGTGAGACTCCATCTCAAAAAAAAGCAATCAATTCACCATAATCAAGTGGGATTTATTCAGGGATGCAAAGATGGCTTAAAATATGCAAATCGGTAAATGTGATATACCACATTAACAGAACAAAGGACAAAAATCATGACCATCTCTACAGATATAGAAAAAATATTCAACAAAATTAAACGTCTTTTCATAATAAAAACCCAACAATTAGGTATGGAAGGAAAGTACCACAACAAAAAAATGGTCATATACAAGCCTATAGCTAATAATATATTGAATGGAGAAAAGCTGAAAGCTTTTCCAAGATCAAGAACAACACAAGGATGCCCACTCTCACAACTTCTATTCAACACAGTACTAAAGTCCTAGCTAGAGCAATTAAATTAGGTGACAGAAAGAAATAAAAGGCATCCAAATTGGAAAGATTTTAAATAGCTTGACTTAGCCATTCCACAATGTATACATGTATCAAAACATCATGTTGTACAGCATATAACTGTACTTGTCAATTTTTAAGAAAGAAAAAAATACACAATTACCCTAACTGCTATGCAAGTTATTGCAATTTTTTCAAATTAATATTAACAAGTTATACAAAGGTTCTTACCTGCTTGAAATTTGTAACTGCTTTAATAACAGGAGAAGCTGTTACCAAGAGAATATCTTCCGATGGAAAGTGAGTAGCCAACTTATTTTTAAAAAGAGAGAAAAAAAATTAGGACAAATTACTTTAAGTACTGGTATATATGGTTTGGGGTTGAGAATAATGCAATTTTAATAATGTAATTAATCTAGAAAATTAAAAACCCACTGTTCCTCATCTAAAGGTCTCCATTATCCTTGGTCTTGATGGGGCAATGGTGAATAATATTAAACTCTGATACTGAGAAAATAATATTTACAGTAAACACTAACAAAGAACTCCTGAACAAGAAAAGTGATATAAAGAAATATCCTTTATTTACTTCAACTATTTTTTATACCAATTTAGAGTTATAATGCAGAGGATGAGAATAAACTATCTTCCTAATTACCAGTTAAACCAACTTCTATTTATCTTAAAATAATATTTCATTTGTCTTCAATGGGATGAAATTAAAGCAAACCCTCAATATTAAACACTTAGAATATTGGTCTAACTTTCCCCAGGTGCTCTGGCACTCCTATTCTGCCTCTTCCAGTCAGTACATATTGTGGGACGATAAAGCCATTTTAATAATTGCTTCCACAAAATTTAGAGGTATAACTTGTTAATGTTTCATTATTTTCCTTTAGCTACAACCTCGGTCTTCTTCACTCTGTACCTGAAAGCATTTTCTTATCTCAAAGTCTGGTTCCTCGACACCACCACCCTCAATAATCTGGCTTCTATTCCTACTCCATCACTAAAACAGCATGTTTGAGGGATCTATGAATCCTTAAAATCCAAGGGATTATTTATTTTTTTTTTAATGGAGATGGGATCTTGCCATGTTGCCCAGTCTGGCTTCAAACTCCTGGACTCATGCAATCCTCCCACCTTGGCCTCCCAAAGTTCTAAGATTACAAGTGTGAGCTATCGTGCCCAACACCCATGCGATTCTTCTCAGTCTCATTTTATTTGAACTTTCTATATTTGACAATATCATTACTCTCTCCATCTTTCTTTCCTCTGTATATTCTGTAATTTATATCTCTGCTGTTTCCATTGCTAGATGAGGTCCTCAAAACTTCTTTATACTACTGAAATCACCTTCGAATTGGCTCTCCAGTTTCACGTATAAACCAGCTGCCTCTGCCACAAATACATTGTAACTAATCATCTTTCAAGCCTTTTCATATGATCAAGTTACTCCACTGCTCAAAAACATTTGACTACTTGTAAATTCTTGTTAAGTTCTCAGCATGCTAAGACTCCTTATGATCTATGCTTTAAGCTTTACTGCTCCCTGATGATCCATGCTTTTCCACTGGAGATGACATTCTTTTCTTGAATACTTGGTAAACTTTCACTCATTCTTTCATAATGAGATTTTAAAAATACCTTCTTTGATTAAAAAAATTTCCTCTTCCCTAATTCACTCCCTACATACTCCACAGGCACCTCTAAGATAACCGTTGATATCTCTTGCATAGACATACAATATTGTAATATTGTCTCTTCCAGCAGGCTGTGAGTCCCCAGCATGGTATATACCATGCTGTTCATAGTTGAACACTCAGCCCTTAATACGGTGCCTGCATCATATATGTTTACTTAGTGAATAAACGGAAAATACGCATCCAACGATGGAAACACTTGAGTTTCTTCCACTATTTCTTATGACTTCAGTGATTGCTCATGTTTACTTTATATCAACAAAATAATGTAGAACTTTTTGGAATACACACATGTATCTGAATATATATGGTCTGGCTATTCAGTATAATCAAGAAAGCAAGCCCTACATGCATTTAATCCTTCGCTGATTATTTTACAAAACTTTACTAGAAATAAAGTTTCTTCTATCTTGGGAGTTCGAAGTATAGAAAACTTACATATGGGATTCTTTATTAATTAGTTAAGATGCACTAAAGACTTGGCAACTATCTGGAAACTAAACTCAATCACCTACGATAATTAACAAAGGGGGCTGAGGGCCGGGTGCTGTGGCTCAGGCCTGTAATGCCAGCACTTCGGTAGGCGGAAGCGGGCAGACTGCTTGAGCCCAGGAGTTCGAGACCAGCCTGGCCAACATGGTGAAAGCCCGTCTCTACTAAAAATACAAACATTAGCGGGGCGTGGTGGCTGGCGCCTGTAATCCCAGCTACAGGCTGACGCAACAGAAGAATCGCTTGAACCCGGGAGGCAAAGCTTGCATTAAGCCAAGATCGCACCACTGCCCTCCAGTCTGGGCGACAGAGTGAGACTCCGTCTCAAAGAAAAAGAAAAAAAAATAAAAAGAAAGGGGGCTGAATTTTTTGTCTAAATACAAAGTCCTCATGTCTGCTCTGACATTACAAGGATCTGAGCACGGATCAGCCAGCTTTGGTTTCTCGGCTATAATTTGCCTCCCACTCCTCCCTGCGCCTAAGAGAAAGCTAGTGAGGTCATCTGAGGACCACCAAGCAGTTTCTAAAATCTGGGAGCAATAAGTGCGGAAAAGGGCGCAGCAAAAAAGGAACCCGGAAGAAGAAAAAGGGAGGGGGTGGGAGGAAGGCCTCCAGTGCTATCCCCTTTGGGGTCGGGGAAAGAGGCGGAACCGCCTGAGCACCGCCCTACCTGCTCCGCACAAGTGACGCCCGCGATGCCGCCGCCGACCACCACGAACTTCCCTGCCGTCGGGGGAGGGCGCGCTGCCTCCATGCTGCCGGACTCCCAGTGGTTTACTGAATATCGCGGCGGAGCAACGGGACTCTGGACTCCAGGAGAGGAAGCAGCCGCGAGGCGGTCACTTCCGGTGCCTTACCAGATAATCCGACCTACGGGTGCTCGGGAGCTCACACTACTCATCTCGAGTACCTGCTGCCGGCTGCGTTTCGGAAGCAACGAATTGTCTCGTGGTGTTCAGAGCTTTGCGTTACTATTACTACACCTGAATGTAGTTATTCCATGAAAATTTGACAAAGAGAAAACCAAAAAATTAAAAATAAAAAAGTAAAGAAGATGGGTTGCCCAAAGAAGTTTGATAAATTACATATCTAAAGATAGACCAGTGTTCTCACGGGACAAAACATTCATATAATAAATGAATTGGTGTGAAGTTCTCATTATTTGTTTCTGCGAGAAATTAGAGGCACAGATTTTATGCTCTTATGAGTAGAAGGAGCCTTCGGGAACATCCTGACCCCACTCCTGTCATTTTTGTAGATGAAGAAACTTGAGTCTTCTGAAAACCACTTGATTGCCACCGTTCACCTAACAATCCAAGATTTTTGTTTGTGGAAGCACAAAAATTCTTCATGACAAGGCAAAACAATACTACTGAATTGTTCTCTAAAAAATCATCCTTTTCATTTACAACTTTGACCTCAGCTAAAGTTTCCAGGAAGAATGTACAGTTGCTTTCCATTTTGTCAAAACAAATGAACATTTCTTAAATTTCCAGTCAATAGCAGCATGTGTGAGGGTTGAATGAAATATTCCCAGTCTCGGTTTTACTGTGAATTTTTTTCGTGGTCAATTGTTTTTAAGAAATTGCTAAATCATTTTTAACTGTTTTTACTATATTATTCACTATTCATATTATTTTACTATTTACTATTACCTTTGCTGTCTCATATAACTTTCCCTAGGAGTTGTTTTGTAATGGTAAGGTATTATCTCTCAAATGGTTCACTCTAAAACTGGTAATTACCCGAGTCCCTTTAATTCTTTAAACACTGAGAATAACCATTATATATTAACAGGAAAGCCTACCACGTATCTAATTACAGGCATTTACTGATACCTGTAAAAATCATTGTTCTTTGATTTACCAAGTTAAATGGTAAGCGGTTTAATAAACGTGTCTAATTCCTGTTACTAGTATAGCAACCAAACAAAGCATTCATTTCTAGGAGGAGGAAATACATTCCTTAAGCCCATTTAGATCTCATCTTGCTTCAGCTTATTTTCACATTATCTCACTCACACTGTGTTCCATTCAGGCCACACTACACTTCCAGATCCCAGGATATGCCATTTTCTTTCTGAGCATTTGCACATATCTTTTTCCCAACTACTTTTCCCTGGCTAACTCATCAACCTTTGGTTTCATCAAGCCATTGCTTCCCCTTTAAGATACTTTATCTAACATCCTCAAGACAGCTAGGTGTCCTCTCCGTGTGTTCTTATAGCACTTTGTCATCCTCTAAATTTAGACTTATCCCACTTTATTGTAAATTCTTACTGCCTGACCCCACCACCACCATAAACTGCTTACATAATCTCAGGGATTATTTTTGTCTCCCTTTGTATCTCCAATGTTTAGTAGGGAGTATGTATTCAACAAAAATGTGCTCAACGAAATAGGAAGTTGGTGGAGCATGAAACTCCCCTGAAGTCCTTCTAAAGATTTTTAGATTCATTGTCCAGGGTCAGGATCCTCTTGTATATTGTGACAGGGGTTTCCTCTTTATGGAAGTCGGAAGGAAGAATGGAGTGGAATTTAAGCTCCCAGGGGAAACGGAAGGAGATCATCGTCTGTGGGAGGGGAAGCAAAGTAGTAGGAGGCTCCTCAAATGTAAAGGGGTAATGACTCCACACTCTCCTTTTTTCTTCCCCTTGTGAAGGCTGGCTTTTTTGTCAAAGGTGATGTAGGGATAAGACCTAGCTGCCTGCCACACTGGCATGAATATCCAACTTTTAGAAATGTCTAAGGGTTAAAGAACTTTCAGTGCATCTCACCTTAATGTTGATTAAATTAGATACATATACTGGATGTAAAGTGGGTTAAAAGTAAGATGTAGGTAACTTGAAACATGTTATCCACAGGGAGGGCAGCAATAGGTACAGGTTAGGAGAAAGGGCAACTGCAAAGAAAACTGGGCACCTAGAAATAAGGGAGGCCCAATGCCAGGAAGCAGCAGAGAAGCAGAAAAGACAGAACTTCAGCTCCCCTTTAGCTCTGGTCAGCAAGCTTAGGAGTGACCTGGTGACTGTTTCTGAGGAGTCAAAGAAATACCAGTGTATTGCTAAATATTATGGTGTATGTTTATGGGTGGAAAAGAAAAGCAGGACTTGGCAAAGAAAGGTTCAGAGAAGAAGTGGAATTTATATTGAATCTCAAAGGCCCATAGCATTTGGATAGGTTCAGAAGAAGATGTGGCAAGTCATGTGGGAAATATCCCAAGAACCAAAGGCTTAGCAGCAGGAATGAGCATGGGAAATACAGGAGATGGTAAAAGGGAAGAAAGAAAGAAAAGTGGTTGGGGAGTTCAAGATTCATGTGGAAAAACTGAAGGAGATAAAGCTATCTTCTTCTATTTCTCTCCATAATGTTGTTACATCTGATTCCCATACCCACCTAATCTCTTGAAGGCCATCCCCAACTTTCAAACTACCATCAAAATCTAGTCTTCCATTCTTCTTCAAGTTGATATCAGAAATGCCTAGAATAGGAGTATTGAGGTTAATTTTCAACTGCAAAAATTGGGAATGAATAATGACATTTCATAGTTGGTGATTAATAGCTTTTGAGTCAGATGACCTAGGTTCAAATGTGGCACCAGCATTTCTTTGTTGTGTGACCATTCAGTGAGTTATTTACCTCATCTGAACCCTAGTTTCCTCATTGGCAAGACGGGTATAAGATCTACTTTGTAGAGTTGTTTTGATGCATGTGTGAGGCAACATATTTAAACTTCCTAGCATAGTGCGTGCCTCTTAGTAGGATTAATGGTTAAGTTGCCTGCCTGTGCCCTGTTGAATAGACTATGTTTCTCTGTCTAAAGGATTTTATCTATGATCATAACCTTAACAAGCCTATTATGCTTTTAACTCCCAAATGTCTATCTCTCATGCAATCTACTCTGAATCTTCAAGCCTGAAATTTCTGAAACATCTTGGATATCTTCTCATTTTTATCTTGGTTTTTGCCAATTCGCTGTAAGTACAGCCTGGATTCATCTTGCACTCGAAACCTCTTCTTTGTTTTGTTAGTTCATATAACTGATTTACTGAACAAGCTGGACTTTATAGGGAAGAAATTAAAGCAAACATTTTTATTTCTCAACGCTTTTCCTGTGAATGTATTTTTCTCCTCTAAATTCTTATTAATTTAGCTTATCTGATCATTCTCAGGTAATAAAAAGTCTGGTACTACCTATTATCAAAACTCCAGACACGCATCCAATTAAAGCCTCACCTAACTACAGGCAACGCAAATTGATTTCTTGTTGCTTTTTTGCTCCAGCTCTTCTCCTAACTAAGAGCTGATGTTTTCAGGGGCTTTAAGATTGGAGGGTGGGTAAGGAGTAAGGAGAGGAAAGAGCCTCACTGTTGTTCCTGTATGAGCATATATATGCAAACCTACCCCCAAAGGCTGAGAGAGCTGAGAGGCCAAAGAAAAACTGACAAATCCAGTTTCTCAGAAAGAGGTATTTAATAGGGACTTACACACAGAAATGATGATTCTGTTACAGTGCATCCCCACACCTGCCCTCCAGAAATTATGTAAGCTTTTAGGATAAAAGATGTACAGCTGATCATGTCTCAGACTTTCTTGCAAAACTCATGAACACTGGGGAGTCTAGATAAGAATCTTAATGAGAGAATTATCTAAGTTACAAGCTTTGTTTCTTTTGAAGGGTTATCTATGCTATGGGCATTGTTTAAGGACCTTGCTGCAGAACACCTTAGTATGCAGGAATCCAACATCAGTCATCATGGCCGTGGTGTCATTCTTGCCATACCGCAGGCTGTCTTCCTATATCTATGAATCAGTGGTGTGGTACAACTGTGAATCTGTGAGAGCTGATTGTTAAAATTTTAGGATTTGTGTGAGCTGATTGTTAACACAGCTATTGTTAAACACTAAATTGTATAAACATAATCAAATAAGTTATATTAAGACAAAGGTAATAAATATTCAAAACTTCTTATTTCCTAACTCTTTTGCTATTATCTCTACTCTTGAGGTTATTTACATCTATTGTATCTACAGGTAAAAATATAATGGTGGGCTACTATACATTTCTTCCTACTGCCTCATTCAGCGACGTCATGTTGATCTTGAAATTGGCCGTAATAGGAGTATTTACACCATGGAAAATGGCAGATTATACAAACCAGAGTTTGATTTATTTTATTGTTGATTTTTTAGAGTTAAAAAGGTGGTGGACAATAGCAAAGACATGGGATCAACCCAAATGCCCATCAATGATAGACTGGATAAAGACAATGTGGTACATATACACCATGGAATACTATGCAGCCATAAAAAGGAATCAAATTATGCCCTTTACACTGACATGGATGGAGCTGGAGGCCATTATCCTTAGCAAACTAACACAGGAACAGAAAACCAAATACCGTATGTTCTCACTTATAAGTGGGAGCTAAATGATGAGAACAGCATGGACACACAGAGGGAAACATCACACACTGGGCCTGTCTGAGGGTGGAGGTAGGAGGAGGGAGAGGATCAGGAAAAGTAATTAATGGATACTGGGCTTAATACCTGGGTGATGAAATAATCAGTACAACAAACCCCCCATGACACATGTTTACCTATGTAACAAACCTTCACATCCTGTACATGTACCCCTGAACTTAAAAGTTAAAGAAACACAAAATAGATGGAGACTCATTTAAAAAAACTGATGGAGAGAATGTTAATAATGAAATTAAAAGAGTGTCATGTCTGTTGTGGTAGATTGTAGTACACTGTGAATAGCACAAAAAAACTGAAGAAATTCTTTTTTCAGAGAGCTGCTATTCAATTTAGCAAAGAACTCACTAATATCAGACAAACAAGTGAAATTGCAACCTATTGTTCCTTTGTTTCACTTCCATCTTACTAGTTAATGTAAATAGAAAAGTCAATCAACATTCAAACTACACTCATCAATTGCTGTCATAGTTTGGGTAATACAAGCAAAAATCAATGAAAGGATTCTGTAGAATCAGCTGGCTATATGGAATTTACAATAAAGAGTATTGCATATTATTATTTGTAAAATATTTGCTATACACCTTTCAATAAAATTTATAATAAACCTATGTATATATACATACACACACACACATATATTTATACATGCAGTTTTTTCAGACAGCCAGTTGTTCAACATTTGCCGGCACAAACATTAGTTATAATCTAGCATCGCTGTTTTCATGGTGTGGCTGATTCCAAATGTTGATTCTCTGCTGGGGTGCTTTTATGGGTACATCAGAATCTCCACATCACTGGGGATCTCTCACCTACAGGTTCTGGGCCTTTCCTTCTCCAGATTCAGTCCCTTTTAAGATGAAACAGGGTCCACAATGGGCTTCTGGGAAACTCACTCATCCTTTGTCCCCACTAGACTCTGAAAGTGCACATCAAGCCAACAGAGCATCTCTCTTTTCTGCTGTCCGAATGTCTACCTAGTCACACCTCTGTGTCTTCAGTGGAATGAAGTATCAGTTTCTGCATCATTCGGACTCCAGGGGCTACCTGTAAAGCTCTCTAAATGGTTCCCTTAACGTCCTCCTCACTTGTGCTGCGGACAGGGCATTGGTGGTGGTGGGGTGAAACACTTTCCCTTCCTCTTCCCCATATGCTTCGTGAGCATGTTGGAGCAGGGAGTGAATGTGATGCACTAATGCTGGCAAAACCAATTTTATAGTCTTTTAGCACGCGTTGCCTGTGTGGTCTAGTACCTTGCGTTGAAGGCATTGGTCAACTTGACGCCTATTATACTGTTCTTAAGCTTTTGGAGCTGAATTAACCAGAAAAATCACATTTAACCCCATGATATACCATGTTTGTTTTATAAATATTAAACTTATACCATTTAGAAAACTGAATGCATTTCTTACACCATATTCCCTCAACTTCAAAGTGTAGTTTCTCAAGTCCTACCAATTCTAAAGTGTTTCCCAGTTCCTTCATTTCAGTTTTGACTGTTACTGCGCTATTTTTGGTCTTCTTCGCCCACTTAGACTATTAAAATGAGTTCCTGATTGGTCTTTGTTCCTCCATTCACTGTCTTTAAACTTATCCTCCATGCTGCCGTAAGAGTTATCTTATAAAAGGGAGATGTGGTTCCTCTGCCTTTCTACCACTTCTGCTTCTGGAACATTCCCAGTTCCCTGAATGCATCAAAAATTCTTGTCTCAGGCAGGGCTTGGTTGCTCACGCCTGTAATCCCGGGACTTTGAGAGGCTGAGGTGGACAGATCGCCTGAGCCCAGAAGTTCAAGACCAGCCTGGGCCACATGACCAAACCTCATCTCTACAAAAAATACAAAAATTAGCTGGGCATGGTGGCAAGTACCTGTGGTCCTAGCTACTCCAGAGGCTGAGGTAGAAGGATCACCTGGGACTGGGGAGGTTGAGGCTGCAGTGAGCCTTGATCGCACCACTGCTCTCCAGCCTGAGAGAAAGGGTAAAACCTTGTCTCAAAAAAAAAAAAAAAAAAAGAATTTTGGTTTCCTTCATTACAGGCTTTCTTGCTCTGCCTATAGAAATCTATGGGTCTAAGAATGGTAAGCTCAGATGCCACCCACCATTCTCAGGGAGAAATGGCCAAATCTGTAGTACTTTACTGCATTGAGCAGTGTTTCTTGTGTTAAAGTTGGTGTGTCCTTATTAGGCTTCTTTGAGAAAGGGAATGTATTTTATTCACCTTTGATTTTCTTGCTTGTGGCCCTAATCCCAGCACTTAGCACAGCAATTTAAGTAATATTTATTCAATAAATGTTTCTTAAGTCTTTATAATTAACATAGTAAGCACAATCTTATAAAGACCGAGGCTTCATAGTATGGCTGAATCTACAATTGTGAAACATGAATTTGCCTTATGAGATACTGCTGTTCCTTTCTCAATAGTTTGATATGATATTTTGAGACCAGGTTGTTCTGTTGTTCTAGGTAGATAAATGTTACAGTCACCCCACAGTATCAGGAAGGAACTCACAGTATCAGGAAGGAACCCCCATCCAAAATTTGATTTGGATGTGAAGATTAATGATCACACACACATACACACACACACACACACACACACACACACTCACCCCATGAGGGAATGAAAAGGCTTATTACTTACATAATGAGGCTTTCTGGGGAGAATAGGACAGGATTATAAGCTGATCCAAAAATAGCTTGGAGAGCAGAGAAGGGTGACAGGCCCTGTTTTTAATGAGATTAGGTGATCGAGCTGGGGTGAGAGTTCTGGCACATACAGGCCAGTCCTTGTATGGCTTGAAAATCACGTGGGCACCAAGGGAGGGGCATACTGAAACCTTCTCAGACTGCCCAGATGTGGGGCAGCAAGGGACAGGGGAGTCGTGAGGCCTGAAAGCTTCCAGCAGTCAAACATCAACAATGGAATCAGGCTCTTTATTACAATAAGAGGCTTTCCTGCTGGGTTTCCAATGCTGTTTACTCGGTTTATAAAATTTCTAAGCTCTTCACAAGCGGTACCATGGAGCTTCATATTTCAATTTAAGTTTCAAACCATATCAACAGGAAATACTCTTATTAAGTTGTAAGTACACAAATTCCAAAGCCAAATATAAAACCTTTTTTATTATCCGCACCTCGTTTCTATAACTTTTGAATCATGATGAAAACTTCTAAAAGATGTCCTTCATAGTACGAAATAGTATAATTTGCATGTACTTTTCTGTATCCTTTATAAAGAAATAGATTTATAACTTTCATGCTGTTTTTGAATAAAACATTAGTACTTATGTTTCATGGCATTCATTCATTAATTGCTATGATTTCCATATATAAAATAATTGTGACAGCAGTTGAAAGAATTATTATTTAATGATCTGAGGCTTAATTATTTTCTATTTAATACATCAGGTAACATTTTAACATCAGTTACATTGAAGATCAGGGAAATTCAGATTTTTTTTTCATAATTAAATAAAATCAGGCCAGATATGGTGGTTCACACCTGTAATTTCAACACTTTGGGAGGGAGGCTGAGACTGGTGGATCGCTTGAGTCCAGGAGTTTGAGACCAAACTCGGCAATATGGCAAAAGTTCGTCTCTATAAAAAACACAAAATTAGCCAGGCATGGTGGTGCATGCCTGTGGTCTCAGCTACTCCAGAAGCTGAGATGGGAGGATCACCTTAGCCCAGGAGGGCAAGGCTGCAGTGAGCTATGATTGTACCATTTCACTCCAGCTTAGGTGACAGAGTGAGACCCTGTCTCAAAAAAAATTAAAAAAAAAAAAAACTGTTTTCAGGCTAGTTATTATACTAAAGAAAAAGGAAGAAGCAACACTTTCTACTCCTATTTTTGTTGATTAAAATAACTTGTGATTTCTAAAAAATAAATTAAGATGCAAAGAAAGTACAGCATAATTTATTCGTAATGAGTAAAATGTTAAATTATGGTATCGAATGTGGCTAATTTATTTCAGTTGACGGACAGTACCGAAATTAAAGATTTTTTATCTCTTAATTTTACTTCTTTTAGAAAGAAAAATGAAACACATTTGTTGTTTCAAATATTATTGCAGTACACATTAATTTTTTTAAGTTTAAACTAACCCCAAACATATGTATATGAACATTTAAGTAAATTTTCCCTTTTAATTTTGAAAATATATTCAAGTTTACATGAGATTTTAAAGTTTTAGCTGTCAAAATATCTTTACTCAGTTTATTTATGCTAACAATGGTGGACATTGAGAATGCTTGACCAAAAGCAGCAAGCTACAAAGGAAAAGAAACATTCTCATTTCATCTTCAAACTTTGGAGATACAAGTCTAAAAAATTTCTGGCTTGATTCAAGTCAGGCCATTTAGTGCGTAGATTACATTTAGCAAAAGAGCAGTTAAGAAAACATATTTGATATAACAACAAAAATAGTTATTCTTTTGGCCGTGAAATTGCATTCACAAAGGAAAAAGCTTTTTTTTTCTCAATAAGAAGAAATATTTATTTAAATGGACACATCAGCTGGCTGTGTTGTGATTTGAAATTATCTAAATTTTTGTCAGTTGACTAATAGTTACAGCATCAGATGTCTGTAAAGAACTTTCTTTTGCCCCAGCCGTCTGCCTCAGGAACGGACACTATGCTTTTCTGTATTTATTAATGTAACCTGTTGAAGAGGAATGTTAATGTCAATTGTCAGATGGTCATGACTTATGGATTCATAATGTAATTACCTTCCTTATATTCAAAGGTAATTGAGAAATAAGTCAAAACATTTTACAGATCTAATTATATTGCAAAAACATGAATTACTTTTTGACAATATTCCTATTTTTGTTTTACTTCTTTGGTTACTTTTTTTCTCTTTCCTGTGATTATTCTTTTTTTTTTTACCTGCCCCTAAATGTAGTTGTTTCTCAAAGCCATCTTCTTTACCAAATTTTCTTCTCTTTCTATATGTCCTTTATCAGTACATTTACTCCTACTTGCCTATCAAATATTCATTATTCCCTGCTTTCTTACTAAAGGAACCCCAATTTTGTTTGAATTGACAATGTGCCATCCAAAAACACTTGTTTTTCTAGACTCTTTTAGCTAAGGTAGCCATGGTACACAGTTCTAGCCAATGAATAACGGATGGTCAGCCAGGGATTTGGGGAAAGCTTTTGCTCTTTTGAGGCTTTTAGTTCTACCTCTTCTCTTCCTCCTTCTTCCTGTCTGGAATGTGGATGTGAGGTTAAGGTAGAGCAGTCATCTTACAACCAGGAGATGGCAAGCATGAAGATAAAGGCACATATGCTAATGATGTCAAGAAAAGAGATAGAGCGATCCTTCTCTAAAGGCTTCACTGAACCACTTTTACAAATCTGGATTGTCTACCTCCAGGACTCTTGTTCCCTGAGACAAATTGCTATGTGTTTAATCCACTCTTCCTTGTCTGTTGTGATCACTGAACATAATACTGAGTCTGCTTTTATTTAATTGCCTAAGGACACCTACACTTGATCAAGCCATATTTATTTCTATTGCTCATCTCTGCTTTCTCTTCAATGTACTATTTGAAAATATGAAAAACTGAAGGCTACATTCTGTATCATTTGCAAAGTCAAATAAATTACTTTTGGTTCAAAAGAGTTCAATTATTTATTCTGACATTTCTCAGTGTGATTTATCTGCAAACTTTTGCTGTTGGCATGATGTGATTTATAACTTGGGAACCTTGACGACAGTTTGATTTCCTTGTACCATTACTTGACCACATTAGTGTCAATTCATGTTAATTGTTCCTACAAACTTGGTCCAAATTAATTTTTTTTTAAATTTAGGCATGATATATTTCATCAGATGTAGATTCCAATTTGCCACCTTTTCTCTATTGAGGTTGCTTAGCAGAGAGCAGGAAGCAGGCCACTGTGCAAATTAACTTATATTTAACTACCTGTGTGTATTTATAGGCATATATACATCTATGTCTACATCTGCATTTATATCTATGTATGTGATTGAGATATCAGATAGTTACATGAACGTAACTTTTTCCAAGGCAATAGCTTTGTTTTATTCCCAACCACCATGGATTTCTATTTAATGATTTAATATGGTAAATGTCTAAGTCTGAATATATTTCTCAGTTTCTTAGAAGTTTGTATTAATGAAAATTAATCAAATATGCTCAATAAGCATGTTTTAATTTTGTAATATAAAACTAATAAAATGAATTAAGAGAATTATATTTGGGCAGTGCAAATGCAAATCAGTAAGGCTATTCTAATGTTATTTGAAAGTTTTAAAATTGTTACCTTTTCACTCATTAATTCATTCAGCATATATTTATTGAGTACCTGCTACGTGCACCTAGGATATATCAGTGAATAAAACAAAGAAATTTCTGCTGTACAAGGGAAAGGCAGTCGATTAAAAAAAATTAATGAATACACAGGGTTGTATGTCAAAAAGTGCTAAGAGTATGGAAAACAATTTTAAAAAGGAAAGTGGGATCAATATGTGCAGAGTTGAAAATTTTAAGTAAGGTCAATAGGTAGATTTTAATGAAAAGATGATATTTGAGCTATGACATGATGGAGGTGAGAAAGCCATGTGGAGTCTGGGGGAAGAGCTTTATAGATGGTGAGTAGGAGTGGGGTGGTGGGCAAATAGTTAAAAAAATGATAGCATTTCTCACATGGAGGAGGCCAATCTTGTTGGACCAGAATGTATGACGGGGAAAGAAGTATGATACGACGTCAGAGATCAGGGAAGGAGTGGACAGATTAAATAGACATTTCTAGGCCATGTAAGAATTTTGGCACTTATTGGGTGAAACAAGGAGTCACTGTAGGACTTTGAGTGGAAGAGTGACATGCTCAGAAGAGTGTAAAACAACAAAAAAAAGAGAGACAAGATGCAGCAGGTGAGACGAGATGGTGGCTTGGCCAAGTGACAAGCACTTAGATTCTGAATCTGTTTTGAAGAAAAAATCAATCAACAAGATTTGAGGAGGTTGACAATACAATTTTTATCATCCGTACTAGATAGTTCTAAAACTATCTAGGGATGCTATTAAGTATTATGCCAAGAGAGGAGACATAAACCAGAATTGTCCTGGACATAAACCCATTGTATTCATTTGTGCCCTTGAAAAGAGCATTTTTTCCTCTTTGCAAAACAACTTCTAGTATCCTTCTCTCTTAAATCCATTTCTGTCAGGCTTTGCCTCCACAAGGCATATAAATAGATTGTTTTGCAGTTATTTGTACTAGGGCAGAAAAATGTCCTCTGGTCAAATGAAGCATTGCATTCTGGGAGAAAAAATGCTGAGAGATAAAGAAAAGTAAGTATTGTCCCAATGTTTCTGGTTAAGAAGGCAGAGAGATAATATGCCATCTAGTGAGATAAGGAAAACTGCAAGTTGAACAGGGAACAGGGTCTTCTTTTTGGGGGAAAGGGTCAGTGGGGAGAGGGAAGAAGGGGGAAAACAGCCTTGTTTTATGTATATTGAGTTTGATATATTCATTAGAGATCTCGTGGAGCTATTGAGTAAGCATGTGATTGAAGTTCCGTAATAATGTCTGGACTGGATTTATTGATTTGGGAATGGTCACCCTATAGGACATATTCAAATGTCATTAGACTGGATGAGATCACTGAAGAAATAAATATAGATGGAGTAGAGAAAAGGACCAAGAAGTGACCCCTGAAGTATTCCAGTGTTCGAAGATTTTGTGGAAGAGAAGGGTCCACCAAAAGACCCTTCAGGAGGAGTAGAGAGTTTTTTTTTTTTTTTTATTAAACTTTAAGTTTTAGGGTACATGTGCACATTGTGCAGGTTAGTTAAATATGTATACATGTGCCATGCTGGTGCGCTGGACCCACTAACTCGTCATCTAGCATTAGGTATATCTCCCAATGCTATCCCTCCCCCCTCCCCCCACCCCACAACAATCCCCAGAGTGTAATATTCCCCTTCCTGTTTCCATGTGATCTCATTGTTCAATTCTCACCTATGAGTGAGAATATGCGGTGTTTGGTTTTTTGTTCTTGCAATAGTTTACTGAGAATGATGATTTCCAATTTCATCCATGTCCCTACAAAGGACATGAACTCATCATTTTTTATGGCTGCATAGTATTCCATGGTGTATATGTGCCACATTTTCTTAATCCAGTCTATCATTGTTGGACATTTGGGTTGGTTCCAAGTCTTTGCTATTGTGAATAATGCCGCAATAAACATACGTGTGCATGTGTCTTTATAGCAGCATGATTTATAGTCCTTTGGGTATATACCCAGTAATGGGATGGCTGGGTCAAATGGTATTTCCAGTTCTAGATCCCCAAGAAATCACCACACTGACTTCCACAATGGTTGAACTAGTTTACAGTCCCACCAACAGTGTAAAAGTGTTCCTATTTCTCCACATCCTCTCCAGCACCTGTTGTTTCCTGACTTTTTAATGATTGCCATTCTAACTGGTGTGAGATGGTATCTCATTGTGGTTTTGATTTGCATTTCTCTGATGGCCAGTGATGATGAGCATTTTTTCAAGTGTTTTTTAGCTGCATAAATGTCTTCTTTTGAGAAGTGTCTGTTCATGTCCTTTGCCCACTTTTTGATGGGGTTGTTTGTTTTTTTCTTGTAAATTTGTTTGAGTTCATTGTAGATTCTGGATATTAGCCCTTTGTCAGATGAGTAGGTTGCGAAAATTTCCTCCCATTTTGTAGGTTGCCTGTTCACTCTGATGGTAGTTTCTTTTGCTGTGCAGAAGCTCTTTAGTTTAATTAGATCCCATTTGTCAATTTTGTCTTTTGTTGCCATTGCTTTTGGTGTTTTAGACATGAAGTCCTTGCCCATGCCTATGTCCTGAATGGTAATGCCTAGGTTTTCTTCTAGGGTTTTTATGGCTTTAGGTCTAATGTTTAAGTCTTTAATCCATCTTGAATTGATTTTTTATAAGGTATAAGGAAGGGATCCAGTTTCAGCTTTCTACATATGGCTAGCCAGTTTTCCCAGCACCATTTATTAAATAGGGAATCCTTTCCCCATTGCTTGTTTTTCTCAGGTTTGTCAAAGATCAGATAGTTGTAGATATGAGGCATTATTTCTGAGGGCTCTGTTCTGTTCCATTGATCTATATCTCTGTTTTGGTACCAGTACCATGCTGTTTTGGTTACTGTAGCCTTGTAGTATAGTTTGAAGTCAGGTAGTGTGATGCCTCCAGCTTTGTTCTTTTGGCTTAGGATTGACTTGGCGATGCGGGCTCTTTTTTGGTTCCATATGAACTTTAAAGTAGTTTTTTCCAATTCTGTGAAGAAAGTCATTGGTAGCTTGATGGGGATGGCATTGAATCTGTAAATTACCTTGGGCAGTATGGTCATTTTCACGATATTGATTCTTCCTACCCATGAGCATGGAATGTTCTTCCATTTGTTTGCATCCTCTTTTATTTCCTTGAGCAGTGGTTTGTAGTTCTCCTTGAAGAGGTCCTTCACATCCCTTGTAAGTTGGATTCCTAGGTATTTTATTCTCTTTGAAGCAATTGTGAATGGGAGTTCACTCATGATTTGGCTCTCTGTTTGTCTGTTGTTGGTGTATAAGAATGCTTGTGATTTTTGCACATTTATTTTGTATCCTGAGACTTTGCTGAAGTTGCTTATCAGCTTAAGGAGATTTTGGGCTGAGATGATGGGGTTTTCTAGATATACAATCATGTCATCTGCAAACAGGGACAATTTGACTTCCTCTTTTCCTAATTGAATACCCTTTATTTCCTTCTCCTGCCTAATTGCCCTGGCCAGAACTTCCAACACTCTGTTGAATAGGAGTGGTGAGAGAGGGCATCCCTGTCTTGTGCCAGTTTTCAAAGGGAATGCTTCCAGTTTTTGTCCATTCAGTATGACACTGGCTGTGGGTTTGTCATAGATAGCTCTTATTATTTTGAAATACGTCCCATCAATACCTAATTTATTGAGAGTTTTTAGCATGAAGGGTTGTTGAATTTTGTCAAAGGCCTTTTCTGCATCTATTGAGATAATCATGTGGTTTTTGTCTTTGGCTCTGTTTATATGCTGGATTACATTTATCGATTTGCGTATATTGAACCAGCCTTGCATCCCAGGGATGAAGCCCACTTGATCATGGTGGATAAGCTTTTTGATGTGCTGCTGGATTCGGTTTGCCAGTATTTTATTGAGGATTTTTGCATCAATGTTCATCAAGGATATTGGTCTAAAATTCTCTTTTTTTGTTGTGTCTCTGCCTGGCTTTGGTATCAGAATGATGCTGGCCTCATAAAATGAGTTAGGGAGGATTCCGTCTTTTTCTATTGATTGGAATAGTTTCAGAAGGAATGGTACCAGTTCCTCCTTGTACCTCTGGTAGAATTCGGCTGTGAATCCATCTGGTCCTGGACTCTTTTTTGTTGGTAAGCTATTGATTATTGCCACAATTTCAGCTCCTGTTATTGGTCTATTCAGAGATTCAACTTCTTCCTTGTTTAGTCTTGGGAGAGTGTATGTGTCCAGGAATTTATCCATTTCTTCTAGATTTTCTAGTTTATTTGCGTAGAGATGTTTGTAGTATTCTCTGATGGTAGTTTGTATTTCTGTGGGATCGGTGATGATATCCCCTTTATCATTTTTTATTGCGTCTATTTGATTCTTCTCTCTTTTTTTCTTTATTAGTCTTGCTAGCGGTCTATCAATTTTGTTGATGCTTTCAAAAATCCAGCTCCTGGATTCATTAATTTTTTGAAGGGTTTTTTGTGTCTCTATTTCCTTCAGTTCTGCTCTGATTTTAGTTATTTCTTGCCTTCTGCTAGCTTTTGAATGTGTTTGCTCTTGCTTTTCTAGTTCTTTTAATGGTGATGTTAGCGTGTCAATTTTGGATCTTTCCTGCTTTCTTTTGTGAGCATTTAGTGCTATAAATTTCCCTCTACACACTGCTTTGAATGTGTCCCAGAGATTCTGGTATGTTGTGTCTTTGTTCTCGTTGGTTTCAAAGAACATCTTTATTTCTGCCTTCATTTCGTTATGTACCCAGTAGTCATTCAGGAGCAGGTTGTTCAGTTTCCATGTAGTTGAGCAGTTTTGAGTGAGATTCTTAATCCTGAGTTCTAGTTTGATTGCACTGTGGTCTGAGAGATAGTTTGTTATAATTTCTGTTCTTTTACATTTGTTGAGGAGAGCTTTACTTCCCAGTATGTGGTCAATTTTGGAATAGGTGTGGTGTGGTGCTGAAAAAAATGTATATTCTGTTGATTTGGGGTGGAGGGTTCTGTAGATGTCTATTAGGTCCGCTTGGTGCAGAGCTGAGTTCAATTCCTGGGTATTGTTGACTTTCTGTCTCGTTGATCTGTCTAATGTTGACAGTGGGGTGTTAAAGTCTCCCTTATTAATGTGTGGGAGTCTAAGTCTCTTTGTAGGTCACTCAGGACTTGCTTTATGAATCTGGGTGCTCCTGTATTGGGTGCATATATATTTAGGATAGTTAGCTCTTCTTGTTGAATTGATCCCTTTACCATTATGTAATGGCCTTCTTTGTCTCTTTTGATCTTTGTTGGTTTAAAGTCTGTTTTATCAGAGACTAGGATTGCAACCCCTGCCTTTTTTTGTTTTCCATTTGCTTGGTAGATCTTCCTTCATCCTTTTATTTTGAGCCTATGTGTGTCTCTGCACGTGAGATGGGTTTCCTGAATACAGCACACTGATGGGTCTTGACTCTTTATCCAATTTGCCAGTCTGTGTCTTTTAATTGGAGCATTTAGTCCATTTACATTTAAAGTTAATATTGTTATGTGTGAATTTGATCCTGTCATTATGATGTTAGCTGGTTATTTTGCTCGTTAGTTGATGCAGTTTCTTCCTAGTCTCGATGGTCTTTACATTTTGCCATGATTTTGCAGCAGCTGGTACCGGTTGTTCCTTTCCATGTTTAGTGCTTCCTTCAGGAGCTCTTGTAAGGCTGGCCTGGTGGTGACAAAATCTCTCAGCATTTGCTTGTCTGTAAAGGATTTTATTTCTCCTTCACTTATGAAGCTTAGTTTGGCTGGATATGAAATTCTGGGTTGAAAATTCTTTTCTTTAAGAATGTTGAATATTGGCCCCCACTCTCTTCTGGCTTGTAGGGTTTCTGCTGAGAGATCAGCTGTTAGTCTGATGGGCTTCCCTTTGAGGGTAACCTGACCTTTCTCTCTGGCTGCCCTTAGCATTTTTTCCTTCATTTCAACTTTGGTGAATCTGACAATTATGTGTCTTGGAGTTGCTCTTCTCGAGGAGTATCTTTGTGGCATTCTCTGTATTTCCTGAATCTGAACGTTGGCCTGCCTTGCTAGATTGGGGAAGTTCTCCTGGATAATATCCTGCAGAGTGTTTTCCAACTTGGTTCCATTCTCCCCATTACTTTCAGGTACACCAATGAGACGTAGATTTGGTCTTTTCACATAGTCCCATATTTCTTGGAGGCTTTGCTCATTTCTTTTTATTCTTTTTTCTCTAAACTTCCCTTCTCACTTCGTTTCATTCATTTCATCTTCCATCGCTGATACCGTTTCTTCCAGTTGATCGCATCGGCTCCTGAGGCTTCTGCATTCTTCACGTAGTTCTCAAGCCTTGGTTTTCAGCTCCATCAGCTCCTTTAAGCACTTCTCTGTATTGGTTATTCTAGTTATACATTCTTCTAAATTTTTTTCAAAGTTTTCAACTTCTTTGCCTTTGGTTTGAATGTCCTCCCGTAGCTCAGAGTAATTTGATCGTCTGAAGCCTTCTTCTCTCAGCTCGTCAAAGTCATTCTCCGTCCAGCTTTGTTGCATTGCTGGTGAGGAACTGCGTTCCTTTGGAGGAGGAGAGGCGCTCTGCTTTTTAGAGTTTCCAGTTTTTCTGTTCTGTTTTTTCCCCATCTTTGTGGTTTTATCTACTTTTGGTCTTTGATGATGGTGATGTACAGATGGGTTTTTGGTGTGGATGTCCTTTCTGTTTGTTAGTTTTCCTTCTAACAGACAGGACCCTCAGCTGCAGGTCTGTTGGAGTACCCTGCCATGTGAGGTGTCAGTGTGCCCCTGCTGGGGGGCTGCAGCCCAGTTAGGCTGCCCGGGGGTCAGGGGTCAGGGACCCACTTGAGGAGGCAGTCTGCCCGTTCTCAGATCTCCAGCTGCGTGCTGGGAGAACCACTGCTCTCTTCAAAGCTGTCAGACAGGGACATTTAAGTCTGCAGAGGTTACTGCTGTCTTTTTGTTTGTCTGTGCCCTGCCCCCAGAGGTGGAGCCTACAGAGGCAGGCAGGCCTCCTTGAGCTGTGGTGGGCTCCACCCAATTCGAGCTTCCCAGCTGCTTTGTTTACCTAATCAAGCCTGGGCAATGGCGGGCGCCCCTCCCCCAGCCTCATTGCCGCCTTGCAGATTGATCTCAGACTGCTGTACTAGCAATCAGCGAGACTCCGTGGGCGTAGGACCCTCAGAGCCAGGTGCGGGATATAGTCTCGTGCTGCACCATTTTTTAAGCCCGTCAGAAAAGCAGGGTATTCGGGTGGGAGTGACCCGATTTTCCAGGTGCCGTCCGTCACCCCTTTCTTTGACTCAGAAAGGGAACTCGCTGACCCCTTGTGCTTCCCAAGTGAGGCAATGCCTCGCCCTGCTTCGGCTCGCGCACGGTGCACGCACCCACTGACCTGCGCCCACTATCTGACACTCCCTAGTGAGATGAACCCGGTACCTCAGATGGAAATGCAGAAATCACCCGTCTTCTGCGTCGCTCACGCTGGGAGCTGTAGACCGGAGCTGTTCCTATTCGGCCATCTTGGGGGAGCTCGAGATTATTAACCAAAAAATTTCCTGTCCAAGTAAGCTGCTCTTTCCTGGTCCTTTGGCTGAAGAAACCAAAGAGGCTTTATTTGTCTGTGCCTATTGGTATTTCTGGGTTAAATAGTAACCAGAGTCTTCCTATGTTTAATTTTATATGTAATATCCTGAATTATTAGCCTCACATAGTGGGAGAAATAGGGAAAAGTATATCTATTTCATCTTCCCAGAGCTGGAACACATTGTATTTTATACAATTTTTGTGTGCTACTAAATATTATTCTTAATTTTTTTCAATAATTTAAAAATATAAAAACTATTCTTAGTTCACAGGCCATACAAAAATAGATCATAAGCCAAATTTTGCCTACAGGTGGTAGTTTGCTAATCCCCTGTTCTAGACCATCACTACTAATAGTAGAAACCCCCTTACTTCTTTAAGTTTGTATACATGACTGATATGGTTTGGCTGTGTCTGCATCCAAATCTCATCTTGAGTTGTAGCTCCCATAATTCCCACACGTTGTTGGAGGGACCCGGTGGGAGATAATTGAATCACGGGGCAGTTTCCATCATACTGTTCTCGTGGTAGTGAATAAGTCTCATGAGATCTGATGGTTTTATAAGGGGTTTTCCCTTTCACTTGGCTCTCATTCTCTCTTGTCTGCCGCAATCTAAGACATGCCTTTTGCCTTCCATCATGATTATGAGGCCTCCCTAGCCACATGTAACTGTGAATTCACTAAACCTCTTTTTCTTTATAACCTACCCAGTCTCAGGTATGTCATTATCAGCAGTGTGAAAATGAACTAATACAATGACTGTTCAATACTCTGTGCCTGAGGTTTCTAACACCTGCAGTTCTCAGTAATCTGATTCTGTTTGTTATTTACTTCTCTCAAAAGATTTGTCTTTCCATTGTGTTGGAGCTGATTATTTGATCTTAATCATATATGTAAATTGAGGAACATTTTTCTGCAGACAGGAAGAATTTTCTTCTGCTTCTATTGATATCCAGGGGCACCACTAACATGGAATCTTTTCTCTAGATTTTGGCTCAGTGCGCAAGTCTCATGTTTAGCTTCCCTTTGTTGCCTCTGGCCTAAGGTGTAGTATCCAAATCCTAGTATTGCTCTTTTGTCTTCATCCTTCAGAGCAACCCAGGTGCAGGTCAGGTGTGGGGATGAGGATATAAAGTTTTAGGATATTTTTAGACCTCCCCTACCTCAATAGAGACCCATGGTGTGTTGTAAAAGTGTGTTTTCTTTACAGAAGCTGTGTTCTTTAGTGGGAAAGTCTTGCAGAACTCCCCTCTGAACTAATACTGGAAGCAAAGGTCAGTGTTCCATTTCTACAATTCTATTTGACTCTCCTTACATTTTAATATATATGTACATTATATTTTTCTAATGGGATCTAAAGTTTGTCAGTGTTTTGACCATTCTCCCAAACAGTTTAGGAAACTTCGTGATTTAACTTTTTGACATCCACCAAATCCCATCTTCTACATAATTTTTGTCATCGAGTCTATTAGTTCCATATAGGTTTAATTTTTTATGTTTTATTTTAAATTGACTTTTAATAAATTATTCATGTATAAATTGCCTGCAAATAATTTTATAAGATTTACAACAAAAATAATAATCCCCTTTGTCACTTTTTCCCATTTCCAAATTCCCCTCTTTTAAGGCAATTATTTTCAATATTTTTCATTTCTTCTGGTATTGCCTCTTTTTAAAAGAAAATCTAAGTAACGGCCTTCTGCTTTTTATCTAGTATGAAATATGTAATTTAAAAAATCTACTATGAAAGATGTAACTTAAAAAAATAGCTTTCTTAAATAACATACTTCCCCATCTATTCATTACTCCTTTTGAAAACATCTTAATATAGTCCCTTATAATTTTGATTAAATCAGTATTCAATGTTTATATAATTATGACTATGTAAATATTATTCTTAGCTGATTCATATATTGTGGTATAATTACATTTCTTGTACAACTTTTTGTTTTTCTTGTAATTAAAATTGCCTTGCTTTTTTTCTTTGCTTAGTTTTCTTTGTTTCTTTCACTAGTTTCTTCCCAAATCTTCTAGAAAAAGTGAAGTCATATCAGGAATATTGAAAAAGAATACATTGAGTACCACTGTGTGCTACTTACTGCATTCATGGAGCTTACGTTCTAGATCAGTAGGTTCAAAGACTCAACATTCTCAATCACTGAGTTCAAATACTTAACATTCCAGCTTAATACATTCAACAAATACTAGGTTTGATTTTTCCTTGGAAATTTCCTTTTGAGAGACATTTATCCTCCTGATCCAATTAAACTGTTGCTCCCCATTTTTGCTGCACAGTAATTTCTTTTCATTCTCATTCCAGAAATTCTATTCATTTGAGTAAGATCCTTTGTTTCCTGAATTCAATGATGTATTTTTTTTCTTGGTTGACTCCTTCATTTGTGATGAGGATGCTCAGCCAAATAAAAATGTGGGGCCCTTTGTTCAAAACTCCTGTGTTAATCAGTAGTGGAATTGCTCCTGTGAATAGTCAGTGCCCTTTAGCCTGTCCGATGTCATGAGACCCTGTCTCTTAAAAAAAAAAAGTTAAACAAGACCAGCCTGCAGACAATTAAACCAAGCATGACACCCTCAGTGAGCATGAGCAGGTCACACATACCCACGAAGCTAGCTCGGTTCTCAAGTTTGGGGAATTACAATGTTAAAAAAAAAATCCTCCTAATGATATAATGTTTATACTTGGGAACAAATAATTGAAATATAAACTTGATCTGTGGAGTTATTTGGGAGAGCGAGTGATTTATTGTCTTTTGTGTGTGTGTGTGTGTGTGTGTGTGTGTGCCCGAGATTCTATAGTGAATCTTCATTCATTATTTCCCTTTCCTGATTTAATTGTGACTGACAGAAAATGAAGTCTGGTCTTCCTTCCCAGCATTGCCTGACAGATTAGCCAATATTTCCAAGGTAAAATGAGCTCCCAGACTCAAATAATAAGACATTTGAGAGCACAGCCATTTGAATTAAAAAATAACAGATTAGGTTACAGATACAAACAGAATCAGAATGTTAGAAGTTATAAAAAATTAAAGTAATAAACATAATAAAAAAGAAAAAGTATAGTTACTAACAATATGAGATAAGAACAATAAAACACCAAAAGAACAGAGGATACTATGTATAAAAAGTAATTGCATAATGAACACAGCAGATGGGATCAGTAGCAGAATGGATGAAGCTTGAGAATGAGGTATTGAAAGAGAATATCAGATGGAGAAAATCCTCCAGATGGAAGAAGCCAAGGACAAAAAGTAGGAAAATATAAAAGAGGAGCCAAGAGATGAGGAGGGTAATGGAAAAGTGCTAACTTTCTAGAATTAAAATATTTTACAAGTCTTTGTATTGAAAGAGCTTACAGAATGTTAAAAAAGAGAAATATGAAAAGCACATACACATATACTATAGTGAAATTCAAGACTAACAAAGACAAAGAAAAAATATAAAAACTTCCCAAGAGAATAAAAAAATTGACATGCAAAAGGATAAGAAAATATCAATCTCAGGTTCCTCAATTGCAACACTGGGGTCCACAATAAATGAAGCAATATTTTAAAACCATCACAGAAAAACATCTTAAATTTAATGTGAGCCAAATTGTTCTTCAGAAATGAGAGTATAATATAAAAATAATATTCTCAGGCAGACAAGATCTCAGGTTTGCCACACAAAAGCTCCTACTAAAAACAGTTTTAGATAAAATACTTAAATAAAAAGGAAGAAAAATCCAGGAAATATATGAAATATATGAGGTAAAGACGATTAAAAGAATAAACATTTGTTGCTGCTTTAAAAATTGCTAACTGCCCTTCTCCCCAAATATATTCACAAAAACCCAGATGCAAAGTTGAAAGTCTAGATAATGGTAGTATGGTAGGAATCAAGAGGATAGTTCTGGTCTCATTAAGGGGAAATAGAGATGTAAATTTTAAAATAAAGTAAGAAAGAATATAAAACAAAAAGTGGGACAAACTGAAATAATGAATTAAGATAATAACAGCAGGTCTAAGTATATCAATAATTAAAGAAAATAAGATTAGACTGAACTCACCAGTTAAAAGATACGGTTTGATAAGTAAATAATCCAAATGTGTACCAAAAAGATAAGAACATTTAAAGATCAAAAGTAAAAATATGAAGAAAAGATACATCAGGCAAATGTTAGCCAAGTGAAAATTAGTGTAGTTATTCATATCCAATAAAATAGACTTTAAGGTACAAAATAATGATTAGGAATACAATATATCATCAAATAATAATAAGGATTCAATGCACTATGGAGGTGTAGGAATTTTAAGCCTTAAAATACTTGAATGCAAATTAATAATATGAGAGAAATGTTTATAAATCCAGGATTATACTAAAATTTCAGTACATCCTTTCATTATTGGTAAGTTAAATATGTAAAAGTTTGGAAATATTGAAAATATCTAAACACTAAAATATCTAAACAATACATGCAATGAACTTGATGTGATAGACAGGTATAGCATTTTTCTGCACCTAACATTTAGAGATGGCACATTTCTCTGAAGAAAGTGTGAGACATTTACAAAAGCTGATCAGAATCCAGGCAATAAAATAAGTTTGATAAATTAAAAAAAATCAAGCATCATTCAGATCCCAGTCTTTGAACACAATGCGATTAAGTTGGTTAATGGCAAAACATAAATACGAAATTCCACATATTTGGAAATTAAAAAAAATTAGTAAATAACTCACAGGTTAAGGAAAACATGATATGAAAATTAAAAATTATCTAGAACTAAATTATAAGAAAACACTACTTAGCAACATGTACTTCGAGAGAAACTTATAACTTTAAGAGCTTACATTGGAAAAGAAGAAATTAAAAAAAAAAAAAGAGGCTGGACGCAGTGGCTCAATCCTTTAATTCCAGCACTTTTGTTCCCAGAACAGAGCTGGGTCTGGCTGCATTCTCTCCTGGCCCAATAACGAAAAGCAGACAAACTAGGAAATAAGGGAATTTATTGCTATTGCTGGATACAGGGGGAAGGTTGGAGATAGTTCCGCCAGACCAACTCAAAGTGTTAGTTTTCTTAGTGCTTATATAGGTTGGGGATATGTGCCTATGTGCAGTACAGCATTCGCCTAAATCTATAGGTAACTAATTTTGTTTCAACTAGAAGGTCAGAGGGAAACAAACAAACAAACAAAAAGCTTGCTAAGTCCAGTGAAGCTGTGAGGGCTCCAGTACTTTCAAGGCCTGTCTGCTGTGGTACCGGAGTGATTATTTCTAGCTTATCTTCTTTACAGCTTGATCTGGAGAGCTGTCTTAGACTCTCCAGTAAATCTATTCAAACAGCCGCCTCTGTTACCGTGACTCATCTCAAATATTGTCGACCCGAGATGGGTCCTGGCGCTAGGAATGTAAGGCTGTCTCTATTATTTTGACTTGCTCCAGCAAGGGAGAAGGCTATGCGAGGCTCCTGATGACCATGTTTTCATTTCTAGCTTTGATGTCTGGGCACTGATTTCCCTAGGTTTAACTATTTGCTCAATGTTAAGGCAGCTCTGTGGAAATTTGTCTATGTAACTGGAGTGCTATGCAGGCCTGTCTGTGTGACTGTCATGCAGACCTGTCTGTGGGATTGTCAGGGAGAATTGGACTGCCACGCTTTGGGAGGCCGAGGCAGGTGGATTGCTTGAGGCCAGGAGTTGGAGACCAGCCTGGCCAACATGGAGAAACCCTGTCTCTACTAAAAATACAAAAATTAGCCAGGCATGGTGGCGCGCGCCTGTAGTCCCACCTACTCAGGAGGCTGAGGCAGGAGAATTACTTGAACCCAGGAGGAGGTGGAGGTTGCAGTGAACAGAGAATGTGCCACTGCTTTCCAGCCTGGGAGATAGAGGGAGGGTCCTTCTCAAAAAAAAAAAAAAAAAAAGAAAAAGAAAAAGAAAAGAAGAAAGTATTACAATCAGTTAACTAGGTATCTATCTTAAGAAGTCATAAACACAAAACGATAGCACAAATAATATAGGAAGAAAGGAATATGTGCACATATATACCAAAATCAAAAAAAATAATACAAAAATAAAATTAAGAGGCACACAAATATTTCTGGAACATCATTTATTGGAGTATACTTTGGTGGATAGAAATTCTAACAGATGAGCAGGTCCCCTATCGTCTAGGCATTCTACACATATCTGGCAGAACTGGGTACCAGATTTGGGGAGAGGACTTCTGGCTTTGGACTGCCAAGGAAGCACAAGTCCCTTTCCTGATTTATTGAAGTGATGGAGTCTAAGTGTACAGGTCATAGCACCGTGACCTGGCAGCATTTTTATCTATATCCTTATTCCTTGATCATGGCATTTATTAATGAGGGAACACCAGTACTTCCTTTGTCATGGTGAGGGGCTAAGATTCAAACCTTCTAGAACCTGAGGCCTTCACTTTAACACTCTACAAGATTGATTGCCTTAAGTACTAAACAGTAGCTAGTTTCCAGTGGAGCATTGTGGGAGGTACCTTGCAGGGAATCAGTCTTGGACAAATTTACTCTTACCTTTCAAAGGTGAAGAAAGGCAAATATTTGGTCTTTTAAAAACCTAACAAAATAGACAAATTCATAAGTGCAATTAATCACATTAATAGACTACAAATATCATTTCATAAACATTTGATACAATTTAATAACTAATCATGATAAACATTCAAAGTAACTTAGAAGGAAAAGGATCTTGACCTGAGAAGTCTCTATGAAATGATACTTCATAGATATACCTTTTTTTTTCTTGAGATGGAGTCTCACTCTATCACCAGGCTGGAGTGTAGTGGTGCAATCTCGGCTCACTGCAACCTCTGCCTCCCAGGTTCAAGCGATTCTCCCACCTCAGCCTCCCAAGTAGCAGGGACTACAGGCGCCCGCCACCATGCCCAGCTAATTTTTGTATTTTTAGTAGGGATGGGGTTTCTCCATGTTGGTTAGGCTGGTCTCAAACTCCTGACCTCAGGTGATCCGCCCGCCTTGGCCTCCCAAAGTGCTGGGATTACAGGCATAAGCCACCGCGCCCAGTCTTCATAGATATTACAAAACATATTTGATATCTCTATAGGTAACATTATAATACTTTTTAAAACATATTAAGAAAATACTAAATCCTAAATAGATATATCATGTTCATGGATGAAACTTAGTATCATACTGATGGCCAGGCACAGTGGCTCACACCTACAGTCCCAGCACTTTGGGAGGCTAAGGTGGGCTGATCTCTTGAGCTCAGGCAATATGGCAAAACCCCGTCTCTACAAAAAAATGCAAAAAATTAGCTGGGCGTGGTGGAGTGTGCCTGTAGTCCCAGCTACTTGGGTGGCTGAGGTGAGAGGATCACCTGAGCCCAGGAGGTTCTCAAAGCTGCAGTGAGCTGATTGTGCCACTGCACTCTAGCCTGGGCAATGGAGTGAAACCTTGTCTCAAAAAAAAAAAAATTATACTGATGACATTTCTTCCCAAATTGATCTGTAGCTTCAATGTAAGTAACGGTCATAAAATTTGATAAGATTATTCCCACTTTACACAGTCAAGTAAAAGGTCACAAACAGAACACTTCTAAAGGGAAGTCTGTGAGGGGTGGATTGGGATTATATCTACTGGATTCTAATGCTTATGATAAAGCCATAACAATTAACACAGTGTGAGGATAGATAAATTGACACAGTGTAATAGAATGAGCCCAGAAACAGGTCGAAATATGTTTGGGATTTTGGTATATGATCACAGTCGCATGAGAGATCAAGGAGGAAAAGAGATTGGAGCTGGAAGAAGCATATCTATATGGAAAAAGATAATATTGAATTTCTATTTCATATCATATACAAAAAATAAACTCCAGGTAGATTAAAGATTTACATATCAAAAAAAATTTCCAAACATCTTTTAAAAATTTAGAGTTCTGTTTTTTAACAACTTTAGGCAGGGTAAGATTTCTTAAACCAGTAACAAATAAACATTGGCTACAAGAGAAAAAATTTAAAATTTTGACTGTACTAAAAGCAAGGATTTTTTTTTCTTCCTCAGGCCCAAGATGGCTACTGAAAAAGCAAGAATTTTTGTTTATCAAAAGCCAACATAAAGAATGAAATTACAAATAACACAGTGGGAGCAAGTATTTACAATGCACAAAACTAACAGGTTACAATTAATAATACACAAAGAATCTTTACTCGTTAATAAAAAGAGGACAAATAACCCAATAGAATAACAGACAAGATAAATGAACAGGCACATCAGAGAGAAGAAATGCAAATAGCCAATAAACATATGAAGAAAATGTTTACTCTCTTTAATGATCAGAGAAATACACATTGAAATAATGAGATGTAATTTTATACCTAACCATTTGACAAAAATAAAAACCTTGAAAATATCAGTATATTTAAATAACACCGACACATTACTGCTGAGAGCATAAATTGGTATCACTACTAGAATACAGTTTGGATTTGCCTCTTAGAGTTGAGCATTAACACACCATTTGATGCACCATTTCACAGGCAAGTCTATTCCCAGAAGAAACTTTTGCACTTACATAGTAGGAGCTGTTCTAAATAGCAAAACCCAAAGAACAATCCAAAAGCTCATTAAAGGGAAAATTAGATGACTACATTGTGGTGCATTTGCCCAGTATACTATTCTACAGCTATATCAATAAATTAATGAGAATTATATAATAATGTGGATGAATGGATAGTTACAATGTGGATGAATGATAGCAATGAGTGAGAAAAATGTTCCCTCAAGTTATATATAGCCTCGATCTCTCTATATATAAAGTTTAAAGCAATTAAACACACATACACACAGGCACACATGCATTCTGTCTCTCTCTCTCTCTCTTTAGGAATATGCATAAATGCAATTGCAAAACTATATAAAATTGAAAGTAAGGGAATGATAAGCGGAAGACTAGTGATGGACTCAAGATTGATCTAGAGATTTCCTCAGACTGGAGGAGATAGGTGGTGGGTTAGTGGGGGAAGCCAGACTCTTAGATTTGGTTTATTGACAAAGTTTTAGATTTCATAAATAAAAGTATACCATGCCTGAAAAAGAACAAGGGGGTGATCCAAGGATTATGATTAATTCAATGTTATGCTCCTGAGAGCCATTAAATAAAATATTCTCCAAATGAAGGATTTCCTGGAGAGCTTACTTTCCACATTTTAAAAATAGAGCACAAAAAAATAGAGCACAGGAAAAAATGTATGGGACACCACACCTGACAAATTAATGCTCATTGAGATGAAAGAACTTGTGTAATGGGGTGAAGAGAACACACATAATGTGTTTGATGTTTAGAGTGATATAGCAGGATGTGCAGACTCTGAAGGAAGACTGTGTACCATACAGCTCAAATATACGACTGTGATCTCAGAGGTTGTTTTCAAAGACAAGAATGGTAGATGTGTCACCATAGACATGTGAATTCATCTTAATACTTTGCATTGGGATTTATCCATTTAGCCATAGGTCCCAATTTTGACTAGAGCTTCTGCAGTCACTACCACAAACTGGCCACTACTGCTACCAGAAGCATTGTTTTGCACCAGAGATCAGCAAATTTTTCCATAAAGGTCTAAATATAATATTATTATATTACAAATATTTTAGGCTTTGTTAGATGTAATATCACTGTTTCAAATATCCAAATCTACCTTGTATTTGTGAAAGGAGCCATAGATAAAATTTGAATGATTGAACGTGGCTGTGTTCCAGTAAAAACTCTAATTACAAAATCAGGTGGCAGGCCAGATTCTACCCACAGGCTGACCCTAGTTTTATACTATCTATCCAATAGTTGGTCTTTGTATCTTATAGAGGCGGAATATGAATACGACATGTTGCCAATATGATGAGATGGTCTTTATCCCATGTCTTAGAGTTTAATGAGTTATACCACAACAGTTGCTTCATCTTCCAATATGAAAAGAAGCAAAACCTCAGGATCCACCCTACAGGAGTCCCTCCAACAGAATTATCATCAAGTGACACTATCTCCAGAGTTACGAATTTGAGATGAGAAGCAAACAGTAACAGAATTTGAAAAGAAGATTCTCAGTTTTCTTTGGGAACTAAAACTTGGTTGCTTTTAGAACCCAGGATACCTTTCTGAGGGTGATCCACAAACTCTGTCTACCTCTGCCGCCTTTTTATAAGTTTGGCACAATTTGAAAGTTTTATTCTACCAGCCTTTAAAAAGTTTTATTCTACCAGTTATTTGGAAGTTGTTTTAGAAGAGCGTTGGGGATGTTTGGTGGTCTTTGGACATAAGTTTCTCCATCCTATTTGTTAGGATGGACAACAAGCTCACTTTTTGCCGTGACTATTCTCTGTCTTATCTATAAGTGCGTGTGTGCGGGAGCACGTACACACACACACACACACACACACACACACACACACGCATGCGCTGAGGCAGCCAAACATCTTCATAGCTGCTTCCCTGATGTATATGCTTGCCTAGAACTTTTACTTGCCAGCTTACAGGACTAGTATCTTCAACATGATACTGAGTTTCATCAACAGAGAAGGGGACTGGGACACTTTTCGTTGGGCAGTTGCGGATTTCTGGTAGACTCACTGGCAAATTGAAGAGGAGTATGAGCACAGGTCTTTAAGTACAACATTATGTGTGGTAAAGTAGTACTGAAAGTTAAGAAATCGCATTGAATATTGGGAGTAGAGTGAGGGTCAACAGTGACAACTTAAAGGACTCTATGTTTCACTGTTGCTGAGGGAGGAATGATGACCTTGGGTAGATATTTATTCAAAGAAGAGTATTGTTTCTGATTAAAAAAAAGAGGGAGGTTGATAGACACAAAGAAGCAAGGAAAGAATGTGTTTTTATGACTAAGGGACATTATCAGTGTTTTAGAAACACTTTATGCATGGTTAATAAATTCGTTTGTCATATAAAACAGGCATTTTTGTGTATTTTGGACAGGCCCATCTAAGTCACAGGAACATTATTTTGTGTAAAAATTTACCAGAGTAACTAAGGTACTAGGGAAAATAGTTTGGTGCCTTAACAACTCCTTATCTGAGGAGTTGCCACAGAATTTTCTAAACATTCCCCCTATAGAAAGACTTCCAGAAAAGCTCAGTCAGTAAACCTTTCAGGCTCTCTCCCAAATATGTTCTGAATGTGTGCAGATTTTTACTGTCAGTTGCACCAAACTTATACCCATTGACCATATCTTGCCTGGGCTTTTGCAGTAGCGATTTGGCTCTACTCTTCCTTCCCCTGGCCAGTCCTGTCTCCACAGAGCAGCCAAAGGCTTTTTTTTTTTTTTTTCATTTATTTTTATTTTCATTAGACAGGGTCTCTGTCACCCAGGTTGGGGTACAGTAGCACAATCTTGGCTCACTGCAGTCTTGACTTCCCAGGCTCAAGTGATCCTCCAGCTCAGCCTCCTGAGTAGGGAGTAGCTGGGACTACAGGCACTCACTACCATGCCTGGCTAATTTTTGTGTTTTTTGTAGACACAGGATTTCGCCATGTTGCTCAGGCTAGTCTTGAACTCCTGAGCTCAAGTGATTCGTCTGCCTTGGCCTCCCAAAGTGCTTGGATTATAGGCATATGCCACTGCACCTGGCCCAAATAGGCCTTTTGAAAACACAAATTTGATCAAGTAATTTTTCTGCTTCACACCCTCCTATGGATTCCCATTTCCAATAGAATATAATCCTAACTCCTTGCTGGGCATAGTGCAGTACATGACCTGGCCTCTGCTCAACGCTCCAACTGCATCTTGTTCCTCTTTCCCCTCGGTGAGGATAACTCTCTTTCTCCAACTACACCAACCTTCTTATCAAATATGCCAAGCTTGTTTCCTTCCATCCTAAGGCTTTTGCATTTGCTGATCCCCACGCTTGAAGGGCTCTGTCTCTAGATATTCACGTATTTTTTCCTTCTTATGCTTTGAATTTCATTTCAAGCATTATTTCATCAAGGATCTTTCCAGTCCACTCCCAAGCCCATCATTCTGTTTGATTTTCTTCAGAGCACTTTTGCCTTCCTGAAATTATTTTGTTAAATTGTTTCGTAAAAGCCTTGGATGATCTTGACAGAAGATGAAAAAGTGAAACAAGGAGGTAGGTATGGGTGGGAGCCAGGCATGGGGCCAGGGTGCTTTTGAACATACGCAATGTGTCTATGTTTTCTTTTGAGAAAAGATGGGATATATAAACTACCATATGTTTTCTGTGGTTTGGTTCTTCACTGCTTTGAACATTCTAACAGTTTATACATATTTCAACAAAAGAAAGAGAAAGAACATGCATCTGTCTCCAAAATTATTTTAAGTCTCTTTCACATCTATTTGCTAACCTAATATCAACTACTGAGAGGCAGTATAGTGTAGTGGTCTGAAGCTGACTGAATCCCCATTCTTCTGCTTACCAGCTGTGAAATCTTGGGGATGATAAAGCCTATCTGTACCTGTGTCCTATCTGTAAAAGTGGGATAACAATAGTACTTATCTTAAACATTTGTTGAGAGGATTACATTAGTTAACAGCCCTGTGTTCCTAGAATGACCTGTGGCACATCATAAATATTCAACAACTGTTAACTCTAATTTTTACCAGAGAATAGAAAACAATCCTGCCGCTTGAAGCTTCTCAAGAGAAATGAAAGATTGAAATTTCCATTTCCACTCCAGATGAGGTGGCAGGAGTGATCAGGGCTCCTCCCCTTACTTTTGAAGCCATTCCCAGGTTTTGTCCATAGAGCTTCACTACTGGCAGATGTTTTTCTGTCTGTCCTTCAAACTACTTAAATAGTTGGAAATAGTGAAAGAAGTCTCATCATCAGCAACTGAGAAGCAGTACAAGTAACATCTGAGAAATTCTAAAAGGGATTTTAGAAAAAAATGTTCTGACTTGGTTACCAAGTGTTGCGCGTGCATGCACGCATACACACACACACAGACACACAGACACACAGACACACACACATTTTAAATATATCTACTCATTCAACCTAGCAAAAGAAAAGGATTCCCTCTTAATCTTAATTGTTGACTTATTTTCTTTCTTCCTTCAACCAGACAAAATCCATGAGTAGTAATTTAGACTCTTTTGCTTATAACAATATCTCTAGGACCTAGAAATATTTGGCATGGAGTAGGTGCTCAATAAATATTTCTTGAATGAAATAACAACATCAGCAACTCTTTGAGGTAGGTGCTATGATTATCCTGTGGTATATGTTTAAAAATGAGGTTAATTAACTTGTCCAAGGTAACAGCTACTCATGCTAGTGCTGGGTTCAGCTAGTGCTTTTAAACATTCCATAGCATTGCATCTTGTTTCTCCCTTTAAAATATCAATCCACTTAAGTCTTTAGTCCATCTGGAGTTAATTTTTGTATAAGGTGTAAGGAAGGGGTCCAGTTTCAATTTTCTGCATATGGCTAGCCAGTTCTCCCAGCACCATTTATTAAATAGGAAATCATTTCAGGTTTGTCAAAGGTCAGATGGTTGTAGATGTGCGGTCTTGTTTCTGAGATCTCTTTTCTGTTCCTTGGTCGATGTGTCTGTTTTTGTACCAGTACCATGCTGTTTTGGTTACTGTAGCCTTGTAGCATAGTTTGAAGTTTGGGTATCATGATGCCTGAAGCTTTGTTCTTTTTGCTTAGGATTATCTTGGCTATATGTGTCTATACTTGTCTTTTTGGTTCCATATGAATTTTGAAGTAGTTTTTTTTCAAATTCTGTGAAAAATGTTAATGATAGTTTAAGACTCAAATGTAAAACCCAAAACTATAAAAACCCTAGGGGAAAATCTAGGCAATATTATTCAGGAGATAGGCAAGGGTAAAGATTTCATGATTAAAATGTCATAAGAAATTGCAACAAAAGCAAAAATTGACAAATGAGATCTAATTAAACTAAAGAGCTTCTGCACAGCAAAAGAAACTATCATCCGAGTGAACAGACAACCTACAGAATGGGAGAAAATTTTTGCAATCTATGCATCTTACAAAGGTCTAATATCCAGACTCTACAAGGAACTTAAATTTACAAAAAAAAAAAAGCCATTAAAAAGTGACCCAAGGACATGAACAGACACTTCTCGAAAGAAGATGTTTATGCGGCCAACAAACATTTTAAAAAGTTCAACATCGCTGATCATTAGAGAAATGCAAATCAAAACCACATTGAGATATCATCTCATGCCAGTCATAATGGTGATTATTAAAAAGTCAAGAAACAACAGATGCTGGAGAGGTTGTGGACAAATAGGAATGCTTTTACACTGTTGGTGGGAATGTAAATTGGTTCAATTATTGTAGAAGACACGGTGATAATTCCTCAAAGATCTAGAACCAGAAATACTATTTGAGCCAGCAATCCCTTTAGTGGGTATATATCCAAACAAACATAAATCATTCTGTTATAAAGATATATGCATGTGTGTGTTCATTGCAGCACTATTCACAATAGCAAAGACATGGAATCAACCCAAATGCCCATCAGTGATAGACTGGATAAAGAAAATGTGGTATATATACACCATGTAATACTACACAGCCATGAAAAGGAATGAGATCATGTCCTTTGCAGGGACATGGATGGAGCTGGAAGCCATTATCCTCAGCAAACTAATGCAGGAACAGAAAACTAAACACCACATGTTTCTCACTAATAGTGGGAGCTGAACAATGAGAATACATGGACACAGGGAGGGGACCAACACAAACTTGAGCCTGTCAGGGAGCAGGGAGGGAGAGCATCAGGATAAATAGCTAATGCACGTGGGGCTTAATACCTAGGTGACGGGTTGATAGGTGCAGCAAATCATCATGGCACATTTTTACCTATGTAACAAACCTGCATGCCCTGCACATGTATCCTGGAATAGAAAATAAAATAAAATAAAATAAATAAATCCAACTATCTTATCCACTCCATTACAAATTACACCTGGATATGACCACCTAATTACTTTACATAGCCCCTAATCTTTTACTCATCCCATCCAGCTAGAAAGTTACTGATACAATAATCTGTAGACACTGGTTTTCGCATCTCAGTCTACTGTTCAAAAATGTCAGTGGCATCCCATAGAAATGAATATCCTTGTCCGCATCAACTCTGTTTTCAAGCTTATTCCCGTTTTGGTGTCATTTTTTCTTAGATATCCAGCTACACTGAAAGTTGAACTCATGCTCAAATATATGTGTGTCAGTTTACTCAATGAGTACATTAACATATTATATTTGATTTACAAGACACTTGTTAAAGGTGCCTTAATCACGAAAGAAAAAATCTGAGAAAATTGAGGCTCAGCAAAGTTTAGTGCCATTAACTGAGGTTTTTCAACAGGGTATTGGAGCCAAAGCCACGTAAGAGTTAACTGTTTGAAAAAACAACCACCAAAAAAAAAAAAAAAAAAAAAAAGCAAGGAGGAGCCTCTGGTTCCAAGTGAGTACAGTAATCTTAGAACCTGTTCCCAAGATTATAACCTGCTTTATGCAACCATCAGAGCCAAAGAAACTTAACCAAAGGTTTAAAACTTACATAAACAAAGATTCTTTTATTTACAACTCTGCTTCTCTGATGAACAAGAAGCTGCAGCTTACACGTTTGAGGTGCCTTATTCATACTGGCTACTCAATATGTAATTTTTTAAAAAATCTGTTGGTCTTACAGTATGGAAGCAAAAATGAATGGTGATGTTGGTGAATGCTAAGGTAAAAGTCCTTCATTTATTTGGGTTGTTGTGGGTTGCAATTTAGTCATTTGTACTTGGAAAAATATAAGGAGATTTAATGCTTAGTTATAAGTATAAGATTCTTTGGGTTTTCTAATTATCTTGTTTATACATTCCTGACAGCAATGACAATTGTATTTAATGCAGGATTTGTTTTGTGCGGTAGTAATAATATTGTTTGTTTATGCATGCACAGATACAGATTTACATTTTGAGTTTTCAAATATGTAGTTACAAGTGGCTTGGAGCGTTAGAAGTACATTTAAATGATTCCGGATAATGTTGTTTTCCTCCTGCCTTGTCATTGGCCTGGAAAGTCCCTTTTTGTTTATCCAGTTCTTCCACAACCATCGTTCAAATTCTGATCAAGCCCCGTGTTCTTCACATGTCTCTCTCTCTCTGGAAATCTCAGAACATTAGTTGTCTATAACATACATATCTACACACTTAACACTCACATATACACATTCTACTGGAGTTTTCTTTTAAAATTCAAAAATGAGAACATTATTTTTTCAAAGCTAAGTAACAGAAGAGTATATAAAAAAGTCAATTTTGGGCGTATCTTTTTACATTTCTTTCTATGCTCATGTAAAACATACATGATTTATGTAATTATACACATATGCTCCCCCACAACCCTTAGTCACAAATACAGGATCATCATTACCTACATATGTGGACTTGTTGCTGTAATCATTTAACTATGAACTATGGACATCCCTCTAGGTCAGCATGTATATCTAAATCATGGTTAGTCCCTAAATCCTTAGATAAGAATATCTATTTCTGCAGAATGGATTTCCAAAAGTGGAATGCCAGAAACATTGTGTACTGCAATATGCAATCCCATCACTTCTCCACCCCATTCCATTGTATGTGATAAATCTTTCAAAAAATTTTTAATTAACTGTATGCAAAAATAAGGGTATTGTGCTACTTTTCAATCGCATTTCCTTAAATACCAGTGAGATTTAGCATCTTTTATAAAAAGATTATAATAATTTTTGTCTATTTGCATTTTCCTCTCTTATAAACCCCAGTTCATACAATTTACCCATGTTTGCTTTTTCTTTTCAATTTGCAGAAGTTCTCTATTTTACATTAGGGTTATAAAGCTCACCTCTCATATACGTTTCAAACATGTTCTCTATTTTTTAAAAACTTATTTATGGTACTTTTTGCCTTTGTATAAATCTGTACTATTAAAGAAGTAGACTCCACAATTTTTTTCCATTATAGTTTCTTGGTTTTTTTTTTTTGTCTTTTTTAAAAAAGTTTTTCTTTAACCTAACATTACTCTTATTTTTCACATAATTTTTACATTTTATTTTAACATTAAAATCCCTAATCCATTGCTCTTTTTCATCTTTAAACATGGATTATGCAGGAATATTACTATTTTCTTGCTGAATGAAGATCTAATTATAATTATAAAATCATTTACTAAAGAAGCTATACTTTCTCTGCTGAGCTATTATATATTTATTATGTATATGTATATTTCTGCTGAAGTGTTTATCATATAATACATTTTCATTTATATTTATATTGGATACAGTTATAAACTCAGTTTTGTACAGTAACTAGTACATTTTTTGTGGTCATAACATGTTATTGTAATCCAATTAATATCACAGAAGGCTTTAGTATCCTATGTCAGGTACCGATCATCTTTTTCAATATTTTTAGGTAAATCTTACATATTTATTCTTCCATATAAAATTTTAAGTCAAACAAAAAAGTAGAAATAAACAAAATATAAAATGATTAAAATTAAAAATCATTTAAAATTATAAAGGAAAATCCAAATAAAAATTAGTATCTCAATAAAATTATGATTAAAATTGCATTACATATTTATACTTATTTAGGAAAGATAAAGGTTTTAATAATATTATGGAGGTTTTTTGGTCCAGTAAGCATGATAATTTTTCTTAATTCATGCAAGATGACCTTCAATATAAAATTTTGTATTCTTCTTCATACAGTTGCACATTTTTGTTAAAGTTTTCTGGGGTACTTTATTGTTCGATTGTTATTGTGAATGATATTTTATTTTTATTTTAATTTTTGTATTATACTGCCAGCATAAAGAAAAGCCTTTGGTTTTATATATTTTGTATCATGTTGCTGTATCAAATTCTTTTATTAATTACAATATAGGAACTTTTTTGTGATTTACAAGTATTAGTAATTGTCTATAATTAAATATATTTTGTTTTTAATTTACTGTATTTATGTATTATTTTCATTTTCTCATTTTCTTGTATTAGCTAATGCAAGAAATACCACAACAGTGATGAATAATAATGATATTAGCTGGGAACCTTTATTTGTTCCTGATTTTTTTTTTGTCTTTTTTTTTATTATTATACTTTAAGTTTTAGGGTACATGTGCACATTGTGCAGGTTAGTTACATATGTATACATGTGCCATGCTGGTGAGCTGCACCCACTAACTTGTCATCTAGCATTAGGTATATCTCCCGATGCTATCCCTCCCCCCTCCCCCCACCCCACAACAGTCCCCAGAGTGTGATATTCCCCTTCCTGTGTCCATGTGATCTCATTGTTCAATTCCCACCTATGAGTGAGAATATACGGTGTTTGGTTTTTTGTTCTTGCGATAGTTTACTGAGAATGATGATTTCCAATTTCATCCATGTCCCTACAAAGGACATGAACTCATCATTTTTTATGGCTGCATAGTATTCCATGGTGTATATGTGCCACATTTTCTTAATCCAGTCTATCATTGTTGGACATTTGGGTTGGTTCCAAGTCTTTGCTATTGTGAATAGAGCCGCAATAAACATACATGTGCATGTGTCTTTATAGCAGCATGATTTATAGTCGTTTGGGTATATACCCAGTAATGGGATGGCTGGGTCAAATGGTATTTCTAGTTCTAGATCCCTGAGGAATCGCCACACTGACTTCCACAATGGTTGAACTAGTTTACAGTCCCACCAACAGTGTAAAAGTGTTCCTATTTCTCCACATCCTCTCCAGCATCTGTTGCTTCCTGACTTTTTAATGATTGCCATTCTAACTGGTGTGAGATGGTATCTCATTGTGGTTTTGATTTGCATTTCTCTGATGGCCAGTGATGATGAGCATTTTTTCACGTGTTTTTTAGCTGCATAAATGTCTTCTTTTGAGAAGTGTCTGTTCATGTCCTTCGCCCACTTTTTGATGGGGTTGTTTGTTTTTTTCTTGTAAATTTGTTTGAGCCCATTGTAGATTCTGGATATTAGCCCTTTGTCAGATGAGTAGGTTGCGAAAATTTCCTCCCATTTTGTAGGTTGCCTGTTCACTCTGATGGTAGTTTCTTTCGCTGTGCAGAAGCTCTTTAGTTTAATTAGATCCCATTTGTCAATTTTGTCTTTTGTTGCCATTGCTTTTGGTGTTTTAGACATGAAGTCCTTGCCAATGCCTATGTCCTGAATGGTAATGCCTAGCTTTTCTTCTAGGGTTTTTATGGTTTTAGGTCTAACGTTTAAGTCTTTAATCCATCTTGAATTGATTTTTGTATAAGGTGTAAGGAAGGGATCCAGTTTCAGCTTTCTACATATGGCTAGCCAGTTTTCCCAGCACCATTTATTAAATAGGGAATCCTTTCCCCATTGCTTGTTTTCCTCAGGTTTGTCAAAGATCAGATAGTTGTAGATATGTGGCGTTATTTCTGAGGGCTCTGTTTTGTTCCATTGATCTATATCTCTGTTTTGGTACCAGTACCATGCTGTTTTGGTTACTGTAGCCTTGTAGTATAGTTTGAAGTCAGGTAGTGTGATGCCTCCAGCTTTGTTCTTTTGGCTTAGGATTGACTTGGCGATGCGGGCTCTTTTTTGGTTCCATATGAACTTTAAAGTAGTTTTTTCCAATTCTGTGAAGAAAGTCATTGGTAGCTTGATGGGGATGGCATTGAATCTGTAAATTACCTTGGGCAGTATGGCCATTTTCACGATATTGATTCTTCCTACCCATGAGCATGGAATGTTCTTCCATTTGTTTGTATCCTCTTTTATTTCCTTGAGCAGTGGTTTGTAGTTCTCCTTGAAGAGGTCCTTCACATCCCTTGTAAGTTGGATTCCTAGGTATTTTATTCTCTTTGAAGCAATTGTGAATGGGAGTTCACTCATGATTTGGCTCTCTGTTTGTCTGTTGTTGGTGTATAAGAATGCTTGTGATTTTTGTACATTGATTTTGTATCCTGAGACTTTGCTGAAGTTGCTTATCAGCTTAAGGAGATTTTGGGCTGAGATGATGGGGTTTTCTAGATATACAATCATGTCATCTGCAAACAGGGACAATTTGACTTCCTCTTTTCCTAATTGAATACCCTTTATTTCCTTCTCCTGCCTAATTGCCCTGGCCAGAACTTCCAACACTCTGTTGAATAGGAGTGGTGAGAGAGGGCATCCCTGTCTTGTGCCAGTTTTCAAAGGGAATGCTTCCAGTTTTTGTCCATTCAGTATGACATTGGCTGTGGGTTTGTCATAGATAGCTCTTATTATTTTGAAATACATCCCATCAATACCTAATTTATTGAGAGTTTTTAGCATGAAGGGTTGTTGAATTTTGTCAAAGGCCTTTTCTGCATCTATTGAGATAATCATGTGGTTTTTGTCTTTGGCTCTGTTTATATGTGGATTACATTTATTGATTTGCGTATATTGAACCAGCCTTGCATCCCAGGGATGAAGCCCACTTGATCATGGTGGATAAGCTTTTTGATGTGCTGCTGGATTCGTTTTGCCAGTATTTTATTGAGGATTTTTGCATCAATGTTCATCAAGGATATTGGTCTAAGAATCTCTTTTTTTGTTGTGTCTCTGCCTGGCTTTGGTATCAGAATGATGCTGGCCTCATAAAATGAGTTAGGGAGGATTCCGTCTTTTTCTATTGATTGGAATAGTTTCAGAAGGAATGGTACCAGTTCCTCCTTGTACCTCTGGTAGAATTCAGCTGTGAATCCATCTGGTCCTGGACTCTTTTTTTGTTGGTAAGCTATTGATTATTGCCACAATTTCAGCTCCTGTTATTGGTCTATTCAGAGATTCAACTTCTTCCTTGTTTAGTCTTGGGAGAGTGTATGTGTCCAGGAATTTATCCATTTCTTCTAGATTTTCTAGTTTATTTGCGTAGAGGTGTTTGTAGTATTCTCTGATGGTAGTTTGTGTTTCTGTGGGATCGGTGGTGACATCCCCTTTATCATTTTTTATTGCATCTATTTGATTCTTCTCTCTTTTTTTCTTTATTAGTCTTGCTAGTGGTCTATCAATTTTGTTGATCCTTTCAAAAAACCAGCTCCTGGATTCATTAATTTTTTGAAGGGTTTTTTGTGTCTCTATTTCCTTCAGTTCTGCTCTGATTTTAGTTATTTCTTGCCTTCTGCTAGCTTTTGAATGTGTTTGCTCTTGCTTTTCTAGTTCTTTTAATTGTGATGTTAGGGTGTCAATTTTGGATCTTTCCTGCTTTCTCTTGTGGGCATTTAGTGCTATAAATTTCCCTCTACACACTGCTTTGAATGCGTCCCAGAGATTCTGGTATGTTGTGTCTTTGTTCTCGTTGGTTTCAAAGAACATCTTTATTTCTGCCTTCATTTCGTTATGTACCCAGTAGTCATTCAGGAGCAGGTTGTTCAGTTTCCATGTAGTTGAGCGGTTTTGAGTGAGATTCTTAATCCTGAGTTCTAGTTTGATTGCACTGTGGTCTGAGAGATAGTTTGTTATAATTTCTGTTCTTTTCCATTTGCTGAGGAGAGCTTTACTTCCCAGTATGTGGTCAATTTAGGAATAGGTGTGGTGTGGTGCTGAAAAAAATGTATATTCTGTTGATTTGGGGTGGAGGGTTCTGTAGATGTCTATTAGGTCCGCTTGGTGCAGAGCTGAGTTCAGTTCCTGGGTATCCTTGTTGACTTTCTGTCTCGTTGATCTGTCTAATGTTGACAGTGGGGTGTTAAAGTCTCCCATTATTAATGTGTGGGAGTCTAAATCTCTTTGTAGGTCACTCAGGACTTGCTTTATGAATCTTGGTGCTCCTGTATTGGGTGCACATATATTTAGGATAGTTAGCTCTTCTTGTTGAATTGATCCCTTTACCATTATGTAATGGCCTTCTTTGTCTCTTTTGATCTTTGTTGGTTTAAAGTCTGTTTTATCAGAGACTAGGATTGCAACCCCTGCCTTTTTTTGTTTTCCATTTGCTTGGTAGATCTTCCTCCATCCTTTTATTTTGAGCCTATGTGTGTCTCTGCACGTGAGATGGGTCTCCCGAATACTGCACACTGATGGGTCTTGACTCTTTATCCAATTTGCCAGTCTGTGTCTTTTAATTGGAGCATTTAGTCCATTTACATTTAAAGTTAATATTGTTATGTGTGAATTTGATCCTGTCATTATGATGTTAGCTGGTTATTTTGCTCGTTAGTTGATGCAGTTTCTTCCTAGTCTCGATGGTCTTTACATTTTGCCATGATTTTGCAGCAGCTGGTACCAGTCGTTCCTTTCCATGTTTAGTGCTTCCTTCAGGAGCTCTTGTAAGGCAGGCCTGGTGGTGACAAAATCTCTCAGCATTTGTTTGTCTGTAAAGTATTTTATTTCTCCTTCACTTATGAAGCTTAGTTTGGCTGGATATGAAATTCTGGGTTGAAAATTCTTTTCTTTAAGAAATTTGAATATTAGCCCCCACTCTCTTCTGGCTTGTAGGGTTTCTGCTGAGAGATCCACTTTTAGTCTGATGGGCTTCCCTTTGAGGGTAACCCGACCTTTCTCTCTGGCTGCCCTTAACATTTTTTCCTTCATTTCACCTTTGGTGAATCTGACAATTATGTGTCTTGGAGTTGCTCTTCTCGAGGAGTATCTTTGTGGCGTTCTCTGTATTTCCTGAATCTGAACGTTGGCCTGCCTTGCTAGACTGGGGAAGTTGTCCTGGATAATATCCTGCAGAGTGTTTTCCAACTTGGTTCCATTCTCCCCATCACTTTCAGGTACACCAATCAGACGTAGATTTGGTCTTTTCACATAGTCCCATATTTCTTGGAGGCTTTGCTCATTTCTTTTTATTCTTTTTTCTCTAAACTTCCCTTCTCACTTCATTTCATTCATTTCATCTTCCATCGCTGATACCGTTTCTTCCAGTTGATCGCATCGGCTCCTGAGGCTTCTGCATTCTTCACGTAGTTCTCGAGCCTTGGTTTTCAGCTCCATCAGCTCCTTTAAGCACTTCTCTGTATTGGTTATTCTAGTTATACATTCTTCTAAATTTTTTCAGAGTTTTCAACTTCTTTGCCTTTGGTTTGAATGTCCTCCCGTAGCTCAGAGTAATTTGATCGTCTGAAGCCTTCTTCTCTCAGCTCGTCAAAGTCATTCTCCATCCAGCTTTGTTCCGTTGCTGGTGAGGAACTGCGTTCCTTTGGAGGAGGAGAGGCGCTCTGCTTTTTAGAGTTTCCAGTTTTTCTGTTCTGTTTTTTCCCCATCTTTGTGGTTTTATCTACTTTTGGTCTTTGATGATGGTGATGTACAGATGGGTTTTTGGTGTGGATGTCCTTTCTGTTTGTTAGTTTTCCTTCCAACAGAGAGGACCCTCAGCTGCAGGTCTGTTGGAGTACCCTGCCGTTTGAGGTGTCAGTGTGCCCCTGCTGGGGGGTGCCTCCCAGTTAGGCTGCTCGGGGGTCAGGGGTCAGGGACCCACTTGAGGAGGCAGTCTGCCCGTTCTCAGATGTCCAGCTGCGTGCTGGGAGACCCACTGCTCTCTTCAAAGCTGTCAGACAGGGACATTTAAGTCTGCAGAGGTTACTGCTGTCTTTTTGTTTGTCTGTGCCCTGCCCCCAGAGGTGGAGCCTACAGAGGCAGGCAGGCCTTCTTGAGCTGTGGTGGGCTCCACCCAGTTCGAGCTTCACAGCTGCTTTGTTTACCTAATCAAGCCTGGGCAATGGCGGGCGCCCCTCCCCCAGTCTCGCTGCTGCCTTGCAGTTTGATCTCAGACTGCTGTGCTAGCAATCAGCGAGACTCCATGGGCGTAGGACCCTCCGAGCCAGGTGCGGGATATAATCTTGTGGCGCGCCGTTTTTTAAGCCTGTTGGAAGAGCGCAGTATTCGGGTGGGAGTGACCCGATTTTCCAGGTGCGTCCGTCACCCCTTTCTTTGACTCAGAAAGGGAACTCCCTGACCCCTTGAGCTTCCCAAGTGAGGCAATGCCTCACCCTGCTTTGGCTTGCGCACGGTGCGCGCACCCACTGACCTGCGCCCATTGTCTGGCACTCCCTAGTGAGATGAACCCGGTACCTCAGATGGAAATGCAGAAATCACCCGTCTTCTGCGTCGCTCACGCTGGGAGCTGTGCACCGGAGCTGTTCCTATTTGGCCATCTTGGCTCCTCTCCCCTTGTTCCTGATTTTAATGGGACTACCTTGGTTATTTCACAGCACACTTACGGTGCTTTGTGAAGTGCCTGCTATGTTACTATCATCATCTTCCTGACAAGATGGTAAGCAATTGTTAGTGAAATAGTAGTGGAAGGATCTGTTATTTTATGTGAATTAATCTTTTTAGCAATTGATATTATTGGCTTGAGTGTACCACCCACTCCCAGGTGTTGAGAAATATCTAAATATCTGAAGAAAAAAACTGTTATACAAGCCTCTCGATGGGATAATTTACTATTCCCCAGGACCAGCATTCTAAGCACTTTTTCTTCTCTGTGCACAGTAGATTTTGTGGAGGTGGCCGTATCACCTTGTTCAGGAATAGCTTGCTCTAACTGCAGTATGTCTCCCTGCACTTTTCTTTTTCTTTTTTTTTTGTTTTTTGTTGTGTGTGTGTGTGTGTGTGTGTGTGCGTGTGTTATTTTTGAGACAGTGTCTCTCTCTGTCACCCAGGCTGGAGTGTGGTGGTACGATCACAGCTCACTTGCAGCCTCTACCTCCTGAGCTAAAGAGATCCTCCCATCTCAGCCTCCCCAGTAGCTGGGACTACAGGCATGCACTACCACTTCTGGCTAATGTGTGTGTGTGTGTGTGTGTGTGTAAAGATGTGGTTTCATCATGTTGCCAAGGCTGGTCTCAAACTCCTGGACTTAAATAATCTGCCCACCTTGGCCTACCAAAGTGCTGGGATCACAGCCCACTGCACTGACCCAACATTTCATATTGTTGCTGAGCCACTAAGGCAAGCTGACCAGAATGGGAAGAAAGACATACATAGACAGTGTCTTTTGAAGCACTGTCTTGTTCATGGGCCCGTGTTTCTTTCTTGAAATCTATTAGCACCTGATCTGGAAAGGCAGTTTTCACTTACAGAAACCCTAGTTTTATCTTGTCTCTATGAAGGTCACTGTGCAATATTGAACCATGGCTGTGCTCTGCTTATTGCTAGATTGATACAAGGTTTATTATCAGTTCTGTTATTGTTTTATAGAGGTAAGCACTAGGAAATATGTTTACATGAAGATGTTGTTGAAGGAAGGCATTTTACTACAGTAATGTCGCTTGGTTATTTGAACCCTCTGTAGTTACATGTCAAAATTCAAATTGTGTTGCAATATCAAAAATTACTGTCAATTGATAAGTTGGTTTTCTTTCAAGTTTGTTGAAAACAATCAAAATTTTTACAGAAGAATATGTTAGTTATTAGAATCTTTCATTTTGCCAATTTCTGAGATATATACCTTACAATTTTATCTAGATTGAAAAAAGGATTAGTAACCGTATCTGTTTATCTCTTACAGTCACCTGGTTTTTGAAGCTACAAGTAGATTATATCAGCCTAAAAAAATTAAATTGGGCATTGTCTATTGCAGAATTTTCTTTGATAAGCTGAGCAAAGATTTATTTATCTTTGCCAAATTAAAAATTTTTAATCCGGCTGGTCTCTAAGCAGCTTCAAAAATCTTGACAGAGCAACAGAAATAAATATTTTTGAGAATTTTATATCTATATTGATTAGAATTTCTTTCACAATTGAAAATGGTTGTTTCTTATTATGCATCTAATAGAATCAGTGTATATCATTCTCTGAACAGGAGTAATTAATCTTAAATAAAGGAAACTGGTTTTCTAAGGTTTAGTGCATTGTTACCTAGATTGCTTTTGGGGATGCAATGAAAATCACTGTGCAGTGTGAACCATGGCTGTGTTCTACTTATTGCTAGATTGATAGAAGGTTTATTATCGGTTCTGTTCTTATTATGTGATCTTGATCTTTATCTGCATATACATATATATATATTCTGATTTTAAATGTACAATGAAATCTTCTGTTAGAAAATTAACTACAAAACCTAAGGTATTTGGCCAGTGCTAAACAAGAGACTTAGAGAAATATGGTCTCATGTGATTCTGCTCCAGGAGGCATGAATTATTGATAATAGGAGAGGAGGATGAAATGTGCCACAGTAAGATTTAGAATAGGTGAGAGATAAGTCCTTCCTTTTGTAACATTTGGAAAGGAAATTATGCAGGGGTCAAGGGTTGGGAAAGAAGGACTAGCATGATGACTAAACTTAAGATACATTTTCAGAGAGGTTGGCTTTTCAAAAGGGTCTACATGGAAAATGAAGAATTGAAAGTGACTTCTCTTAAAACTATTCATGTTCATGTACCCATTGGAAAATTTTATGCATTCTAAATATTCATATACCTTGGTTTGGAGAACCTATTTTAGACCACCTAGGGAACTTGTAAAAGAAATGTACAAGAAGAGGTTTTATGAAAACTCTCATTGCCAGCATGTGTAACAGGTTGTAGAGGTAGAGAGGTGCACTAGAGATCAAAGGGTAGAGATAAAAATAAAAGTCGTTTCTGTAGAGAGAGTTGTGCTGTGTGTCCCACTTTCACTTCTGTTAGGGGGAGGTAAGCTATTCTTTCTTCTGATTTAAAGCCTAGTGAGCATGACTTTAAGTTTGCTCAGAGTGCTTTATATTTGTCCTCTGCAGTTTGGGAGACACAGGGGACTGGTGTCCAATTCATACTTAGGAAATTTAAGAAGCCTAAAAGGCAAAAAGGCTGTGGCTGGATCCACCTGCCAGGAGGTGAATTGAAGAGAGGGCTACATTTGAAAAGGAGCTTCACCCCAGCCAGCGATGGGTTACCCAGAGCTACTTTGGGGCTCTTACATCTAGAATGATTGGATCATATGGAGTGGTGATGAGAGTTTAGTAGAAAGAGGCTAAAAGTGTATGTTGAATATCTAAAGTTGCAGGGAGAAATTGTATGTGATTAGTCAGAGGCGATGCATTTACCCCACCAAAGATACTGCAGATGTCAGACCATGAATGAGGGGTGGAATCTCCAAAGAATCCAAGAAAGTGGCCTTAAGAGAAAGAGTCAGTTTTAAATACTGCTCTGGGCAAAGGAATCAAGGAAGACATTTCTTCCTTCATTAACTCTTCCCCTTTAAATTTCAACTCTAGAGGAGATAGAGCAGCTTTGTTCAATTGTGGGAGAAAAAGGAAGGCAGAAGGAGAGAAACTAGGATGAAAAATAGAGAAATAACCTAGACCTTCTTTCTCAAATGTAGGCTTTGGACCTGATGTAGTGGGAGGGAAGGAGATTTGGTTTACGTAAAGTGCAAAGTGAACTAGACATATTAATCCAGAACTGCACCTTTTGGGGGAACTAAAAGTGACCAGAGGGTGTTTTGCTTTTTTTTTTTTCTTTTGAATGTCAACGGAAAGTAGTGCAGCCTGTTTGAGATTACAGTGTCAGTGGAATTTAAAAAAAATGGACCTATAAAATGAATTTGATAGGCAGTGGAGGAAGAACTAGCTTCTTTTCTGATGTCACCACATAAATCCCATTTGTTCAAGGTACCTGCACTTACTATCCTTTTCAAATGTAAATATTCCTTGGGAGTACAACAGTACATTATCGCAACTTTTGAGTATTTTTCAATAATACATTATGCTCAGAAAGACACCAGGATTATAATTTTTCCTTCCTGCAACTCTTCTTTCACTTCAGCATGCTGTTACTAGTTTTTCAGCTTATATATATATTTTGCCATTTAACTAACAGACAACTTCATGAATCATACAATAGATTTTGTTTCAGAGGCATGTCATCAGCTCCACGAGACTGAAATTGATAAGGACAGTCAAAGCATTTGAATCAAATTTGGGCTCCTCTATAAATGGGTATTTTTAAAGGAGAATTCATCACTTATAGTAATGCTGTAAATCTTGGTGTTAAAATCCATGCTAAATGGGACTCATTGGTAGGGCTGTCTAATATCTAAATTCAGTATGAACTATAATGTCAGAAAAATCTTTGATTTTGCTGTGATATGTTGTTACATTTACATGGAAAATTTCAGAAATTTACACATTTTAAATCTCTCAAAATAGTTGTTTCTTGTAAGACAGAAAACAAGTAAGTGTTCAAAGACATGTCCCACCTTTGAAATGAGGACAGAAAATAGAATGTGGCTTAGGGGTTACTTAATACAGCTACTCAGAGGCAGAACAAAGACAAGACAGAGCTGAAGGCTGACAACTTTTCAGTGAATTTGTCTAGCAGCAGGAGCTACCAATTATTGAAATTTATAACATTTCAGGCTCTCTAAGAGGGACTTTACATAATTTATCTCATTTTTTTATATGCTATGTGGATATCTAATCTTTTTAGGATTCAGCAAAAGAAGATTTAGATATCTCCTATTTGAGTCAATTCTAGGAAGCCTAAGAGATCTACCAAGATGGCCCCTTGGCAATCACCAAAGCATCAGAAATATTTCTGTTATTTGGGTTTAAAAGTTAGTATCAATTCCATTGTTGCAGTAGCAGCTTGGGTGTTCCAAAATGTCATCCAAGTACAGTATATGATGTAAATGTTTGCAAGACAGGAAAAAAAATAGGAAAATGTAGACTAGGAAATGTGTTGGGGGAATTGAGAAGTTGAAGGACAAGAAAATAGTATCTTTATTCTTCCACAACCACATTTTACAAACCTTATCATCATTTTAACTATAAATATATTTGTATTTCAGATTTTTAAAAGGCTATCTTTCAAAAGTTTACCTTCTTTTCCTTTTTGTGGACATTAGACACTGTTTAAGGTCCATATGACAATGTTCGTTGAGTAAAATAAAGTATGCAACAGTAATTTAGAAACTCATATCTATGTAAGTTTATTTAAGTTTGGCCATATGGTCAGATGCCTCCTGACACTACAAATATCTTTCTGTTATTTAAAATTTTCTATAAAACTCTAGCAGTAAATAGTTGGTAATGTGAACATAGTTCACCAACATTTTTGTCTTACAAGTTACACATTTTTGATAGTAACTGTATAATTCCATCTATTTTTATAAGAATATAACATGGTGATCTAGCGTAACAGTATACATTTATTTGCATTTTAAAATGAAGAAGCAGTATGTAAATATTAGGCTAGTGCAAAAGTAATTGTGTCTTTTTGCCATTAAAAGCAATTTAATTTTAACATAAAAGTATATTAGTAATATACTATAATTATATAATATAATTAGTAATATAATAGAATTATATAATAAAAACCCATAGGAAGCATTTTATTTTGAAGAAGAAACCAGATAGTTTATTTTTCCTACTCATTTTCTTTCTTGTATCTCTGTGGGTGCATGAGTCTTTTTCTTCATTTCTTAGTGGCACTTATGCCATTTGTGATTTGTATGTGTGTGCCTACTCTTTATGCTGTAAATCTTGGTGTTAAAATCCATCCTAGATGGGACCCATTGGTTGGTCTGTCTAATATCTAAATTCAATATGAACTATAATGTCATGTCAAAAAATCTTTGATTTTGCTATATTTTGTTCCATTTACATGAAAAAATAAGTTCTTCATATGGATACATAAGAGTGCAGAGGTTAGACTGTATTTTGAGTTTCTGGTTTCCAGTTGGGACATTGATCATTTGTTAACTTAAGATCTTAGCTTGTGAATAAGTCTTATCTGCATTGGATAAGACTTAATAAGTCTTATCTGCATCTGGATCTTAGCTTGTTAATATGTCTTATCTGCATAACATTTTGACCATATTTGTGGGTATTTCTACAGACTAAGTTAAGTTTTAAATATATATTTCTAAGAAAAGTGAGAAAGAAAAACGTGTAGGCAGTAATAACATAAGCTTTGCAGAGGCTAATTTCCAGATACAAACATATAGTACAATGTACCTGTAATAATTATAACTATTTTTGACAAGTAAATTGATATCTTGTTGCCTTCCTTTATTATAGATGAAAAAACAGTTTACCTCAGATTACTGGTCACAGTGACCCTAACTCATATTTGGTTGTAAGGTAGTACATTACCCATTTTAGGTTATTCAGCTCCTAAGCTCGCAAATATTGACAGGGCAACATGTACCACAGATGTGTGAGATTTTAAAGCTATTGAAGAGGCTCAGTACATTGTGTCTTAAAAATAGTCACATTTAAGCATCCATTGGATTGCTGTATTATGGTATTTACAATGATGAGGTACAAAAGGGTCTAGGTCTATGTTTGCATATACTCTGGAAGACAAATCCTACATTTGCAGCATTTTACCAGTTGCAGCTATTAGAATCTCCTAAATATCTTAACCTGTGGGCTTACATATTTTCTTATTTTTTTTTCAGAAGTCTTAGAATCAAGAAAGGGCCATATATGAAAGTAGTGAAGTGGCATAATATTTTTTAATATTTCATGCTTTGGTCAATGCCACAGTACCCTAGAATTTTAGTAATGATTACAGTTAAAAATTAGTGTTGTATTGCTAGATGTATTAGTCCATTTTCATACTGCTATAAAGAAATACCCAAGACTGGGCAATTTATAAATAAAGAGAGATTTAAGGGACTCATAGTTCCACATGGCTGGGGAGGCCTCACAATCATGGCAGAAGAAGGAGGAGCAAAGGACATCTTACATGGTGGCAGGCAAGAGAAAAGTACAAAGGAACTGCCCTTTATACAATCATCAGATCTTGTGAAATGTCACTATCACAAGAACGGCATGGGAAAAACCGCCCCCATGATTCAATTACCTCCCACTGGGTCCCTTCCATGACACATGGGGATTATGGGAGCTACAATTCAAAATGAGATTTGGGTGGAGACACAGCCAAATCATATCATTCTGCCCCTGGTCCCTCCCAAATCTTATGTCCTCACATTTCAAAACACAATGTGCCCTTCCAACAGTCCCCCAAAGTCTTAACTCATTTCAGCATTAACTCAAAAGTCCAAGTCCAAAGTCTTATCAGAGATAAGGCAAATCCCTTTTGTCTATGAGCCTGCAAAATCAAAAGCAAGTTACTTCCTAGATACAATAGGGGTACAGACATTGGGTAAATATACCCATTCCAAATGGGAGAAATTGGCCAAAACAAAGGGGCTACAGGCCCAACATAAGTCTAAAATCCAATGGGCAGTCATTAAACCTTAACATTCCAAAATGATCTCCTTTGACTCCATGTCTCACATACAGGTCGTGCTGATGCAAGAGGTGGGCTTCCATGGCCTTGGGCATCTTCACCTCTGTGGTTTTGTAGGATACAGTGCTCTTTCTGGCTGATTTTATGGGCTGGTGTTGCGTGTCTGTGGCTTTTCCAGGTGCACGGTGCAAGCTGTCGGTGGATCTACCATTCTGGGGTCTGGAGGACAGTGGCCCTCTTCTCACAGCTCCACTAGGCAGTATTCCATTGGGGACTCTGTGGGGGCGCTCCAACCCCGCATGTCCCTTCTGCACTGCGCTAGCAGGGGTCCATGAGGGCCCTGCCCTTACAACAAACCTCTGCCTGGACATCCAGGTGTTTCCACACATCTTCTGAAATCTAGGTGGAGGTTCCCAAACCTCAATTCTTGACTTCTGTGCCCCGTAGGGTCAATACCATACGGAAGCTGCCAAGGCTTGGAGTTTGCATCCTCTGAAGCCAAGCTTGAGCTGTACCTTGGCCCCTTTTAGCCATGATTGGAGTGCCTGGGATGTAGGGCATCAAGTTCCAAGGGTGTACACAGCAGGAGGGCCCTGGACCTGGCCCAGGAAATCATTTTTCCTCCCTAGGCCTCAGGGCCTGGGATGGGAGGGGCTGCTGTGAAGGTCTCTGACATGTCCTGGAGACATTTTCTCCATCATCTTGGTGATTAGCATTTGGCTTCTTGTTACTTACGCAAATTTCTGCAGCTGGCTTGAATTTGTCCCCAGAAAATGGGTTTTTCTTTTCTACTGCAATGTCAGGCTGCAAGTTTTCCAAACTTTTATGCTCTGTCATCTCTTGAATGCTTTGCTGCTTAGAAATTTTTTCCACCAGAAACCCTAAATCATCTCTCTCAAGTTCAAAATTCTCTAGGGCCGGGGCAAAAAGCCAGCAGTCTCTTTGCTAAAGCATAGCAAGAGTCACCTTTGCTCTAGTTCCCAAGAAGTTCCTCATCTCCATCTGAGACCACCTCAGCCTGGACTTCATTGTCCATATCACTATCGGTGTTTTGATCAAAGCCATTCAACAAGTCTCTAGGAAGTTCCAAACTTTCCAACATTTTCCTGTCTCCAAAGCCCTGCAAGTCTCTAGGAAGTTCCAAACATTCTCACATTTTCCTGTCTTCTCTTCAACCCATCAAACTATTCCAACCTCTGCTTGTTACCCAGTTCCAAAGTTGCTTCCACATTTTTAGGTATATTTACAGCAGTGCCCCACTAATCCCGGTACCAATTTACTGCTTTAGTCCATTTTCATACTGCTGTGAAGAAATACCTGAGACTGGGTAATTTATAAAGAAAAAGAGATTTAATGGACTCACAGTTCCACATGGCTGGGGGGGCCACACAATCATGGCAGAAGGTGAAGGAGAAGCAAACACACGTCTTACATGGCAAAAGGCAAGAGAGAAGTGCAGGGTAATTGCCCTTTATAAAACCATCAGATCTCGTGAGACTTATTCACTATCATGAGAACAGTGTGGGAATAACCCACCTCCATGATTCAATTACCTCCCACCTGGCCCCTCCCGCAATATGTGGGGGTTATGGGAGTGACAATTCAAGATGAGATTTTGGTGGGGACACAGCCAAACCATATCACTAGGGATTGTTATATGCTAAGGGCTTTTTATACATTATTTCATCCTCATATCTTTGCAAGGCAGATATTGTTTTTTTAATATATAAATAAGAAAACTGAAGCAAAAATAAGCCAAGAAATGTATTCAAAGTTTTAAAAAAGTATCCTAACAAAGGTCTGCCTGATTCCAAAAATCCTGTCTTTCCCATTGCACCAATGACCCTACTATAGTATCTTTCAGTATCCTATTGACTTTTTGCTCTTTGGCATCACAGCAGGACATTCTTTACATTTTAAATTTTACTTCAATATGAAAGTTGAAAACACTTAGACAATATCTCTTGGCATAGCCAGATAATAATCATAAACTTGAAATCAAATAAAGCTCTGAAAACTGAGTTTGAATATCTGGGTACTCCAAGGGCTTGGTTCTGGTTCATATCCTCTTTTATTTTCCAGTGGCTTTTCTGCAGGAGGGGTTCTGGAAAAATATGGTTTCTAAGCACCTCGTAAGGATCAAATACTGTTTTCAGAAGGCTGATGAAGCTTCAGAAAAACAAATCTGTTTCTGTTGTCTTGCTCCTTTCCCTGTCTTGTCATGCCAGCCTCCTCTACCCATCCTCCAGGTTAACATATTAGGATTTCAAAACCAGAGTGGAATAGATGCTTTAAATCCTTATCACACCCAGCTGTGTGAAGAAAAGTGATTGCAAATGTATATGGGTCTCAAAGCCCAACCAGAGACATTGTACGGTAATAGGACTCCTTCATGCCCTTCTCTTTTGCTCTTTTTCCGTTTTGCTTTCCTCACAGTTTACCCCTACCAGTCCTCTACCAATGTTCTTGCTTAAGGTGCCTATCCTGTTCTCTTAGAGCTTTGCTCTTAACCAGCTGTTAGCTAACTTCAACTGTTAGTTGATATTGATGAGAGTTTTTATTTCAAGAAGGATTTGTCTTTTAATGAGAGATTCTTCAACTGAAAAGCACTTATGCACAAGAATGAATTTCAAATTATAGAAGGTTATGGAGTAAATTCTGGACAGAGTTTCTGCTCAAGATCTGTTGCTTGATCAGGTTATTTGTATTTACAAAGTGGAGGCATGGAGTCAATACAAAGAAGTGAGTGATCAGAAACCAGAAGAGAGTTTTATAACAGTTATAGCTGTATGTGGGACCACAGCCTCCTAGCTTTCACGTAAACTTATACTAAATTTTCAGCATTTCAATTGCAGAGGTTTCATATTTATATATTTATATGATAATCAGGGCATTATGTCCATGAAGGTAAAAAAGAGTTTTTAAAAAAAATCTGGCCGGGCGAAGTGGTTCACGCCTGTAATCCCAGCACTTTGGGAGGCCGAGACGGACGGATGACGAGGTCAGGAGATCGAGACCATCCTGGCTAACAAGGTGAAACCCCGTCTCTACTAAAAATACAAAAAATTAGCTCGGCATGGTGGCGGGAGCCTGTAGTCCCAGCTACTCGGGAAGCCGAGGCTGGAGAATGGCGTGAACCTGGAAGGCGGAGCTTGAAGTGAGCCGAGATCGCGCCACCGCTCTCCAGCCTGAGTGACAGAACGAGACTCCGACTCAAAAAAAAAAAAAAGAAAAAAAAACTAAGTGGACATATTTTTTTGATATATTTAATTTTTCTTTTTATAATGCCTTTCCATGATTTCAAGTTTTAAAAAGTTTATTAATGCAGTTTGTTATCTATGTGGTAAGATTTCTAACTACTTAAATTATATCTTTTTAGTATTTTAGATTTTCTTCCTGCTATTCTAATCTACTTACAACCCTGATAAACTTACCAGATATGCTGTTTCTATATTGTCTGTGATATCCTTTTAAGGGTTTGTGTGCCACTTCCTACTGATGATAACCTTTGTTCTAAATACCATAAGGAATGTTCCCACAGAGAAGTGGTGGATTTTCAGAGCCAGTATCTTTATGGTTCTTTAAGCATTTCGTAATTCTAGATGTGGTTGTGCGGTACAAGTTTCTTTGTGTCATTTTGTTATTGGAGCAGGGAAGGTATCTACTTATGCAAATCTCATTTAGGATTTGGGTAGATTAATTTCATTATTCTATTTTCCTTTTTGTTCATCTTTGAAGCTTTCTCTGCATTGTTTTGTACCCGCTTTTGTGACTGACTTTTTTTTCTTCTCTGTCTCTTTTAAAATTCTTAATAAAATGAATTTAGAAAGTACCCACTGTAATACCATACTGTTCTTTGGTTTGTGTAGTTATCATTGTTAATTCAGTTATCACTGATTGGACATTAAAAATATACCAGATACTTTGCATATTTTATTTCTAATCTTCAAGAAAACTATTCAAGATAGATATTACTATCCGTTTTACAAAGGGAGTATAAGATGCCACACTCTATCAACTTAATCACACTGTATTATAAATTTATATTAAAATAATTTGTTTTTTCATTATTCCTAGAGTAAATGTATTCAACCAATATGTATTGTGCATCTGTTATAGGCACATAATGGGCTTAAATGTTGTGGGGATTACAGAGATGACTCATACATCCTTCACCTCAGTTAGTTTACAGGCTGGATGGGGAAATAACACTTGAGCATACATAACCAAAAAATAAGGTAGAACCCGTGAACTTCTTCTAGGTGGTCTCAAAATCCCAACCACTAATATCATATCAAATATAAAAATAAGCTCACTAAACATGTTCAGTGACTGAGGGAATGTCTATGTAAATTCAGGACCTGTATTTACATAGACTCTTATCTGTGTGAGACTCTTATCTATGTATGACGGAAAGAATCATGATAGGCTCCATGGACAGTGTGGTCTTTGAGCAGAACCAGGGTACAGTGTAGATCCCAGAGGTGAGGAAAGGATATTTCAAGGCAGCAAGTTGTATAAAGCAAGAACGTGGAGGCAGGTGAGTGTGGGGTATGGGATGGTTAATGCACAAGGGAAGCAGTAATGAGGCAGATGAAAATATAGACCAAAATTCCATGGGGAGGACGTTAAGGGACCAGCTATAGGATGTGGGTCTACTTAGTCGGCAAAGGTTTTATTGAACCATAGAAGAAAATGTTCTTAGTTGTATACGGAACAAAGAAAATAGGACAATCCCATTTGGATTTTGGAAGAAAAAAAAGATGTGCTACCAGCAATCTTTCAGTGTTGGAAATATTTAGTAAGTGTATTGAATTTTTTTTAACTTTCTTCCAGTTAAAACCTTAAAAAACAAAATAAAACAAAGCAAAAGTATCTCATAATGGGTAGGGTAAAGATTGTTATTCTCAATATCAGACAAAGTGAATAACTATTTTAGTCCCATTCTTCTTTTGCCTGACCTGTGTGTCCAGTTTCAAGACAGACTGATTTGGCATGGTCTGACATTTAATAAAACACAGTGCAAAGTGGGAGTAAAAGAAAAATATTTTTATTTGGACATGATGTAGAGAAATTGTCTGCACTTCAGAGTCAATATACCTGAGTTTCAATCCTGAATCCATCCTGACTATGTGATCTTAGATAAGTCAGCTCATTTTCTTTCTTTCTTTTTTCGTTTCTTTTCTTTCTTTTTTTTTTTTTTTTGAGACGGAGTTTCTTCTGTCGCCCAGGCTGGAGTGTAGTGGCATGATCTTGGCTCACTGCAACCTCTGCCTCCCAGGTTCAAGCGACTCTCCCGTCTCAGCCTCCCAAGTATCTGGGATTAGAGACTTCCACCATCATTCCCGGCTAATTTTTGTATTTTTGTAGAGACGGGGTTTCACCATGTTGTCCAGGCTTGTCTTGAACTCCTGACCTTGTGATCCGCCCACCTCGGCCTCCCAAAGTGCTGGGATTACAGGTGTGAACCACCGCATCAGCCATTTTCTTTCTTAAAAATTTATTATCATTTCTTTATTTCAATAGCTTTTGGGGTACAAGTGGTTTTTGGTTACACCGATGAATTATATAGTGGTGAATTTTAACATTTTAGTGTACCTGTCACCCAAGAAGCGTACATTATATCTGACTGATGGTTCTTTATTCCTGGCCCCCTCTCACCCTCCCGCTTCTGAATCTCTAAAGTCCATTATATCACTCTGTGTGCCTTTGCATAACTGATAGCTTAGCTCCCCCTTGTAAGTGAGAACATACAGTTTTTGGTTTTCCACTCTTGTTGTTACTTCGCTTAGAATAATGGTCTCCAGCTCCATCCAAGTTGCTGCAAAAGACATTATTTCATTCCTTTTAATGGCTGAGTAGTATCCCATAGTGGGTAAATACCATATTTTCTTTATCCACTCATTAGTTGATGGGCACTTAGGTTGGCTTCACACCTTTGCAACTGTGAATTGTACTGCTATAAACATATGTGTGCAAGTGTGTTTTTCATATAATCACTGCTCTTCCTTTGGTTAGATACTCAATACTGGGATTACTGTATCAAATTGTAGATGTACTTTTATCTCTTTAAGGAATCTCCATATTCTTTTCCAGAGAGGTTGTACTAATTTACATTCTCACTAGCATTGTGTAAGCATTTCTTTTTCCCCACATTTACACGAATATCTATTGTTTTTCTACTTTTTTCTTTTTTTTCTTTTTGAGACGGAGTCTCGCTCTGTAGCCAGGCTGGAGTGCAGTGGCATGATCTTGGCTCACTGCAACCTCTGCCTCCCGGGTTCAAGTGATTCTCTTTCCTCAGCCTCCCAAGTAGCTGGGACTACAGGCACATGCCACCATGCCCGGCTAATTTTTTGTATTTTAGTAGAGATGGGATTTCACCATGTTGGCCGGAATGGTCTCCATCTCCTGACCTCATGATCTGCCTGCCTCAGCCTCCCAAAGTGCCGGGATTACAGCTGTGAGCCACCACGCCCAGCCTGTTTTTTGACTTTTTAATAATGGACATTCTTGCAGGAGTAAGGTGGTATCTCACTGTGGTTTTGATTTGCATTTCCCTGATGATTAGTGATGTTGCGCATTTTTTTCATGTTTGTTGGCCATTTGTATATCTTTTTTTAAGTAAATGTCTATTCATGTCCTTTGCCCACTTTTCAATGGGATTATTTATTTTTTTCTTGCTGATTTGTTCGAGTTCCTTTTAGATTCTGGATACTAGTTCTTTATCGGATGGGTAGTTTGCAAATATTTTCTCCGATTCTGTGGGTTGTCTGTTTACTCTGTTTATTATTTCTCCTGCTGTGCAGAAGCTTTTTAGTTTAATTACATCCCATTTATTTATTTTTGTTTTTGTTGCATTTATTTTTGGGATCATATACCAGTTAAACTCTGTCATTTTTTCTCATAGTGTACATACTTAAGCCCACTCACCCAACTTCTGAGATCTTATCTGGAAGCTGCCGATCATCAGTTTTAGGTGTTTTCTACCTATTGGGAGTCTACCTTTCTCTGGTGCTGGCTACGACCAGTTATTATTTTAGAGAGACAATTTAACAATCACCTGACCATCAGCTGATAGTCGCCTGATAATTCTTGGTCGGGGGCTGGGGCAGTGGGGGCATGGGGGTGTGGGTTGGGTTGGGGGGCCCTCTCTTCCCTGCTCATGGTTGCCTAGCTACCCATTCTAGCACTTGGAAGCCTAACTCACTCAGGTTACTCAAGGGTACCTATGATTTCATGTACCTAGACACAATGAGAAAGGTTAAGATAAACGTAGTCACCAAAATTTTACTGTTGGTACCTCCAATTACAATAATTTAGTTATTCTCATTATTTTTTTCCCAAAGTAGTTGTGAGAAACCAGAGAATACACTCAGTAAGCTCCCTGGCAGTAATGTATTCTCAGTCTTTATGTATTTGATTCCTTACTGAGCTGCAAATACCAACCTAACTAAGGAAATAATGCTGAATTTGTTTAAATGTTTCACTTTCGTAAGAAATTGAATGAATAAACTTCAGAATAAAATCTTCGATTAATATCTGCTGTATCCATATAATAACCTTTGTGTTATAGAGTCACTCTAACTATGTTTTAATCTCTAGCACCAGAGGTTGTTGGGTTACTATTCATAATTCTTCTTGTTTAATTCCTGGGAATTGTATGCTACCATAGGCAATGTCCTTGAACATGATATGCACTCATTAAAATTTTGTTAACACTAGAAAGAGAGATGGGGGAATTGAAATAAATTATAATGTTAAATAACAAATCCATATATGTAATATTTATAAACCTAAATATAATGTTGATATTATAACTTGACATATTATAAATTACATATTTTGTTATACCTATTTATATCATATATAGGTGTGATATGCAATAAAACTGTAGACTATTGTGGGAAATTTTTCAAATAAGTTTGAGAGATTATAATTTAATTGTACCTTATTCAATTTGAAATATTGGGTTTGAGGCCACTTTGAAAGAAGGACCAACAATTGAGCATCACAAATATAAATTTGTATATTCACCTATTTATTTCAATATGTAATTCATGACATAGAATTTATTATAAATATATTTCCCTGCCTCTATACACTCACTACCGCTACCACTTACCACCACCAACGAAAGCCTCTACAATTTGGTAACCTAAGGCACACTTCATAAAGGGAAATTTTAACTTAGAAATGTAAGTCAATGAGTCAAATTTCCACTTAGATTGAAATGCTTATTTTTTCTATTTTTTTAAAAGTACAAGTTGAGTGTCTTTAGAAATGGCATAACGCAGCATGATGGCAGTTTATCTGAATTAATGCTACTTCCAAAGCTACCTAACTCAAAGTCAGGGAAAAGCAGATATTCATAAGAATCTGACTCAAAGCAAAGCATTTCATCTTCTGTCCAACATTGCAGCTGCTATCAAAAAAAGTGTATCATATACATAACCTCTGCCAGAAATGTCTAATTTGTTAAACAAAAGAAATAATTCTTATACAGCAAAGAGTTTCCAGAAGTCTGTGGTCTTTTAATTGAAGACACGATTAATAGAACACAAGTTGTTTCGCAATACCCTGCATAAGAATATGACTGAGGTTTGCTGAAAGCCACTTAAACAAAATAAATGACATATACATTTAATAGAAGCTCACTGCTGCTAACACACAATGAAACCCTCATGGATACAAAGCAGTTTTATACTTTTAAATAGCCTCTTAGTACCAGCAAGCACAACAAACAATAGACTTTAAAAAATATTTTGACCGAGTCAGGAGCAGGATTTTATTTCTTTGTTTTTAAAACAGCATTCTGTCATTTCAGAAATATACTGCAAAAAGGAATTGCTTAACAGGGGTATTGACAATTACTAATTTGCTTATCAGGGGTACTTACAATTACTAATTTTCTTTCTTTTTTTTGAGACGAGTCTCACTCTGCCACCCAGGCTGGAGTGCAGTGGTGCAATCTCGGCTCACTGCAACCTCCGCCTCCTGGGTTTAAGCGATTCTCCTGCCTTAGCCTCCTGAGTAGCTGGGATTACAGGCACATGTCACCACCCCCGGCTAATTTTTGTATTTTTAGTAGAGACAGGGTTTCACCATGTTGGTCAGGCTGGTCTCGAACTCCTGACCTTGTGATCTGCCTGCCTCGGCCTCCCAAAGTGCTGGGATTACAGGCAAGAGCCACCGCGCCTGGTCCAATTACTGATTTTCTCATGTCAAGAATAACTTCATTATTAGCTGTTTACAATTTACCAAGGTTCAAACTACCTTTTTCTCCTTCGTTCTTAAACCTGTGCCACTGAGATATAGGTCCCAAAATGACGTTCTTATGTTTTAAAATACAAATCTATAGCAAAAACATTTCATTTTAAAAGATACTATCTTTTTATTATGGGACCTTAGTTAGTACTACATATAAAACAATCTTTTGAGAAGGTATATGTCCTAGCAACAAACATCAGACACACAGACCATATATTCACACTGGAGATGAAAAGGGCACTGTTAAATTATACAGGAAATCACTAGAACATAAAACAATAACTATAGAGTTACATTGTCCTCTAAAGGGGCAAGTAATTCAGTGGCTCTCTCTTTAAAACCTCTACTGCATTCCTCTTGCCATATGTATTGGATCCCACGTTGGTAGATGAGAGAATGGCACCAAAGTTGTTGCTGGAATGAACTAAAAAATTTGCCAGGCGCTGCGTTGCACATGTGGCAGTGTTGCATTTCCGCTTTTCCACCTGATGACTGGTAACATGGAACAAATGTGAAAAGTTAGAGCCTTAGAATTTTAGCTGGATCCAGCCATGTGACATCAAATATCTTGTATTGATGAAAACCAAAGAAACAATTTTCACATAAGTAACTCAGTGTTTTGGTTTGCAAACACCTAGATGGCTGAGATTTTTTTTTGACACCTTGAAATAACAATTGAAAATCATACAACATCTTTCATTACAGTCAATGTTGCATTTCTCAGTTAAAAGTCTTCCTTTGGAAATTCAGAATATATTACATATAATCAAAATAACAGTGTCTTTGTCTTACATTTTTAAAAATCTTGAAGAATTTATTTTTAATATATAAAAAGAATTTAGAAGGTAAAATTTATATGTAATCTGAAATATGAAGAAATTTAAAAATAATTATTTCTACATCTTTCCAATAAGAATAAAGCAGCATTACTTAGTCTTTAAGTTCCTTGAGATAATTGAATCAGGAGTGTTATGCAAGAAATGTCATAAGGGAATTCTGCAATATGCAACACACGGATGAACCTTGAGGACATTAGGTTGAGTGAAAGAAGCTAGTCATAGAAAGATAAATACCACTTGGTTCCATGTATATGAAGTATTTAAAATAGTCAAATTCATGAGTTAAAGAGTGGAATGGTGGTTATCAGGGGCAAGGGAGAGGGGGAAATAGGGAGTTACTAACCATTGGGTGTACAGCTTCAGTCAAGCAAGATGACTAAGCTCTAGAGATCTGCTGCCCAACATTTTGCACATAATCCAGAATAATGTATTGCATGCTTAAAAATTTGTTAAAAGGGTAGATATCATGCTTTGTTCTTAAAACAATAAAATGAAATATAATAAAGTAAAAAATAATGTCATAAAAAGTATGTCAAAAAAAGAGAATATCATAAAGTCTCCAAAAGAATCAAATCTATCACCTGTTCAGGTACTCTATTGCAGTGTGAGAGTTTTATTACTTTTAGCATAAATACATTTTCCTGCTTGGATCTTATGCTTTCAAGAATTTTAATGATAAGACTAGGTTAAATGTTAAAACCAAAAGACTTTTTATGTCAATGGTATTAATATTCATCACATTTTTCTAGCCACCTGGAAGAAGTGCATAATAATACTTATAAACTCAGAAATCATAACCACACATTAAATAATTCATTTAATTTTAACTTATGTTTTTATTTAAGACATTTATTTGTATACCAACTCTATTTTTTTGACAGCCTTTTGTTTCAATGTGCTTTTAAAACGATATCGGAAATGGATGCAGAATAATAACATTGCTTCCTCTTTGCTGATTATTAGGAAAGTTAGAGAAATGTTTTAGTTTTCAGCTCCATAGAAATCAAAATATTGGTGAAACTTAGGGTAAATGGAAAATGAAATAGTTATAGGGCTAAAAACTCAATGTCCAGGAGCCAGTGGATATGCATAATCTGGGACTCAAATGCAATGGATTTATCTCATTGTGTTTACCTTGTGTGGGGAGTATTTCATTATCTCTATCTCTAAGTAGAGATAGCCTAAGAGTAAATATTTAATAATCTCATGTGAAACTGTTTTTTTTTTAAATTTTACTCCCATATTTCTTCCTAAGTACAGAAAACTTCTTACAGCATTAGGTGAACTGGATACTTGTTGAATGTAAGTGTATGCTGACAAATGTTTGAACAAATTATCTGGGCAAAGAAAACCACTTTGGGATCTAATTATTTAACCTATATCAATCTCATTCACACTATCTGTTCAATTATTTATTTTTGAAGGTACCATAAATATGACCAATGTACATTTCAAAAGAGTGATTTATGCTTTAAGGATTGAACTAGTAATTTCATACATTTGCATTGAATTCTAAAATACTTACTTTTCTTGAAAAACAGTAAAAATTGGAATTTGGTCCAAACATCTCAAAAAAAGTAATAAAGGAAAATTATGGGTCAAATTGAGAAGATTCAAAGGTAATATCTGTTCCAAGATATGTTTAGCATATGACTGAAGCACAGTGTGAAATACTTTATATGCTAAATGCTGAGTGGTATTTTGATAATTGGTTGGAAGGTCAATAATATAATTTAAAATTGTTCTAAATAAAATGTTACCTTATTTGAGTTAGCTAGATGGGCCATCATTCCACTTAGAAGAAATAGTAAAAGCATTTATGTTTTTATCATATTTGTGAAATTGCTTTTCTAAAAAAGACTTTTCATCTAAATATACTATTCAGTATATATAAGATTCTATCTAAAGCAATCTTTAGGATGGAAAAAGTTGTCTGAAATGGTTAATAAAAGGCATTACCTCCCTGGTTTCAGGCATTTTTTTCTCATTGACTACCTGGACAGGTAACATACGAGCTAGTAACAAACATTAAAGCTGTAGACCACTTACAGGCACATACACACATGGAAATTCTTGACTTTAAGAGAGTTTAAACAGAGATGACAATAAGCCAAAGTATAACTCTTAAATTGCCTCTCTTTTAAATTGTCTCTCCAGAGTTTTCAAAATGACTTTAAAGTGAGTCCCTGCTCTCAGCCTTAACATTCATCTGTGGAAGTATGTGAGCTCCTGCAGGGAGATCCTAGTGATTGCATCTTGGCATCTATGTAATTATATTTTTAACTATCCTTTGATTACCTGCCAGGCAGATATTTACAAGGGAGTGTAAAAAAGTTGGTGGGAAAGTATGTGATCCTTTTATCCTATTTCATACATTTACAAATTGAAAAAATCTCAAATGAGATGATTAAATTTTGTGAGGAAAATGACATTGAATAATGTTAGTTTTATTTTTTAAAAAGAGTTTAAAATTTGACACATTTTCCCCATAGATTTTCCTAGCTTTCTGTGAGATATGTAGAATAGTACATGATTTAACATCTCAGCATGACAAATCATACTCCCTTTAACAAATGTTCAAACATACTCATTTCAGGCAACATATTAAAAAGCAATTTGAAGAATGTTTTACAAGATTTCTAATAATTCAAAGTTAAAGATTGTGAGACTAACATCAAAATAATTTTATAACAAGTAATATTATATTACATATTGCTCTATTTCTAAGTGAAGTTTCTCTCATAATAAACAAACATCTATAAAAACATAATGGTCTGGGTTCAGTGGCTCACTCTTATAATCCCAGAATTTTGGAAGACTGAGGCAGGAGGAAGGCTTGAGCCCAGGAGTTTGACACCAGCCTGGGCATCATAGGGAGACCCTTTCCCTATAAAATAAAGATAAAACAATTAGCTGGGTATGGTGGCAGGTGCCTGTGGTCCCAGCTACTTGGGAGGCTGAGGTGGGAGGATCACCTGAGCCTAGAATGTCAAGGCTACAGTGAGCCATGATTGTACCACTGTGCTCCAGCAGCCTGGGTGACAGAGACAGAGAGAGAGAGAGAGAGAGACCCTGTCTCAAAATAAAATAAAAAAAAGAGAGGGTAAAAGTGCTTAGTAAATTTCTATATCTATTGAAAGAAAGTATCAAGATATAAACAGATATACTAGGAAATACTACTGATTTTCCTGTCATCATTCAGATATTCTGCTTATCAGAAACTTCATGTCATTTTAAAAGTTATTTTTATGAAAAAGCAAATAGAAAATTACAGTCAGTTCTGAGAAGAACACCCTGTAAACTAAATAAGCCTTGAAATGACAAAAAGCCTCTGATAATGATTCTTGCTATTTATTATACGTAGGTGCTGTAGAAATCTTTGCATATTGCTATGGGCTTCCAAGAAAAACTACCTCGAAGGAAAACAAAGACAAGATGACGATCATTCTAATGAGAAGAATTATAATATGACATGCACACTCTTTACAAAGGTAAACTTAATTCTCCTTGGTGTTAAAGAGTGTGTAAGTTCAGTCCCATAAGACTATATGGAGCAAAACTAATTTAGGCACAAACAAATCCTCACTATGTTATTTATGACTTATGCACATATTTGAACTTAATAACCCTTTAAATAAATTACAGTTTTAAAATCTCAGTTTGAAAATTTTAACTACTCTAAGAGTTTTACGTGACATAGTTGTTAGATGTCCTTAATTACCATTTAAATGACATGAAACCTTTCGTAATAAGACTTCCCAGGAAATCCTGACATACATGCTACCTACTGAAAGTAATTTTAAAAAGTATTAAGTTTATAGCAGCTTAGAAGTAATAAGAAGAATAACTTTTTATAAATCTGTTTCACTCACAGAATAGCTAGCTAGCAATATAGAATAAATCCCCCAACAGCAAATGGCTTTTTAACTACTTCTTTTAGATTTCATTTCTTAAAAACATTAATTTGCTCCTGATTATTTCTATACATTTCCATTTCCACAAGATGTAAAAGTTTTTAACATTTCCAGAGACATCTGAGGAAAACAAAAATCTAAGTAATATATACAAAAAGAATCCACTTGGTATAAAAATATATGCTTTAGTTAAGTTTCTCTGGTTTGTTTCAGTATCAGGTTAATATAGAAGAAATTACTACCTTTTGATTTTTTTCCCGCTTCATGTTCTGGCTTTGCCCCTCTAAGTTCCAAGAGTATATTTCTTGACAAAACTGGAATTATCCATTCCTGTCTGTCAGAAGTTCCATCAAAGATATTTATTTGCCACTGGTGTTATTCTTTAAAGAACACAGAATTCAAGGAACAATGGAATAGCTGAAGGTACTGTTCTTAAGTATGATATAGTCAGAAATCTAAGGCTGTAGTTATTTGACAGTATTTAATTCTAATTTTCTCACACTTTACAAAAGTTACAAAGAAACAGGATTTTAAAGTTACCAACCTTTCAATGGGTGTAGCTTTCAGATGGTTCAATGCAACAGAGAGCACAATGAGAAATACTTGCAGCTTCAGGATGCCCATTGCTTCTCAAATTTTCTGCAAAGAATAATCCAGCACTGAAATCAAGAGATTTCTTACAGTTCTAATTGATGTAATTTTAAATTAGAGCTTAGTTTTTAAAAGAAACATCTTTTTAAAACGTAATTTACAAGGATCAAAATTTTTATTGATACAGTCCCTTAATATTGTCCACTTTTCAAGTAATTTCGAGATTTTTACTTTCCCAATTTCCTTCTCTAAGCAATCTGAACATTTATATTGTAATACATTCTCCCTTTAGCCTTTCTTTGAAATAAACCATGAATTTAACACCAAGTGTGCATTTCTCTAAATAAATAAAACTTTCCCAGAAATAGGAAATTCTTTACCTTTTAATGTTTCAATGTCAGCAATATCAGCAAATGCTTCTGATAGAAAGAAAGCTTCAAGAAAAGAGTCCAAGCTTGTATCCACTGGAATATTTACCCCCTCATTTGCTAACTAGTAATCCAGCTCTTATATACCCCTCACACCTTTCTCAGCTCTGACATCAGGCAGCTCAGAGAGCCTCTGTCATTAATTTCCATCCCTATAGATAGAAAGTACCTCACAGGCAGCAGAAGCGGATGGGTCATTATTACATTAACTCATCAGTAAATATTAACGTAGCAAATACACAGTGTCCTTGTGCAGTTAATGGTGTGTCATACACAGCAGAAGTTTGAATTTGCCATCTTTGTAAGACATGAGTGAATTTCCAAGAATTAAGTGTATGTTATGGTAAGGAACTGATAGAAAAGGGTAAGGATAACAACAAATGTGCATATATGCAAACAGAGAAATCACAGACTTTTGGTATATCTAAACCCAAGTGACCTCAATGGCTGAATCCCATGAAGCTTCAGGAATAAATGGAGATATAAGGGAAAGGTGTATAAAAAGGGCATAAAAGAGAAATCAAAAGTCATTTACAATGAGGTGAGGGGAGATTTAAAAGCATAAGAGTAATGGAAGACCTACTCTGTGGTAGGGATTATTCTAGGTACCAGAGATATGACAGGGAACAAAACAAAATTAGAATGAACAAATGCTACATAACCAAATGAATAAAAAAATTCATTTTTCAGCACTTAGATAGAGATCCATAGGTATATGTAGTCAAGTAGTTTTTGGATGACCTTTTCCATTCATTCTTACACAGAAATTTTACAATTATTTTGAAAGAACAGATTTGTTTCCCATTAGCTCCATGAGAACATTATGAATGGCTTAGCTCACACAGTACTTTGTAGTTTGTCTTTTAAAATGATTTGCTTTTTAAAATTTTCTCCAAATTGCTTTTTCTTTTTCTTGTATTTCTTTCTCTCTTTCTTTTTTTTTCTTTTTTTTTGAGATGAAGTTTCACTCTTTGTTGCCCAGGCTGGAGTACAAGGGTGCGATCTCGGCTCACTGTAACCTGTGCCTCCCGGGTTCAAGTGATTCTCCTGCCTCAGCCTACAGAGTAGCTGGGATTACAGGCATGCATCACCATGTATGGCTAATTTTGTATTTTTAGTGGAGACGGGGATTCTCTATGTTGGTCAGGCTGGTCTCGAACTCCCAACCTCAGGTGATCCGCCCACTTCTGCCTCCCAAAGTGCTGGGATTACAGGCGTCAGCCACCGCACCCATCCTCTTTTTTTGTATTTCTAAATTATATTTGGTATCTTAGTTATTAATAGAACAACTTAGTGTCATGTAAAGCAAATAAATTTCAATTGTCAGTGAAAATGTGCATGCCTGTGTAATCTTAAAAAAATTGAAGTTCTCTAACTAGAAACATTAGTTCATTGATTTCATATACTTCTTAAAAGCTTTGTAACATTGTTTGAAGGTGTTTGGTAGAGATTTCAGGAGGAAAGAAACTTGTTTAGAATCCTTGTTCTAATTATTCAATGATTCTACAATTTTAATATTTCTGTGAAATTTACTGATATTCCAAAAGAAAAAAAATCAAAAGAAATGGAAGGATAATGCATTTCCGTAAGAAGATAATGTACTTAACAAGGTGAATATGAGGTAGGAGGCAGGACTAGACTCCAGAGGCAGGGCTTGAACACCAGACCAAATTGAGAACTAGCTAAAACAGGGCCAATGGAAAGCAGCTTTCCATAAGACACGCCCCCTAGTGTGCCATGTCAGTTTACCATTGCTATAACAACACCCAGGAGTTACTGCCTCTTTCCAGGGCAATGACCAGATGACCCAAAAATTACTACCACTTCCCTTGAAATTTCCGCATAAACCATCCCTTAATCTGCATGTAGTTAAAAGTGGGTATAAATATGACTGCAAAACCGCCGTAAGCTGCTACTCTCTGCATATGGGTTAGCCCTGCCCTGCAGGAGCAGTCACAGAGTTATAAATGCCAGAGCTGTAACACCGCCTCTTCAATAAAGCTGTTTTCTTCTACCTCCAACTTGCCCCTGAACTCTTTCATGAACAAAGCCAAGAACCCTTGAGGGCTAAGCCCCAGTTTGGGTCTCACCTGTTCTGCGTTAAATACAGTGATGTAGAAAGCATACCAGGGCCAGTGACATTAAATAAAGTTCAACATCAAACATCTAGTTAATGCTGAATCCTGGACCAAAGCTTAGCTTTATGACTCATGGTCTAGTGTTCATTTAGACAAAAATACTTGCTTATTACCTACATTGTTATTTATTCTATTTTCATAACCTTTTTTGTTTCTCTAAGATGTTAAGGGTGCCAAACATAACATTCAAAATGGATCCTCTCTTACCCTAATGTTATAAGGAAAATCTTCTATCGAAACACTGCACGTTCTCACTCATAGGTGGGAATTGAACAATGAGAACACATGGACACAGGAAGGGGAACATCACACACCAGGGCCTGTTGTGGGGTCGGGGGAGGGGGGAGGGATAGCATTAGGAGATATACCTAATGTTAAATGACGAGTTGATGGGTGCAGCACACCAACATGGCACATGTATATATATGTAACAAACCTGCACGTTATGCACATGTACCCTAAAACTTAAAGTATAATAAAAAAAAAAGAAAAGGAAGACCTGGTATTTTATAAGGACTATCATATGTCAGGCACAGTCATAAAATTGATATGCGATATCCCACTTCATCTTTGCACCTCTTCGGTGGTTATTATTTGCCCTAATTTATAGATAATGAAAATGAGATTCAAAGAATATAAGTGACTTGCTTAAGGTTACAGAGCTACTCAGGAGCAGAATGAAAGACAAATTCTTATCTGTCTGATCCAGGATATTTGTTTTTTTGTTAAAAATGATCTATATTTTCATATTCTAAATTGCTAATTGCTTTCTCTAAGTTGTATATCTTGTTACAACACCTTGAATGATTTTGTTATAGCCAGATGTGACCTTATGCTGGTCTGTCTCGTATAATGTTTAGTAAAATCAACATCTATCCCAATCTCAAATAGCTTCAGAGTTTACATGCTCCCTGTAGCACTAATGAAAGTGAAGGTATGTGGATATTTAGATTATCTTTACAAGGGCATAATCTCCTTTCTAAAGGACAAGCATCACTGTCACTTATCTTGGTATCCCCTCTAGCCTTGCTAAGTCAAAGTGTGAATGAGGTGCTGGCAGCTTTTGCATCACCTGGGAGCTTATTAGAAATGCAGAATCTCAGGCCCCACCTTGGATCCACTCTATCAAAATCTGCATTTCAAAAATGATCTTTCCTTAGCAATTGCATACACACTACAGTTGGAGAAAAACTGTCCCGCAACTTTAAAACATCAGTCTGGATGTGGAATAATATGTGATATCTCACTTCATCTTCACACCTCTACGGTGGTTATCATCTGCTCTAATTTATAGATAGTGAAACTGAGATTCAAAGAACATAAGTGACTTGCTTAAGGTGAAAGAGCTATTAAGTGCAGAGTGAAAGACAAATTCTCATCTGCCTGTCCCAGGATATTTGTGGAATGAATTAGAGGGTGGCAAGAGTAAAAACAGGAAATCTATTAGCAGACGATGTCAGTGAGATCATGAGGCCTTAGACCAGGGTGGTTGCTGAGGAGTTAGAGAAGTAAATGACTCCAAGTCATATTCATAATCATAACATGCTTTGACAATGACATGAATAAAGGGAAGAAATGAGAAGAGATTGAAGATAAACATGAGTGTCAGGATATAATTCATAATATGTATTAATCTTCTTCCTATCACATTTTAAAAGTAAAAGATGTTTTATATATCATTTTAAAAATAATTTTTACATTTTATCAAATTTGTATGTGTTCAAATGGTATTAGAAGACTAATAATAAACACAGTAGTTCCTTGCCTTAATTCTGCCCACCCATAAATTTTGCTCTCCACACAGTTTTAACTATTTTAGGTGTTTCTACATTTCTTTATTTTAGCTGTTTCTACATTTCAAAAATATTTACTTCTCTGGACACTCTTGATTTATTAAATTTACATTTTATATGTTGATATCCCATATTAGAAGAAGAAGATTCAGCTCTCCTCACTTTTCTTCTCTATCACTATCGTAAAATAGTTTAATAAATTTTTTGAATTATATCAATATTAGGTGTACATCTTTTTTCTATTTACATTTTAAAGTGTTTCTTTTGGGAACTTTCAAATGTATATAAAATTAGAACAATTATCAACAAATGATCTATCTTGCTCACTCTATATTCCTACCTACTTTCCTCCCACCTCCCACTGTATTATTTAAAACAAATCCTAGAGATCACATAATTTTAACTGTACATTTTTTAGTGCTATAAAAGATAAGGACATTTTATAGAACATAGCTCTGAAACCATTATCCCATCTAAACATACAATTTATGGGAATTCCTTAATATAAATATTCATTCAGCATTCACGTTTTCCAGTTGTCTACAAAAAAAAAAATTTAACTGGTTTGTTGGATTCAGGATCTAAACAAGATTGCATTTGGTTGCTCTGTGTGACTCTTTAATTTACAATTTTCTGTCCGTTATTTTTCACATTACTGATATTTAAAAAATGGGGGCATTTGTTGTGTAGAATTTCCCACATCCTGGATTTTGCTGATGGCATACGTGTGGTATCATTTAACACGTTCCTTTCTCATTTGCATTTCCTCTATACTTGTAGTTTGGTCTAGAGGCTTGATATGATTCGGCTTCCATTATTTTGGTAAGAATATGTCTCACGTGATGCTGTTTATTTCCTATTGCATTATATCAAGGGGTACATAATATCTTTTATGAGGTTAAAAATGATCAGTGGGTTCAGATAGCAGGCAAGTTGTTCATTCTGAGTTCTCTATCAGCCTTTCATTTACTGGTTTTAGCAATCTTTGCTGATAATTGCCTGAAATCCTTTTTATTAGGGGTTGAAAAATAGTGCTAGTCTAATTCTGTCATTCATTTGTCATTTATTAGTTGAAATTCTTCAATGAAAGAGAACATCTCTTGTTAACTATTTGATTACCTTGAGGTAGTTTTAAATGAAAGGCAAGATATATGATTTTTCTTTTTCATTTTTTTGAAATATACTTTATATGTATTTTGATTTCCTTTGTCTTTTTCATATTAAAATTATCCCATGTTGGATCAACAGGAATCCCTTCCAGTTGCCTTCTATGTCTTGTAGTCTCGGTACTTTGATAGCTTTATTAATTTCTGATGAATGGCGTGATTTTATAACAACCTAAATGCTGATTACTATTGAACTGAGTAATATGCTGTGAGTATTTTCCTTTTTTATTTAACCTTTTGTTTTTCTTCTAATTAACATTTGCCTCTTTTTCGATTGTTCAGTTTTAGGCTTGCAAATTGTCTCAGAGAATGATAAAATATGATATGACCACTCTTCATATGATAATATTTCCTTCTTATTTCCAACTTCCCCTCTCACTGCCCATTCTCATGGAAATCTTTCTCCTATAGCCTCTGACCTTCTGCTTTTCTCCAAACTGACTGCTTTCTAGGATTGCTACGTAGTTGTTTTTATCCTTTTGCTTTCATATTGAGAAATACTCCCATCATTCTTCCATTTTAAAAATACTGTTCTAGTTTTCTTGATTTATGTCCTTATTTTGATGGAACATATACTGCAGTAGCTTCCTGAGAATGGACACATGAAAGACTGAGACCTTTTGTTTCTGAGCATAGTTCTAAACACATTATTTTTATTCAGAATTATAAAGGCATTATTTCATTGTATTCTAACCACTAATGTGGCTAAAAGAAAAGCAGTTTTTGATTTTTTATATTTCATTGTTTAAAACCTCTCTGTAGAAGTCCTTAGGATCTTTTCTGTATTCCTGATATATTTAAATTCAGGCTGATATGCTTTGGTGTGGATCTTTTTCTATTGACTGAGCTGGAAACTCAGTGTATCTTTTAATATATAAATTTGTGTTATTTAGTTCTGAAAAGTACTTTTGAATTTTTTCTTGATATTTGTCTCCTCTCCATTTTCTCTGCTTTCCTCTCCCAAAACGCTTTTATTAATCTTGTGTTTATATATATTTTCACTATTTTTAATCTCTTTAATTATTTAACTTCTATGAAGTTTCCTAATCTACCAACTTTTCCATAAAAAAACAACTTCTACAATCATATTTTTAATTTTCAAGAGATCTTGCTTTCTGAATCTTCTTTTATAGCATCCTGCTTTTGTTTCATTGATGTAATATCCATCGTTATCTCTGAGGATGCTATTTACAGCTTTCTCTTTTCTGGTTTCTTTTCAAAATTCTCCTTCTGTTGTGGTCTTCATTTCCTTCAGATCCCTTTTGTTAAAAAATATCTTTTAATGTTTATATTTCTTTTTTATTTTTATTTTATTATTTTACTTAAGGTTCTAGGGTACATGTGCACAATGTGCAGGTTTGTTACATAGGAATACGTGCGCCATGTTGGTGTGCTGCACCCGTCAACTCGTCATTTACATTAGGTATATCTCCTAATGCTATCCCTCCCCCGCCCACCCCCCGGCAGGCCCGTGTGTGTGATGTTCCCCACCCTGTGTCCCTGTGTTCTCATTGTTCAATTCTCACCTATGAGTGAGAACATGTGGTGTTTGGTTTTTTGTCCTTGTGATACTTTGCTCAGAATGATGGTTTCCAGCTTCCTCCATGTCTCTATAAAGGATATGAACTCATCCTTTTTTATGGCTGCATAATGTTCCATGGTGTATATGTGCCACATTTTCTTAATCCAGTCTATCACTGATGGACATTTGGGTTGGTTCCAAGTCTTTGCTGTTGTGAATAGTGCTGCAATAAACATACGTATGCATGTGTCTTTATAGCAGCATGATTTATACTCCTTTGGGTATATGCCCAGTAATGGGATGGCTGGGTCAAATGGTATTTCTAGTTCAAGATACTTGAGGAATTGCCCCACTGTCTTCCACAATGGTTGAACTACTTTACAGTCCCACCAACAGTGTAAAAGTGTTCCTATTTCTCCACATCCTCTCCAGCACCTGTTGTTTCCTGACTTTTTAATGATTGCCAGTCTAACTGGCATGAGATGGTATCTCATTGTGGTTTTGATGTGCATTTCTCTGATGGCCAGTGATGATGAGCATTTTTTCATGTGTCTGTTGGCTGCATAAATGTCTTCTTTTGAGAAGTGTCTGTTCATATCCTTCACCCACTTTTTAATGGGGTTGTTTGTTTTTTTTCTTGTAAATTTGTTTAAGTTCTTTGTAGATTCTGGATATTAGCCCTTTGTCAGATGGGTAGATTGTAAAAATTTTCTCCCATTCTGTAGGTTGCCTGTTCACTCTGATGGTAGTTTCTTTTGATGTGCAGAAGCTCTTTAGTTCAATTAGTTCCCATTTGTCAATTTTGGCTTTTGTTGCCATTGCTTTTGGTGTTTTAGTCATAAAGTCCTTGCCAATGCCTATGTCCTGAATGGTATGGCCTAGGTTTTCTTCTAGGGTTTTTATGGTTTTAGGTATAACATTTAAGTCTTTAATCCCACTTGAACTGATTTTTGTATAAGGTGTAAGGAAGGGATCCAGTTTCAGCTTTCTACATATGGCTAGCCAGTTTTCCCAGCACCGTTTATTAAATAGGGAATCCTTTCCCCATTTCTTGTTTTTGTCAGGTTTGTCAAAGATCAGATGGTTGTAGATGTGTGGTATTATTTCTGAGGGCTCTATTCTGTTCCATTGGTCTATATCTCTGTTTTGGTACCAGTACCATGCTGTTTTGGTTACTGTAGCCTTGTAGTATAGTTTGAAGTCAGGTAGTGTGATGCCTCCAGCTTTGTTCTTTTGGCTTAGGATCGTATTGGCAATGAGAGCTCTTTTTTGGTTCCATATGAACTTTAAAGTAGTTTTTTCCAATTCTGTGAAGAAAGTCATTGGTAGCTTGATGGGGATGGCATTGAATCTATAAATTACCTCAGGCAGTATGGCCATTTTCACAACATTGATTCTTCCTATCCACGAGCATGAAATGTTCTTCCATTTGTTTGTGTCCTGTTTTATTTTGCTGAGCAGTGGTTTGTAGTTCTCCTTGAAGAGGTACTTCACATCCCTTGTAAGTTGGATTCCTAGGTATTTTATTCTCTTTGAAGCAACTGTGAATGGAGTTCACTCATGATTTGTCTCTCCGTTTGTCTGTTATTGGTGTATAGGAATGCTTGTGAATTTTGCACACTGAGTTTGTATCCTGAGATTTTGCTGAAGTTGCTTATCAGCTTAAGGAGATTTTGGGCTGAGATGTTGGGGTTTTCTAAATATACAATCATGTCCTCTGCAACAGGGACAATTTGACTTCCTCTTTTCCTAATTGAATACCCTTTATTTCTTTCTCTTCCCTGATTGCCCTGGCCAGAACTTCCAACACTATGTTGAATAGGAGTGGTGAGAGAGGGCATCCCTATCTTGTGCCCATTTTCAAAGGGAATGCTTCCAGTTTTTGCCCATTCAGTATGATATTGCCTGTGGGTTTGTCATAAATAGATCATATTATTTTGAGATACATCCCATCAATACCTAGTTTATTGAGAGTTTTCAGCATGAAGAGCTGTTAAATTTTGTCAAAGGCCTTTTCTTCATCTATTGAGATAATCATGTGGTTTTTGTCTTTGGTTCTGTTTATATGATGGATTATGTTTATTGATTTGCATATGTTGAACCAGCCTTGCATCCCAGGGATGAAGCCAACTTGATCATGGTGGATAAGCTTTTTGATGTGTTGCTGGATTCGGTTTGCCAGTATTTTATTGAGGATTTTTGCATCGATGTTCATCAGGGATATTGGTCTAAAATTCTCTTTTTTTGTTGTGTTTCTGCCAGGCTTTGGTATCAGGATGATGCTGGCCTCATAAAATGACTGAGGGAGGATTCCCTCTTTTTCTATTGATTGGAATAGTTTCAGAAGGAATGGTACCAGCTCCTCTTTTTACCTCTGGTAGAATTCGGCTGTGAATCCATCTGGTCCTGGACTTTTTTTGGTTGGTAGGCTATTAATTATTGCCTCAATTTCAGAACCTGTTATTGGTCTATTCAGGGATTCAGCTTCTTCCTGGTTTAGTCTTAGGAGGGTGTATAAGTCCAGGAATTTATCCATTTCTTCTAGATTTTCTAGCTGATTTGCACAGAGGTGTTTATAGTATTCTCTGATAGTAGTTTGTATTTCTGTAGGATCGATGGTGATATCCCCTTTATCATTTTTTATTGCTTCTGTTTGACACTTCTCTCTTTTCTTCTTTATTAGTCTTGCTAGCAGTCTATCAATTTTGTTCATCTTTTCCAAAAACCAGCTCCTGGCTTAATTTATTTTTTGAAGGGTTTTTTTGTGTCTCTATCTACTTCAGTTCTGCTCTGATCTTAGTTATTTCTTGCCTTCTGCTAGCTTTTGAATGTGTTTGCTCTTGCTTCTGTAGTTCTTTTAATTGTGATGTTAGGGTGTCAATTTAAGATCTCTCCTGCTTTGTCTTGTGGGCATTTAGTGCTATAAATTTCCCTCTACATACAGCTTTAAATGTGTCCCAGAGATTCTGGTATGTTGTGTCTTTGTTCTCATTCGTTTCAAAGAACATCTTTATTTCTGCCTTCATTTCGTTATGTACCCAGTAGTCATTCAGGAGCAGGTTGTTCAGTTTCCATGTAGTTGAGCGGTTTTGAGTGAGTTTCTTAATCCTGAGTTCTAGTTTGATTGCACTGTGGTCTGAGAGACAGTTTGTTATAATTTCTGTTCTTTTACATTTGCTGAGGAGTGCTTTACTTCCAACTATGTGGTCCATTTTGGAATAAGTGTGATGTGTTGCTGAGAAGAATGTATATTCTGTTGTTTTGGGGTGGAGAGTTCTGTAGATGTCTATTAGGTCCGCTTGGTGCAGAGCTGAGTTTAATTCCTGGATATCCTTGTTAACTTTCTGTCTTGTTGATCTGTCTAATGTTCACAGTGGGGTGTTAATGTCTCCCATTATTATTGTGTGGGAGTCTAAGTCTCTTTGTAGGTCTCTAATGACTTGCTTTATGAATCTGGGTGCTCCTGTATTGGATGCATATATATTTAGGATAGTTAGCTCTTCTTGTTGAATTGATCCTGTTACCATTATGTAATGGCCTTGTCTCTTTTGATCTTTATTGGTTTAAAGTCTGTTTTATCAGAGACTAGGATTGCAACCCTGCCTTTTTTTGTTTTCCATTTGCTTGGTAGATCTTCCTCCATCCCTTTATTTTGAGCCTATGCGTGTCTCTGCGTGTGAGATGGGTCTCCTGAATACCACACACTGATGCGTCTTGACTCTTTATCCAATTTGCCAGTCTGTGTCTTCTAATTGGAGCATTTAGCCCATTTACATTTAAGGTTAATATTGTTATGTGTGAATTTTATCCTGTCATTATGATGTTAGCTGGTTATTTTGCTCATTAGTTGATGCAGTTTCCTCCTAGTACCAATGGTCTTTACAATTTGGCATGTTTTTGCAGTGGCTCGTACCGGTTGTTCCTTTCCATGTTTAGTGCTTCCTTAAGGAGCTCTTGTAAGTCAGGCATGGTGGTGACAAAATCTCTCAGCATTTGTTTGTCTGTAAAGCATTTTATTTCTCCATCACGTATGAAGCTTAGTTTGACTGGGTATGAAATTCTGGGTTGAAAATTCTTTTCTTTAAGAATGTTGAATATTGGCCCCCACTCTCTACTGGCTTGTAGAGTTTCTGCCGAGAGACCCGCTCACTGTTAGTCTAATGGGCTTCCCTTTGTGGGTAACCTGACCTTTCTCTCTGGCTGCCCTTAACATTTTTTCCTTCATTTCAACTTTGGTGAATCTGACAATTATGTGTCTTGGAGTTTCTCTTCTCGAGGAGTATCTTTGTGGCATTCTCTGTATTTTCTGAATTTGAATGTTGGCCTTCCCCGCTAGGTTGGGGAAGTTCTCCGGCATGATATCCTGAAGAGTGTTTTCCAACTTGGTTCCATTCTCCCCGTCATTTTCAGGTACACCAATCAGACGTAGATTTGGTCTTTTCACATAGTCCCATATTTCTTGGAGGCTTTGTTCATTTCTTTTTACTCTTTTTTCTCTAAACTTCTCTTCTCCCTGCATTTCATTCATTTGATCTTCAATCACTGATACCCTTTCTTCTATTTGATCAAATCGGCTACTGAAGCTTGTACATGCGTCACGTAGTCCTTGTGCCATGATTTTCAGCTCCATCAGGTCATTTAAGGACTTCTCTACACTGTCTTTTCTCTACACTGCCATTCGTCTACTCTTTTTTCAAGGTTTTTAGCTTCTTTGTGATAGGTTCAAACATCCTCCTTTAGCTCGGAGAAGTTTGTTATTACCAATCTTCTGAAGCCTTCTTCTGTCAACTCGTCAAAGTCATTCTCTGTCCAGCTTTGTTCCATTACTGGCAAGGAGCTCTGTTCCTTTGGAGGAGAAGAGGTGCGCTAATTTTTAGAATTTTCAGCTTTTCTGCTCTGGTTTCTCCCCATCTTTGTGGTTTTATCTACATTTCGTCTCTGATCATGGTGACCTACAGATGGGGTTTTGGTGTGGATGTCCTTTCTGTTTGTTAGTTTTCCTTCTAACAGTCAGGACCCTCAACTGCAGGTCTGTTGGAGTTTGCTGGAGGTCCACTCCAGACCCTGTTTGCCTGGGTATCACCAGCGGAGGCTGAAGAACAGCTAATATTGCAGAACAGCAGATGTTGCTGTCTGATCCTTCCTCTGGAAGCTTTGTCTTAGAGGGGCATCCCCCGTATGAGGTGTCTGTCGGCCCCTACTGGGAGGTGCCTCCCAGTTAGGCTACTCAGGGGTCAGGGACCCACTTGAGGAGGCAGTCTTTCCTTTCTCAGATCTCAAACTCCGTGCTGGGAGAACCACAACTCTCTTCAAAGCTGTCAGACAGGGATGTTTAAGTCTGCAGAAGTTTCTGCTGCCTTTTATTCAGCTATGCCCTGCCCCTAGAGGTGGAGTCTACAGAGGCAGGCAGGCCTCCTTGAGCTGCGGTGGGCTCCACCGAGTTCGAGTTCCTAGCTGCTTTGTTTACCTTCTCAAGCCTCAGCAATGGCGGACGCCCCTCCCCCAGCCTTGCTGCTGCCTTGCAGTTCCATCTCAGACTGCTGTGCTAGCAGTGAGCGAGCCTCCGTGGGTGTGGGAGCCTCCAAGCCAGCCGCGGGATATAATCTCCTGGTGTGCCATTTGCTAAGGCTGTTGGAAAAGAGCAGTATTAGGGTGGGAGTGTCCCGATTTTCCAGGTGCTGTCTGTCATGGCTTCCCTTTGCTAGGAAAGGGAATTCCCCCACCCCTTGTGCTTCCTGGGTGAGGCAATGCCCTGCCCAGCTCTGTGGGCTGCACCCACTTGTCTGGCAAGCCCCAGTGAGATGAACCTGGTACCTCAGTTGGAAATGCAGAAATCACCAGTCTTCTGCGTCCTTCACACTGGGAGCTGCAGACTGGAGCTGTTCCTATTCGGCCATCTTGGTGCCACCCTCTGATGTTTATATTTCTTATTGGAGCTTTCTTTAAATATCTGATGATCCTTATTGGCCCATTTATTTATTTTTATATTGGTGTCGTTTTACACCTTCATTTAGGGATTATCAAAATTCAATAAACTGCACATATTTAAAATGTATAATTTGACTGGTTTTGGCCAATGCACACACTCCTGAAACCATCACCACAATCAATGTAACAGACATTTCCATCCTTCTAAAATGTTGTCTTGTAACCTTTTTTAGTTTATCTCGTTACACTTCCTCATTTCCTTCTACTCCCCAACCCACTCCTCAGGTAACTGCTGCTGTGTGTTTTGTTCCTATGGATTTGTTTGCATTTTCCAGAATTCTATACAGATGAGATAGTATAGCATGTATTCCTTTTTGCCTGACTTTTTTTTTTTACATAGCATAATGATTTTGAAATTTATCTGCATTCCGTATCCATGTGCATATTTTAAATTGTGGAGTAGTGTTTCATTGTGTGAATATATTACAAAATGTTTAGCCATTTTGTTAATGGACTTCGGGTTGTTTCTAGTTTGAGGCTATTACAAATAAAGCTGCAACAAATATTCATGTACAAGTCTTTGTGTTGACACATGCTTCTTCTTTTCTCTTGTTTAAGTATGTAAGGAGAGGTAAGAAGTCCATTGATTTTTTTTTTTTTTTTAAGACGGAGTCTCGCTCTGTCGCCCAGGCTGGAGTGCAGTGGCACGATCTCGGCTCACTGCAAGCTCTGCCTCCTGGGTTCATGCCATTCTCCTGCCTCAGCCTCCCGAGTAGCTGGGACCACAGGTGCCCACCACCATGCCTGGCTAATTAGAAGTCCATTGACATTTATTAGTGAGACACTACAATGTTGATTGGGTGTTACATGCATGGACATGGCTTGCCAAATGGTGGATTTCATTGCAAGGTTATTGGGTAGGAAGAAGGCCATTTATCTGGGAGACTCCCAAATATCAGTATTTGTGGTTCTTTTAGCCAGGCGATTTCAGGTTTGTGTTTTTTTTTTCACTAATGTTTTACACAAGGAGTGAATAGTCAAGTTGAGGAAGAGGGTTTATAATTTAGTTGATTTTCCCTGTTTTTAAACTAGTGTTTTTCTTCTTCCCTTTATGGTGATTGGTTTCCACAGACCTAGAGTCTATCAAGTTTAATTTATCCAGAAATTAAACTGTTGTTAGGGTTAGAGAAGGTTGTTACCTGGATGCTTGGAAGGAAGTATGCGGGGATGGTCTTTCTTAAAGTCCATAGTCTTAAAGTATATAAAAATCTTCTAGTTTTTAGTCTTATCCCATGGCCTTGCTTCTGAGTTTTCTGGGGTCTAAAAATCCCTAGACTTGCAGGGACACTGGAGTAGCAGCTTGCTTCCTGTTAACATTGCTGTCTTAGCTAAGCATAGGATTCTGAAGATAAGTCATTATCTCTCCTCAGTCTTTTGCCACCTTCCAAATATATGTGAATATCTTCAGCCTGTTATTGTTTCCTCTCTCATGTGTTCTTTTTATTTATTTGTTTTCATTTTAATATTGCCATGGTTAAATGAAGTATAGATTACATGTTTATTCCTTCAGGAATCTCTTTGTGGCTTTGGTAGGTATTTAGACTTATGTATTAGAATTCAGTATTTAATGGTTTGCATCTTTATATTTTAAAAGTATCTCCAACAAACCGCTTTTTATTTTTCTTTTAATTTTTTCAATATTGTTCATTTATTGTTTGTAGACTTCTTTTCATGTTTCAAAGTTAATTTTTAATTATAAAAAATTAAAAAGGAACTAAAAATTGAAAAGTATTAACTAGTGATAAAATATAAGACACAAAATTATCTATATATGATGATAGAACTATACACAATATTTGCATACAATAAAATAAAACAAAAATATTATAATACTTTTTGTGTTAGTACTAAGCCATGGATGACATTTCTCTAGGCATTTTTAATGTTGCTACATAGTTTTAAAACCATCTCGTTAGTGGATTGCCACATAGTTTAAAAGTAGTATTGCTCGAAACATTTTTTGGAGAGGAAAAATATGTGTTTTAAAATCTGTGCTGGTTGGTATCAAACAATACTTTTTCTATTTCATTCCACTAAGAATGCTTAAAGAACACTATTTTCTATGTAAAAAGCTGCAAATTAGCAAGCTTAATGATTTTTTCCAGCATACTTTCATCTCTTTGTATCACAGATTCACTTTGCCAGAGAACAATCTAGAGTTGTCTTTTAAAAAATTATTCTTTCTACCATCCTTTAAAATGTAGCACAGACATTTTTAAGTTTATTAAGTGAAAAATGCCTATTCCAACACTCTTTTCATATCTCCTTTTACCAGATTCAAAACATGTGAGTAAAGTTTTGAAAAGAGACAGGAGACCAACTCACTCCACCCTGCCCCACCTCACGCCACCCACCCACCAAAGTCTGAGTAAGAGTGAGCAGTGCCCTCTCACTTAGAGCTTAATTTTCTTTGTGTGCTTTTATGGAGAATTCGGTATTTAATGGTTTGCATGTTTATATTTTAAAAACTTCTCAATAAATTTTCTTAAGCAAGAACATGTGTTTTCTAATACTGTTTTCATATTTTAAAAGAAAATGCATTTTTTAAGGACTCCTGAGATCTTGTTTCAGACATACAGATTAGGAGCTTTAGAAAGGCTTGATGATTCCTCCAGATAAAAACAAAAAAAATAAACACAGAAACAAATGAAAAATAATCGCTGAGTTAGAAGAAACCTTAAGAATAATTTAACTCTCCCATAATGCTTGAATTATTCATTCAATAATACTTAGAGCATCTATTGGACGCTAAATCCTTACATATAGTCCAGTTGGAGATTTGGTCAACAAATGGGAAAATAACAATGACATTTCCAACCAGTTGGGACAAAAAGTGCTGCAACACCATGTGGCTTAAACAACAGAAATTTATAGTTTCACAGTTCTGGAGGCAAGAAGTCTAAGATTAGGTGTCAGCAGGGTTGGTTCTATCTGAGGGCTGTTCCATGCCTCTTTCTAGCTTCTGGTAGTTTGCTGGCAATCTTGTTGGTTTGGAGAAGCAGCATCACCTGATTTTTGTCTTCATTCCCATGAGGCATTATCCCTGTGTGTGTGTCTCTGTGACCAAACTTCCCCTTTTTATACGTCCACCAGTTATATTATACTAGGGTCTCAAAGTATCTCAGTATGACTTCATCTTAACAATTACTTTGGAAATAACTCTGTTTACAAATGTGGTTTCATTCTGAGGTACTATTTGGACTTCAACAGATGCATTTTGCAGGGACACAGTTCAACCCATAAAGGTTTTCTGGACATTCTATAGTGTTTGTTTGTTTTTATCCTTTCTTTAGCTCAGTAGATTTTGTTCGTAAATCTTTCTCAGTGAAATTATTTCTTTTACTATTTTGTGGTCAATATTTTCTGTATTATTGCTATTTGAGACTTTATTATATTTATATTTGTAATCTAGTATATAATCTATTTCAGTAAAGTTTCCACGAGCACTGGAAAAGGCATATTTTCTGTTTAAGATACAAAAGTTCTCACTACTCTATAGATCTCCATACAATCTACTTTATTAAAAATGTAATTTAAGTCTTACAAATCCTTCTTTATACTTTTTACCTTACTAGAACTTGGACTGCATGAGAATTAAGCTACTATTATTTAAATGTTTCTGCCTGTTTGTCTTTGCATCTCCTGTGTTTTCTGCTTCATGAAGTTGTTTTACTCATTGGGTGCATAGAAATGTATAACACTCATATCTTTACTGTGAATTGTTCCCTTTAGTATATTTAAACTACTTTTCTATGTCACATTTAATGCTTTTTCAAAAGCTCTGAATGTTACCTTTTCAAATATTATGATCATGACTCATTTTTTTCTTACCTCTCTCCTTCCTTTTTCTCTCTCCCTTTTTTTCTTTTGTATCCCACTGTGCCCGTTCTTCTATTGTTATCTTTAGGTATAAATTTGTATTTAGTGTGTCCCTGTCATACACAGCATATAATAGAGATATGTTTTGGGAGTTAATCTGAAAAGTTCTTTCTTTTAGGAGGTAAATTAAGCCTGCATATTTCTTAATATCATAGGTATGTTTGGGCTTACTTCTGTCATATTAATAATGATAATTATTCCATAGTGCTTAATATTACCAGACTTTATTCAAGAATTATATATAAATATTTTAAATTTAATTCTTACATAAACCATCATTTAAAAATATATGGTGAAACTGAGGTACAGAGACGGTAGTAACATACTCAAAGTCACAGCGCTAGTTACTTATAGAGCTGTGATTCAAATTTATTCTGATTCTTGAATTTTTTTCTCTATCACTACATTATACAGGGTCTTTATTTGATGCCTTTTGTGATAATCCTGTATAATTTCTTAAAATCTATTTTCAAGTTCACAAATCATCCCTTTCATCTGTATCTGATATGCTGTTACTCATTCAATACTATTTTAATATCAAAGATTAAGTTAGTTTAGTTCTAAATACTTCTTGGCCATTTTAAGTAGCCTTTTTTGGTTAATTAGAAATAATCAGTTTTAAAATCTTTTAACCATTTTATATATGGTTGGTTTATACTGTGTATCTGATAATTTCAGCATACAAATTTTCTTTTAAACTTAATCTGTATTTTGTTTCTGAGAACTCTCAGTTACAGTAGTTTGATTTTTGTTTATAAGATCATCTGTTTTTTAACTTAATCTGTAAGAATCCTAAGTGTTTATGTTGGAAATATTCCCTGAGAAAAGATTTGGTTGCATTGCCACTATACAGAATTCCCTAACATCTAGGATCACTTTAGCTCCATGGGGGATTAAGGGTAATATAGGAAACTCACATCAGCTCCCTAACCTTGAGACAGACTCAAAGTTTAGGTCTCCCAGATCCTAGGCCTTGTATCAGTATTTTCTCCCAGAACAACTTCCTGTCACTTATTGATTACTCATGGCTCTCTGCTCAGATTTTAGCTCATTGCCTACCCCCTCACACTTCGAGATTTCTTTTCCTTTCTGTGAGCTTAGCCATAAAAATATGTTTGTCTTAACTTATCTAAGTTCTAGTTGTCTTTTAGTGGGAGGACTCTTCAGGATAAAGCCATACTTCAGGAAATAGTGATGTGTATGCACATTTTAAAGACTTCTGAGCTATATAGACAAATTCTACTCTATAAAGGTCGTAATAATCCATACTCCTCTAGAAATGATTTAGTGGCTCTGGTCTTCTTAAAATTGCCAACACGGGAAATTATAATAAAATAATATACATGGATCATATGATAAAGAAAAGTAGTATCTTTGTATCTTTGTGTTAAGTTGATTTTTTTATAGTAGTGATTTAGTGTATTTTTGAACATATGTGCCATTTACTTTCTAGTTACCTGGAAATGTAGATGTAGATATTAGGATAGGTCTGACCTGGAGATGTGCAAAGCTTTGCCCATAGAGTATATAATCCAAGGAGTGCATGTGCAACAACAGTAAATTAAGACAAAGAGTATCCCAGGAAACATCAGAATTCATGAGTCATACTGAGAAGTAGGAGCCAAAGAAAGATATGGAAGTGCTCAAAGATGACTTATTGGGAGATATGAGTAGTGTCAGCAATCAAATGAAGAAAAAATTCAAAGAAAGAAAGGTTGTTATGAGTGTTACATGATAAAGATAAATAACATAGGATGAAGGCTAAAAAACAGAAATTTGAATTTAAAAGTAAAAGTTTCCCTACGACCATAGCTACACTGCTTTCAGGTAAGGACAGAAACAGATACAATGGAATAGCAGGACAGTCCTGAACAACTACTAATATAGATTCAATGTATCATAACATATTGAGAGTCAGGGATCTTTTGAGACTATGACGGAAAAAATTGATTTTTTTTTCTGGAAAATGCTCACATGCACACACAATCTAAATATTGAATGCAATATCTAGATATTCACATTTCCTCTGACAACTATCTTTATCTGGCTTTACTTATTGTCACCTAATTTAAGAAGTTTCATCACAGCAGAAAGGAGAAATACCAATACCTTCAGGAGAGGATAGGGGTAGGTTAAGGTAACATGTAAAAAAATACCTGGCTTTTACTAAACACATGTTCATTGAATGCTTGTTGATTTTTCAGTAGCCACCAGGAAAGAAGAGGAAAAATATAATTGTCGGCACAGTGTCCGCAGAGGACTGAGAGGTACTGGGATCATGAGTGTAGTGGAGACATTAGTGTTTTAGGGAGGAGGGACGTGGACTTTGGAAATATCAGTTTATTCAGAATCTGTTTTATGTCATGAATTGTGTTAGAACATTCTTATGCAATGTCTCCCATAATCTTCAAACAACCCTAATGTTACCTTTTACAGTGAGCATTTGAGTGTTTAGAGAGGTTAAGTAACTTTTTCAAATTCATGTTCGAAAGTGGTAAGCAGGAGAATCTAACCTCCATTTGTCACACACCAAAGCTGCCACACTGCTGGGAGAGTTATAAAGAAGTTAAAAAATTACTTACTGTAAGAAATATTGAAGTTCTAGGGAAGGTAAATTAGGGAAATTTAAGTTTCAATTTTCACTGGCAAATAGCTGTGAATGACCACTTGAGAATAGCCATTAGCCTGGCTTTCTCCTCTCTACTGACTTGTCAGCAATGTCCCTTTCATCACCTGAAGCAGTATCCACACAGATCTGCAACTGCTTGGCCCTGCTGCCTGGTCCCTTTCATGCTGACAGCATTGGAAACAGGGATTGGACCAAGCTTCTGGGAAAAAAACCAAGTTGTCCACAGGAGATTTTCACATGTGAGCTAAACCAAAAGGGAGAACAAACGGGATATAATCAGGTGCATCACAGCAATCTGCTATCTCCTACCAAAGCCACTGAGCTTTGCCTTTTTGTTTCTTTTCTTTTCTTTCTTTCTTTTTTTTTTTTCTGAGCACCATCCCAAAAATAAAGAAAGAGGCTACGAACCTTCCATATAGTAGAAGTCTTAGGATTAAGCATTTTTTCCCTCTATGCAATATTACTGTTCATGTTGGTTCAGAAGATCTTTAGCTCTTTGAAACTCTGTTTTTATATATTTTGTTTTGCTCCATATTTAGGAACATTTTAAAAATACTATTACTTTCTGTTGTTTATGTTTGAATTGTATTGCAATTTGATCTCCTGCTAAGTAACTTCCAACTTAAGTAGATATGATAAAATTAACAGGCTCCAAATATTTATTTCTCTTAGTTATAAATTCTTGGTAATGAATACTGTGTTTGATTAAAATTATAATAGGGGTTTTAAGCAGTAATGTGTATAGTCAAAGGAATTCTGATTCGAATTTGAATGTTTAAACAGACCTTATAATTATTTAAGGGGGAATATTCTGTTATTTTGTTGTAGCACTGCTCAGAGAGGTAGCATATAATTAAAGTTGAAATCTAACTATTTTATAACCACTGTTCGAAAGTTTAATAACTTGTGCCAAAAGTGTCTTTGAAGATCAGTGGTTTCACTTTAAATGTAAATTGAGTGGGACAAACTGGCCAAGCTTACTGAGATATTTTTGCATACACCTTATGTACTTCCCCCAGTTCCTACAAGAACAATCAACCAAACAATGAACTAAACAAACATGTAAAGCAACAAGGAAAAAACATTTTTTAGTTTAATGTTTCAGCATAAATGGATTGAAGATATTTCTCGCATTATGCTTTTGGCTGTGGATGGAAGAGCCAACACTTGTGTATTCTGAACAAATATTTTGAGTTTCAGAGGCCCAGAGCAACAAAGTTTTGTCTATAAACAACAGATGACAGGTATTAATTAATAAAGAGTGTGTTCATATGTAGGCAGCCTTGACGGACTCTTGATTCATGGCTGGTATTTTCAGACACAACCACACATAGCTGTAGTAGCACTATTAATAGGAAGATTCAAATAAATGTTCAATTAGAGGATTCCTCGATCAGATGATCTTATTGAAATCAGGTGAAGGGAGGAACTATGGTAATAAGCCAGTTACTGCAAAAATAGAATGAGATTAATTGAGATTTTACAGACACTATGACATTGGAGTTGTAAGACTAAAGCCCTATAGGGCTTTTAATGGCTCAAACCTCATAGAATTTTGTCTAACTGCTGCCGTCCACCTGTCCTAGTTTTTCCTCTCTTCGCATTTCCAGAGATCAGTTCAGTTTAGGGGATGTTGGTCTGTAGTGAAATGCTTGGTGAGATCCAATTCTAACCTTTCAACCTATGAAATAAAATAGTAGACCTTTTGAGTGAGTATGGGGGTGATGCAATTGGGTGTTTGATATTTTCCATGAGAGTATGAGACCCTGGAGGCATCTTGAATTCCTTTCAATCTGTCCTTCAGATTTTATTCCGAGATTTCGTTTATGCCACACACTGTTAACCTTCTTTGAAATTCAGGAAAAGTCCTCCTAAGGGCAATTTCAAAGTCAATCTAAACTGGGACCCAAAGGATTAGGGGATGTTGGTGAGCTTGTGTAGTATTTATCTGACCTCAGATATTTAGAAACGTAACAAAGCCTGGTCTTGGCACACTGTATATTCCCTTCAATAATGGTCTATTCCTAAACTTTCATTTTTATTTTTATGATTTTTTTTTTTTTGAGACGGAATTTTGCTCTTGTTGCCCAGGCTGGAGTGCAATGGCGTGATCTCGGCTCACTGCAACCTCTGCCTCCTGGGTTCAAGAGATTCTCCTGCCTCAGCCTCCTGAGTCACTGGGATTACAGGCGCCCACCACCATGCCCGGCTAATTTTTTGTATTTTTTAGTAGAGATGGAGTTTCACCATTTTGGCCAGGCTTGTCTCGAACTCCTGACCTCAGGTGATCCACCCGCCTTGGCCTCCCAAAGTGTTGGGATTACAGGCACAAGCCACTGCGCCTGTCCTAAAATTTTACTAGTAGTATTTATAAGTATTATAAGGCATCTAAAAAAAATGCAAGGCACCAAATGTATGATGCTCCTGGAGGTAATTTGAACTTTCTTGAGCTGCATGGAGATTTTTCTTTAACAGGTCTGTTTAGGAATATGTTGCAGGTGGACTATAGACCACACTTGGAGAAACTGCACTAGTAAAACAGGACAACTGACTTGTTTTTTATTCCAAGCAAACATTGAACTTTGTGACCTCCATGCTTGTACCTCTCAGGTTACAAAACACATTTTGCCATGTCACGTATTTGTCTATATTTCTTATCTATTGGCTTCCAAGCTGCTAACTTCTTATTTACTCAGTGCCTCCCCATAGTGCCTTGTACACATTTAGGCACCATGTTATTACAGTGTGATGGTTAAGAGCCAGGGCTTTAGAGACTGACAAACTGGGTTGGAATACAGGCTGTGTTGTTGCTGTGAGCAAATTAATATATCTGAATCTCTAGTTCCTCATTTATAACACTAAGTAACAAGAGATTTTAAGTTACGCAGTATATGCTTATTAAAAAAACCCAGAAATATATGTAAGAAAACTATTAAAATAAAAATCAATCTAATTTCACCTCCCAGAGAAACATGACTTTTTTTTTTTTTTTTTTTTTTTTTTTTTGAGACAGAGTCTTGCTCTGTCACCAGGCTGGAGTACAGTGGCACCATCTCGGCTCACTACAACCCCTGCCTCCTGGGTTCAAGTGATTCCCCTGCCTCGGCCTTCTGAGTAGCTGGGACTACAGGTGCGTGCCACCACGCCCGGCTAATTTTTTTTGTATTTTAGTAGAGACGGGGTTTCACCATGTTGGCCAGGATGGTCTCGATCTTCTGACCTCATGATCCACCCGCCTCGGCCTCCCAAAGTGCTGGGATTACAGGCGTGAGCCACTGTGCCCGGCCTGAAACATTACTTTTTAATTTGTATTTATTTGCATGTCAATTTAAAGTAATGTGCCATTCAGATCATTTTTGTGTGTGCCTTTTTTTAAAGAACATGCTATGAATACTTTTCCATATTAATAATGTTTTACCTTGTAACTTTAAATAACCATATTTTATTCTTATTGTATTTGTATAAAATAATTCCATAATATTGGACATTTAATTTTTTCTCTCTTTTTTTTTGTACTTTACTAAAACAAAGCTGTGGTGAATATTCCTTTGTACAATCTCTTGTCAATTTTTTTCTTGTTATTCTAAAAAGAATAACTTAAGACTTTATAGTCTTAAGACTATATACATAAGTCTTAAGACTATATACATTTTTAAAGATTTTATGCTTACTACTTAATTGCCATTGAAATATTTATACTTTCATCATCAGTGAATGAAAGATCTCTACCAATGTTACCTATCATAATAAAGAACACTTTGACAATTTGATAATTGGAAAACGGCAACTAATTTGTATTTCAAAATTTATTTTTAATTCAGCAAATACTAATATGCATCTCCTCTGTTCCAGTCACTGAATGTTGGGAAGGGGAAGTGATTGAGAGGTGAGCAAGGCAGATCAAGTTTCTACTTTGATGGAACTTAAAGTCTAACAACTTTAAACAAGTAGCAATTAAAGGGGTGATGATAAGGAGCATTTAAGGTTATGTTCCAGGTTCAGGGTGTTAGATTAAGCCTCCTAAAGTGGCACTTACAGATGAATTGAAGTTAGCCAAGGTGGGAAAGGAGGGCAATGCAGGGAGGCACAGAAGTAAAATCTTTCTGGACTGGCCGATGCTGGAGAAACAGAAGAAAACAGTTTGGTTAGTGCGTGGAGTATAACAGAATGATTCAAAATGAAGTTTGAGAGGTAGTTAGGGGTCAGATCCCATAAGGCCTTGGAAGGTATGTTAAGATTGAGGACTTCATTTTGAGGGTTAGATGTTTCATTTTAAGAAGATAATTCTGATTGAAGTTTGAGAATTGAGTACAAGAGAGCAAGGATACGTATGGGGAGCCCAGATGGAAGGCAACAGTGTGGCCCACAACGGCTTGCAGTGTATGTTATTCAGAACTCCTTGGTTGCAAGTGATAGAAATTTAACTCAAGCCAGCTTGAGGAAAATGGAGAATTTGTTGATTCTTATAACCAAAACATGAAAAGTAGAAGTTTCATCTGGGCCTCTCAGCAGAATAGAAACCCAGGACTCCAATGCTCTTAAGAGTCTCTATCTTTCCCCCTCCCCAACTTTCCTGTTCTCTTCTCTTATTCATCTTTTTTCTATCCTTCTCTTTATATCTCAAGCTAATTATCTCAGACTGACTTCCTCCACATGGCTGAAAACAAGGCCAGAGGTGACTCTTGTAATACAAATATTATTGCCTCACCATCTGGAAAGGGACAGATCTTCTCTCCTCCCCTTTTAAAAAATAGATCTTAATTTTTACAGGAATTTTAGGTTTACATCAAATAGACTGGAGTACACAGATTTCCCATATGCCTCCTACCCCCACAGCTGTATATACTCCTCCATTAACATACTCTACCAGAGTAGTACATTTGTTGTGACTGGTGAACCCACACTGACCCATCATTACCACCCGAAGGCCGTAGTTTACATAAGTTGTTCATTTTGGTGTTGTATAGTCTGTGGGTTTGGACAAATGTATAATGACATGTGCCCGCTATTGTATTATTCAGAGTAGCTGCACTGCCCTAAAAATCCCCTGTGCTCCATGGAAGATAGTATGACTATTAATAACAAATGGCTGAATTGAATAGATATTAAATTTAAATGATAAAGATGTCTTCTGGCTTTGATTCCTTGTGGTTGATAAATGGCTCAAAGTGCAATGGAAAATGAGGGTGAGGATGATACAGAATGTGGTGTTATAGAAGCCAAGGGAAGAGAACCCTTTTTAAAAAAGGGAGTAAAAAAAGAATGAGATCCAGTCATTTGCAACATGAATGGAACTGAAGATTATTATGTTAAGTGAAATAAGCCTGTCACAGAATGGCAAACATCACATATTCTTCCACTTATTTGTGGGATCTAAAAATCGAAACAGTAGAACTCATGGACATAGATAGTAGAAGGATGGTTACCAGAGGCTGTTAAGTGTCATGGGGGGCTGTGAGGGAGAGGTGAGGATGGTTAATGGTTACAAAAATAGACAGAATGAATAAGATCCACTATTTGATAGTACAACAGGGTGACTATAGTCAAAAATGACTTAACCATACATTTTAAAATAACTTAAAGAGTGTAACTGGATGGTTTGCAACTCAATGGTTAAATGCTTGAGGGGATGGATACCCCATTCTTCATGATGTGCTTATTTTAGGTTACATGCCTGTACCCCTTCTCATGTACCCCATAAACATATACCTACTATGTACTCACAAAAATGTTTTAAAAAAGGGAATGGTCCTTATTGTCCACTATTGCTAAAATATGGAAAAAGAGAAAGACTAAAAGGTGGATGTTGAATTTAGCAACACTAAAGTTCATTGGACTTCCTGATGAAGAAAGCATAGCACAATGGTTTGGCTGGAAGTCACAGGGGTTGAGTAATGAGATGAAGAATTAAAGATGGCAATTACAGGCATTTCTATTAAAAGTTCTTTGAAGTTTATTATTTTAAAATACATTAATTGGTTTGCTATTTATTCTTTGTAAATCTGTTTCTATTTTTTGTCCATATTTCCATTGGTGGTATCTTTTACTTTTTGACATATAAGTGCTATTTATATAATGCTATTAAATTTGTTCTATATGATTCAGTTTTCCCCAGCTTCCCTCTTCCTTCCTTTTTTCCTTCTTCCTTCCTTCCTTCCTTCCTTCCTTCCTTTCTTTCTTTCTTCTTTCCTTCTTTCCAGAGTTGGAATTGCTCTTTCACCCAGGCTGCAGTGCAGTGGCACGATATCCGCTCACTGCAACCTCCGCCTCCTGGGTTCAAGAAATTCTCCTGTCTCAGCCTCTGAGTAGCTGGGATTACAGACGTGCGCCACCATGCCTGGCTAATTTTTGTATTTTTAGTAGAGAGGGGGTTTCACCATGTTGGCTAGGCTGGTCTTGAACTCCTGACCTCAGGTGATCCACCCCCTTTGGCGTCCCAAAGTGCTGGGATTACAGGCATAAGCCACCGCACCTGGCCCCCAGATTCTTAATTTACTATTAATAGACTTTATTTTCTTGGTTGTTGTTTCTCTAAATTTTAACTTTTTGATATAGGCATTCTGCCTCTGGTTTTGTGTTTAGAAAGGCTTATAAATAGGCCTCCATCATAGCCTATAAATAGTTACAACATTTTTGTCCAGAACTTTTTTGGAATTTCCTTTGGGGTATGGAAGGAAGTAGAAATTTAATTTTTTTTCTAATTTTTTCTCAGCAAGTTTTCTTTAAAGTTGTTTCACTTTAAACAATAAGTTTCTTTTTAATTCAACTTATCAAAAGAATGACTCCTCTATATGTTAAAACACACTTCATCTTACAAAACAATGCAGTCTTGACAGATGGGCTATAAATAGTGGCTTTTTTTTTTTTTGGATGTTTGAAACAAATCCGAACATAGACTCAGTCATGTTACTAAGAGCTTTCACAAGGAGTGAAGGAAATGTTCTTCTTTATGTAGGTGGATTTTCATTGGAAATTACTGTTAAATACAAATGAGCCTACTATTAATGGCACCAATGGTGTATGTATGGCTTGTAATTCATCTTGTTTCCAAATGAAGTACATGGGAAGTGTGAGTGTTACTTTTATGGGGGAGTAGAGCAGACAGTCTCAGTTATGTCTGCAAATTCAAGATATGTAGTATCTGATGATGTTGGAGGTTGGGTCACACAACATGTCAAACTCCAATCAAAGGAAAATTACTTGGGAATCTGTAACTTGGTACTTATCATTGCTGGGAAGGTGGCTATGCCAGGGGCTTTTGCTGAAGCAAGAACAAAAGTCATTTTCCTAGTCATTGTTCCACATATGTTTTTTTTTTTTGCTAACATATCTTCTAAAAATAAAGTCACATAGTTCACAATTATGGCTTGATTTGAACTGTACACGCTACCAATGGACATTTTTCTGAACACAAAAATCCATCATGGATCTGTATCCCGTGCTCAGTAAAAATATATCCGTGTTTGCTCTTCAGCACAGCTCTCTCACCGACAGTTCTGCAGAAGTGGGTGAGTTCTTCGAAGATCAAGACACTGAAAGCCACCTCTGGAATAGTGAATTAAGTAAATTTACTAGTTTACCAAGAATATTGTTTTACGGATTAATCTGCATAATCATATTGAGTGATTTTGTATATGGCTTCTCTTAAACATACGTTATTTACTATATTAAATGAGTATGGTTTTTTTCTTGAATATATTTAATAATCTACTGAAGAACATATTCAGCATGAATATATTCTTCATAAATGCATTCTTCCTAATTGTAGTGTTTAGAGTATATTTTTCACATATAAGAATATATTCATTAATTTATTCTTCTTGATTATGTTTGTAGAACTGCTTTATTGGAACATGCTCTTTATTAACATATTTATACTCGACTATATTAAGATATATACATGTTATATATTCTATATATTTGTTAACAATATTCACAAAAAAGCAATAAGCCTAGGATCCAGCTTCTGGCAAACTGAACATTATTTAAAATGTATTTAATGAGAATGTGTATATTTAAAAATAATATTTCTTATACTAAATTTTAGTAAATTTGCAAATTTGGTGAATTTGGCAAGTTTGTCACTTGGTGAATTGATGCTGTTACTGACCTCGGGTTTAATTCTGTTATCAATTTACTTACTTAAGAAAGCATAATTTGTGATTGTTTTTCAAGACTTAAAATGGAAAAAATACATTTTTGTTTCATAGCTTTCATTCAGCCGTTTCAACTTGGCTTCTATGATGATGTAATAAAAACCAATTTAAAATCAATTATAATTTTCAACAAGATACTGTAATCCTATTCCTAGAACTGATAATGATTTGATTTTTTAGGATTAGTTATTTATCTAAGATGAATGAGCAGAGTTACTGTCTTTGCCCAAAGGAAAAACAAAAGATGTAACCCTGCATGCCAACGAACCCATCACTCTTTCTCTGGTTCTAACATTTTAGAATAGCCTGGACCATTCTTAGTTCAAGACTACTTTGCTTACATCATAAGAATTGAGTCACAGATTTATAATGATTTACTGTTTCTACTGCAAGGAGAAAGCAGATTCCATCTGAACATGCTACTTTCACATGTATTTAGCCCTTATTTTCTGAGATTTACAGAAGAATGAACTGAATTTGCACCATAAACGTCAGAAGTGTAAAAAAAATCTGCAATTTTACTTAGCAAAACCAAGCAGGAAACAAAAAGAGATCAAAATCAAAACAAAGCCCTCCAATGCTTGAAGATTAAAAATTAACCAGCTTCTTTTATTGTGTTATTATGGCTTTTAGTATTTTTATGATAACGAAAAGTAACATTTACCCACCCTTTCTTATGGAGTTTATATGAATAAACTCCTTGGGTTTATATAAATATGGAATAGGAGATTTTGGGGAAAGAACCTTTATTATTAACAGTGATTTTATCAAGAAAAGGTAGAAGCAATATTGCAATTAGTTATTTAAGAAATAGGGCTAGGATTTACTAACATTTGAGTTCAATGTAAAGAAAAAAACCCATTCTAAATCTAAAATCCCAAACTGTTACCTTTTCTTTTTTTAAAATCTCATTTGTCTGTAACTTGATGAATCAAATGCATTGTTAACATTGAATAGAGCAGGACTTTAATTCATATGTTTCCTTTATCTTGTCTTTCTCTTATGCATATAATTTTCTGCTGCATTCATTCAGATAAGAAATTCACAGCATTATATGAAGAGTCCTAAAACGTCTCCCAGACTACATATATGTGCCTCTTTGGCTTCAAGTGTGCTAAAATTTCTAACATGTGAGCCAGTCTCCTTAATTAAAAAACTAACAAAAGGCCCCTATTAAAATATATATCTAACTGGGAGGGGCATATCAAATTCAAAAGTAAGAAGGGGTAATTTATTGTTATGAATTTATTAATTGGATTAGCTTTCTGGCAACTAGAATAGAACCAAGGTATGGAACACTATGGAAAGTGAGTCAGGTGAACTACTGTAACTTAGGCCTCCATGAAGCCGAGTATCAGAAACATAGGTTTCTGGTATGATGGATTAAGGAGAGAGGGCTCTTCCTTGGATTATATTGTCTCTCAGCTTCTTATTATGCTAAAATTTTATGATTCTGTCATTGTAGAAGTTCCCGAAAGGCAGGAAATATAGTTTTTTAATAGATACAACTGATAGCTCATAAAGTTGCTTAATGTACCTGTAACATCAATGCTACATGCAAATGGTCACTCAGTAAACAAGATTTATCTAATTTTTGAAGATTCATGAATTCACTTATGAAAGTTCAAGTTTTTACCGCTCATCAGTAATTTTATCATATTTAAAGGACACTATTTATCAGGCAAAAGGAATATGTTGGACCCATATGATTCCTTTGCTTTTCTTCAGCCATTAATAGGCATTCTTCATACTTTCTGCATAACAACTGGTCTTGAGGGTAGACACAGTAAGTGTCCATCTAGTGGGTGTGATTTGAAAGGTATTGCAAAATTTTGTTCTGCTCTGCCCTATTTCCATTCCAATGCAAATGTCCATTATTAACATTTTCCCTTTGCATGAGGTAAGCTAGGGGAGAGTCTTCTCCTGTGTTTTATAAACATACATATTTTTTTTTCTGGAAAGGAGGATGAGGATTAGTTATCCCTTAATCAGAATGTTCTTTGGTTAGCTGATGTCATGCTGAAAAGTAGCAAAATGAGGTACTCAAGGGATATCTAAGATAAGAAATAGATGTTCACAAATCCTGCAATAAGCAATTTGTGGTGATAAGGCAAACATTCAATCTTGATGAATGGAAGACAACTACCTACTAAGAACAGCCCACTTGCATTTAACCTTGAAGTTGTCTTAGAAAGCTGTAAGAAGTTACACTTGAGAAGCAAGAAAGAAGGTCCTGCAAGAAAAAAGGGGCCAATTTTGTACATGAAGAGCCAGATGAATATAAGCAATAAGAACAAACATTTATTGATCACCTACTGCGTACAAGACCTTGCCATGAGTGCTATATGTGAAGAGATATTAAGTCTCATTTGTAATTAGTTCTCAGCACAAGTAGAAATGATCATAGGACTGGGAATATTTAGTTCTGAAAATGTTCTAAGGAGATGTCAGAGAAAATGGGCAACCATGTCTCCATGGCCCAAGAAAATATGAACCTAATGGCATGACAAGTTTGTATCTACAGAGTCCCAAAGCAACAGGTCAATTAAGTAAGTCTCTCTCCCTGCCTTTCCACATCTGGTGCCACAGTCCTCTGCTAAACTGAAGATTCCAAAATGTGTAACTCTAGCCTTTTGCCTGAGCTTCAGACTCATGTCCTACTGCCCACAGGACATACCCACCTGGATGTGACGCACAGGTCATGTCAGCGTAAGTATGAGCGTATGTTCATGTTGAAATTGAGTGTACTTTTCCCCCTAGAGCTGCTCTCTGTCCTAATTTTTTATCGCAAGTACTGGTACTATCAAGCTAGAAACCTAGGAATCATCTTTGATACTTCCTCCTCCTCTTTCATCCCATATATTCAGTAATCACCAAAGATGTTAGTTACAAATATTAATTAATTCTCAAAAAAGGTTTTATTTTTTATGAATAGATGATTCTATCTAAAATGTTTAATTTTAGATCGATATGCTTGTAGATAATTATAAAATTTACTTATTTATTACATTTGGTAATATTAAACATGAAGACAATATTCTTTGTCTTATATATCGTGCTATTTAATTTGTGACATACACCCCTTATGTTAAATTAATGTTGAGAGAAAAAGCGTGGCCTGTTAAGAAATAAATTTATAGATGACATTATGTCATATTTGTAGATTGGAGTTTACTATATGTTTTAATTTGTTAAAATAAGAGGAAGCTGATTTTTTATGTTTGGAATTTTTATACTTAAAATATTTTAAAAGTGTAATATATTAATACACTTGTTTAATAATGTTGGAGTTTAAAATGGAAGAAATAAGAGTAGGTTTTGTATAAGCATATTTCTCTAAATATGAAAAGCCTGCTTATGTAAAATTCTCCATCCTATTACTCTTTTTTCAAAAATAGGTCTTGAAGCAGTGGAAAAATAACATGAGGTAGTAGGTAAATATTTTGAATAGGTGAATGAAATTTACTGATCAGATGAAGGCAATCTTGAGAGAAATGTATAACATTATCATTTTATGCTCCTCATTAGGTTATATTTTGAGACCAGTGCTCTTTATGCTTCCTGCCTTTAGCCATGGTCCATTAGAGGTAGAAATAAAACAGCATATAACCACAAATATAGATCATTTAAAATTGTCTAATGATCCAAACCACCATGCTGACAAACGGTATTCAGCTGAGTGGCAAAGGGAAGGATAGGTGAGTCATATGCACATGCTCATCGATTAATCCTCATCCCATGCCTCATTTATACATACACAGAGCTCCAAACTGTTCCCTTTACATGATTTAAATCATCATTTTATTTACTCGTCCCAAAGTAGAAATCTGAATGGACACTATCCCGACCTTGAACCATTTTATACATACATAGAGCTCCAAACTGTTTCCTTTATATGATTTAAATGATTATTGGCTCGTCCCAAAGTAGAAATCTGAATGGATACTATCCTGACCTTGAACTACATGCAGCCAGTTTGAGAAGTTCTGGGAATCAACGCTGGATGCGTCCTAGCTCTAACTAATATTTCGTGACTCCAGTCAGGAACATTATGGCTGCCTCAGGCCAGTTTTCTAAATTACACTCTAAGTAATAAAAAAAGGCAGAAAAATTGGAGACTGACAGAGGTTCTTGGACAACACAAAATACAATAATTAGAGAAACAAGAAAACATACCAAAACCTGAAGTAGTCAAGAACACAGCATTAACATGGATCAAAGTGTTCTATATTCTTATTACATTTTTAAAGAATCAATTCCAATGATTTTTAATGACTTTTTAATTGGTGAAAACATAATGATCCTTGTGGAAAACAGCATAGAAATTCCTAAAGGAAAAATAAAATCAACCACAGGATTATCCACTTTCTGGATAACTATAGATTATACAGAAATAACCACTTTTAAAATTCTGGTTTAGGTCCTCCAGTGTTTTATCTAAATGAATACATCAATAGGCATACCCACACCCACACACACCTGTGGAGAGGTAGCTTAGGGTAGTTACGATTCTCTAGGGCCAGACTTCCTGAGTCTGAATCCTGGCTCTGCCACTTATAAGGTGTGTGACTTTGTACAAGTTACTTGACCTCTCTGTGCTTTAATTTTTACATCTTTAAAGTTGGGAATAATACTTATGTCATAAGATTTTAGGAGAATTAAATGGGTTGATATCTGCAATGCCCCTAGAACAGTGCTTGGAATATGGAAAGCAGTATATATTGTTTATATTTTTATTATTATCTCTAATTGTATATAGTTTTACAAAAAGCAACATCACATTGTATGTTATATTAAAGCTTGTGTCTTTCCAACTTGGTGCTAGCCCTTTAGCTGCCTCTTCATCCTTTTCTTATATGTTGGGGTCTTTGAAAGTGCTTAGTAAATACCACCTTTCTTTCTCCATCTTAATTGTAAATCATTTTAAACCCGAGACAGACAAGTATTGCACGTGGAGTCCAAAGTGTCAATTTTACCACTAGGCAAGCTCATAGTAGGAAATGTGGCTTAAATTAGAGGATCCAATGGCAAGTGGATTTCCTCATAGTGAAACTCCAAATAGAAGGACTTTCCATGTGGTCACTGGATTACGTCAGTGTTACCCACATGAGTGACTGGGGTATGGAGAGGAAAGGCGTGCTGTGCTAATGGAGCTAAATATATGCGGAGGCAAATACTAAAAATGAGAAACAATATTAATCTTTTCCTTTTCTCTTTTTCTTCTTCCAACGTGGAAACATTTTACTATTCATTTTTATATGCCTTACAAAATTATGTACTGTTTGTAATCTGGCTGCTGAAGCATTGGTAACAAAGCAATGGTAACAAATACGGTGTATGTATCATCAAGTCAGTCCTTGGACATTTTCCCCACACACATAACCTAAATAAGCAAACTGTATATATTTTGCTATGTGAAGACTTGGTGACTATGACTGTGTTTACATGATGCAACAGTGATTAGTTAATGTATGCAGGTTGGTTAAAAATCAGTTGATTTGACAACAACATTTTGTTTTATTTGGTATGACATAGAAATTGCAATGCCTGCATATGTAAAGTGGGGAGCTGACCAATTATGCACATTGTAAATCTCCTGAATTTTTTTCTTACTGAGAATCAGAAGAGCATTGAGGACTGAAATTATGTTGTTAAATATGAATAGCGACCCTTCATTCAATGTTGATTGCATGCTAATTTTATATTATATGTTTATATACCATACATCTTTCATCTAACTCTATTGCAATGATTATGGTTGTGTTGGTCATTTGTTTATCTGGCCTCACACCCATTCTCTCCTATCCTCTGATCCTCTCTGTATCCCAAGAGAATAACTCCTGCAAACTAAGTTTTCCACTCCAATGCCACCTGACTTCCTTTTATGTATGTCAGTGGGAAGTACTGGTGTGAGACTGGGGTTGTGGAGAAGGGGAAAGCAAGGTATTTCTGCCTCTCACAGCTTCCTGCATGTCAGCCCTTCCCTTTTCTGATATAGCCTTTGGAGTGGGAGTGACTTTCCACTGCTGTAAATCTCTGAGTTGCCCACAATCCCACAATTTTTTTTAGCTCTTCTTATATCATTATAACTAGTTTTCCATATAATATCCCTCTATTAAATTATCTATTATGAGTTCTATTTTCCTATCAGGACCTTGACAAAGATAGAGACTGTCTTCATTTTGTAGAAATATTAAGTAACTTGTACAAAAACACACGGCTAGTTTAAAAACAGGCTTTCAAACCAGTTGTACCTAATTTCAAAGCCCAAGTATTTGAACTACTATGCTGCAATCAAGTGATCGTTCAAATGAATACCCAAATGAATAGTTTTCATTAATCACCTCTTTCTATTACTTAGCTCAAATTGTCTGCATTATGGCACTAACTAGCTATCATCATCACTTAACTATCTATCTCTCCCAATTGTTTATAAGGTCACTTGAGAGCAGGCACATTTTATTCATCTTTGTATCCCCAGTACCTACTACTGTGCTTGGAATGTAGTGGATTCTTAATAAATATTTGTAGAATAAATGAGTAGTAATCACTGTCATTGACAGAGTGACTATTTTATTTCAGCAGCCCTGCAAGGAGTCTTATGTAAATTTTATAACTCAATCTTCATGACAATCTTGCAAAGTAGTCATAAATATTTCAATATCAGAGATGAGGAATAGGCTCAAAGAGTTTAAACAGCTCACAATTAATCTGCTATTAATGCTAGGCTAAGTGGATTACAAGGTCTGCTATTTTGACTATGTCTAGCTGCCTCCCTACATAAATTTATGTGAAAAATACATAAATAAATGTGTTGGAAAAAACTCAAATCATTTTATTGAATTTTCAGGTTTTTTTTTGAGCCTTATAAACAGATAAAGTCTTGTCTCTATGAGAAAAAGGAGCAGCTCAGTGTTTACATGCCATATATTGGCACGTAATGGAAATACATATGTTTGTACTTACCTAGTCTACGCAGATAAAAGGAAAATAAGAATTGGGATAATAATCTGAAGAAATGACATAGTTGATATTGCTGCCAAACTAAAATCAGAGCTGGACAGTAAAGTGGTAAAAGATTTCATTAAGGGACTACTGCGATAGGAGAAAAGAGACCTCAGTGTAGTACTGGGCTCAATTCCGAATATAGCTTGGACAGATGGAGATTTTTAGCCAAGCAGCAGGGTGGGGGCCAGGGGATGGAAAATTACTAAGAGGAAACATCGGGAGTAAGGAGGGATTGTGGCTAAACCAATGTGACAGGATTTTTACTGACTGAAGGCCAGGATGATCAGATATCGCCTGGGGGGTTCCGGGGGATGTAGAATTTGATCAACTATCAAGATGATCAGATATCAAGAGTGAGGGATTCTCTCCAAACAGACTTAGCAAGATTCTCACTACAATTAGGCAGTAGAGGGTTGGACACCAAGACTGAGGCCTAGAGCACATAGAGGAGTCAGAACTAGACTTAGGTAAAGGAGTTCATCCTGTTATCAAGTGTGGAAAATGCTGGTTAGCCACATGATTATCTACTCATTCTCTAGAATTACTTGGTATGGTGTGTGACATTGATGATATTTACAACCAATTCCCCTAAACACAGAATTCAGGTTTCAACTTTACTTTTCTGTTGCTTGGTCTATTATCTAGAGTTAGTACATTATCTAAAGTGATAGGGTAGGTATTTTTACTGATGGATTGTTGATGAAAGTGTTTACTTGTGTTTTTGTGAGTTCCAGTCTTTGCTTTGCATGGTGAAATCACATGTATGGATAACATTTTATGGCTCAGTTAAGTTTCTGCCATAGTTTTTCCAAGCAATACATTCTTAGTACCTCCTCTGAATCTAGAAAGTAAAATAATACTTATATTTATAAGACTGAATTGCAGAATTTATTATTTTATTCTTTAGTTTCTGGTGAAAATGAACCAATAGAAGTAAAATAATTTGGTAGACAAAATACAAAAAGCCATTGTTGATTCTACATGTAATTCATTGGCACATACTTGCTTGGATTAGTATTGGTTGAAATTGTTTCAGCTGGATACCACCCAAGAGGCTGTTCTTGTCTCACAGAGCTAGGAGCCATTTCAAGATCCTGGAAATAAGTGATTTTCATAAGATTTTTGCTAGTGTAAATTTTTTTTTTCCCTAGGGAAAGGATGATCTCCTAAGTCTTCTTCATGTATGTACTACTAGCTTTGCTGTAAAGTAAGGCCTTTATTTCATTAATTTGAGAGTAGAGAATAATGTAAAATTAAACACAAGCATTTTTTCCCAGTTGATTTCTAACAATCACAAACTATATTAATTTGTTTAATACTGCAAGAGCACAAACAAGATTTGTTTTATATTTGTTTCATAAAACTTTGTATTATTGTTTTATAAAACTTTGTATTATCTTGTGATTGAGACACATCATTAGGGGCTGGAAGCCAACAGGTGTCAAAAGCCCCAGTGTTGCTGTTCAATGGATATAGAATTACAGTCATGCAAGATGAACAAGTTCCAGAGATCTACTACATAACAATGTGTATATAGTTAACAATTCTGTACTGTGCACTTAAAAATGTAAGAGAGTAGAGTTCCTCTTATTTGTGTGTTTTTTAAAATCCCAATCAAACAGAAAAACAACACAACACAGAGCTATGACCAGCAGGCATGGAAGAAATCCAACGTTTGTGTGAGAAAGCATACTGAAGCATTACCTGTTCCCATTTGAATGCTGAGAAAGAGTTAGGGAAATAACATGATTCTCCACTTAATAAAACTTCAGCATGTCTTTTTCATTAGAAGTGATGATTGACAGGGATTTGTTGGTGACACTGTGTGGTCCTGGGAGCAGAAGTCACTGTGTAAACAACACTGTGCTAACAAAAGAGGACTGTTCACATGGCTGGCACTAGCACAGCCTCGAGAAGATGAAAAGACGGCACACGGAATTTCCTGATTTGGGGCCAAGATGGACAACAATGACTATGATATTAACCGTTGGATTTTATGGATTTTTATTGAATAAATGGAATAGATTTTGTTAATTTGTTTATTTTCCTCCATGAAGATGTTTGAAATGTATCTGAAAATATAAAATATTTTCATCATATAAGTTGGAAAACTAGGGAAAGTTTAGGGTTAATTTAATCCCATGTAATTCTTTTCAAGTGCTTAGCCTTAAATATTACCTCTTACTTCAGTTAAGATAATAGTTTTTTAACCCCTTTTTTCAATATGTTAAAACATTTTGAAGCAAATCTTCCAGACATAGTGAAAAAACCTGCTCTAGATGGTTACTTAGTGTCACAATTCATGGAGGGAACTATATAGAATTCCCCTATATGGTGATTTTCTGTGGCACTACCTCCAGCTTTTATGCCCTCTGGCTATATATGAAAAAATAGACATTTAATATAGTAATGTTTTTAGCCACAAAGAAGAGTGAAGGCAATTTTGACGTGGGAGAAGAATAAGTTCTCTCCCTTAGTGTTTGATACGGTGACTATATTGGGCTAAGATAATGGTTAGGAGAGAGAGAAGAGAAAAGGGGAGAGAGATTGGGTTCTAAATGCACGAGAAGAAAGAAATGAGGGCAGTTCAGAACAATAACCTGTGAATTTTTTCACCACTTACATACCAAGCAAATTGCATTTCCTTCTACACTGTCTGGTTCTATTCCAATGTGTTTTATTTAAAAGTTTTATCTTTCCCAATGAAAGTTTAAGTTCCTTGGAATCTGGGTCCAAGTATCTTCCACAGAAACATACTTCTCTCGCTAGTTTATACTCTCTGTAGGCACGTACTTGGCTTTCTTGCTCACTGCTGAATGCTGGTGCGTAGCACCATGACTGGCACAGAGTAGATGTTCAATAAGTATTTGTTGTATCTGTGAGAGAATGTGTTAAAATAACAAAACTCAAACATAATAGTGCAGCGACTATGCCTTGATGTGTGTGTGTTTGGGATTCAGCACATTTGTAGAGGTAAAGCAGTTGGTTTTTTAAAAAATTAGTGCCATTCAGGATCACTTGTTAAATGGATATTGTTTAAAGGACTTAATTAATTAATGCTGGGGATACTGTTAAGAAATCATTCTAGAAACTAGAATAAATATTGCCAAAGTGAAACACTTTGGTTTTGATACAAATTATTGCCTTAGTTTCAAGATGTAAAACAAACAAAATCTTTGATGGGATTAGTAGAATTTATTTGAGTTTAATTCAACTTTTTGTTTTACATATAAAAATGTGTGCCTGTATGTTATACATCTGTACATATATTTCCACATATATCTATACCTATTACGTATAGCTACATATAGATACCCATTTATATGTTTAATCTCCTAAGTCTTACATCTTAGTTTGCAATCGTGGGATTATTTTCCAGATCATAGAATTGTTTGTTATTTTTACTAGGTTGTTTTCATGATTAAAATTCCGTGTCTCCCCAGGTTTCCATGTATCAGCAGTGCCCCAGAAAGTGTTTCCCTTCCTGAGACTCTAGGGAAGCCTTGGAATGCAAATAACTTGAAAAGAGAGCCTGGCCAAAAAAAGATTTTTGAGCCTTGGTAGGGTTAGTGAAGCAGGTTTTTAGTACAAACACAACTCAAAGTATGTGTGTTATTAAAAGTAGCTATTTTCATGGAAGTCTTTTGGTACTATTTGTTTTGGCTAGAGAAGTGAAAAGCTTTCTTTTAACCATGTGACCATTATTTTGCAAGATCATAACAAACAATTCTAATATCTTTAATCTCACTAAAGAGTCACTAAAGTTATTTGATGTACCTTTTGAAATAGAAAACCAACAACTAAATCTTCTCTAACACCATGATTTTCTAATCTGTATTAAAGCGTTCCAGGTATTTTTGTAATGCAATGGATTTCAATTATGTTGTTCATTTTCAGCACTTACTTCAAAAGAATGATGCTTTACAATTTTGTAGTTAATTTAACATATTTTTTTGTTTGCTTGAAAGGGTAGAAGTAAGACATATCAAGATTTAAAACATAAATAGCTTGGAACACCCTGAAGAGCAACATGGGAGAAACTGAGAAAAGAATTGAAACCCATAGAATAAGATGTCTTTCCAAGTTGAAGGTATGGAATTTTTGTATGTGGATATATGTGCATGTACACTAGTTTTTAAAATACGACAGTCCTGGTAAAATTGCTCCTATCTGCATGAAGTGATCTAATATTAATGCCATATTGCCTGTTCTATTGATAATTTCTTGCTTTAAAGAAGTTGGTTTTATAACTGAGGGTGTGTCTACACAGGATTATTGATTCAGGCAAGTTAGTCCTAAATGGCTTTGAGAGACTTAAATGGAAGACAGGATCCTAAAAATTTCCAGGCACACATACTGTGGCAGGATTTATTTTTCTGGATCAAAGGCCATGCTCACTCTTGCAGGGTTTCTAACCCAGAGAAATGTGGGAGTCACTCTCCGAAAATGGCTCATTGCACAGAAATGCTTTGTTGATTTGTATGCAATTACCCAGCAAAACAAATGTTTTCTTTAAGCTTTGGCAACATAACAATAATTTCCTGTAAGAAAAATGGCCATTTTGTCAGCTGTTCTGATTTTTTTTTCTATTTCAGAGAAAATTCTGTTTTCTAGCTTCAAAGTCATTTATATTCAAACAAATTTGAATTTATGATAAACCAAGGGATCTGGACATTTGTCCTGATTCTATAGCTAGTGCCTGCAAGTGGTTTCAAAACTAAGACACTGTCACTCATTTTCTCCCTATCAGAAGTTTGTTTTCCATTTATATGTGTGTTGGGGAAATTTAAACATGTATACAAAATTGGAGAATTATGATATAAATCTAAAAAAAATAGACTTGCCTGAAATGGTATGTTAATTAAGAAAAACTTTTTGTGCTTCAGTTTTCTCATCTGAAAAGGGTAATAGCAACATTCCCACCTTATAGGATTCTTTTATGTTTGAAACAATGACTGGAATATTGTAAACTTTCAATAAATATTAGCTATTAATATTAAAAGCATTTGTGGAGAAAAGTCAAGTGGTATTTATAAACAAGAGGTCTTTAATTTTTGATTGCTTTGGAGTTTAGCAAGGTTAGATATTAATGTGGATGTTAAGACAAAATGCTGTAAGCACAAGTTTATCAGGTAAAAGTGAGAGGCAATTGCTTAATAGCAAGTTAGGTTTCTCTGTTTCTCTGAACTTAGAAATATACTCATTAAGCAAAATTCATTAGGAAGCATGAAAGAACTATTTTTAACAAATTTGCTTTAAACTTTGTTGTTGAAATAAGTTGAAAGGGCATTATTGCTAGAAGCTAGTAGGACCAGCTTTATAAATACAGAGATTATTTAGCACTAGACATGAGTCAGAATAGCCACTGATTTCTTTCACTCTGCGAATAAAACCAAACTAGTTAGGCAACCCATGTGTTTTAGGGGAAAAGCAATGAGGTCATGATCCATCTAATTTCTTTTCTTAACATGTAAAGTAGAATAAATTATTTTTCCAAATTTGATTTGTACTTGATTTAGTAGGACTTGCTTTTAAATATAAAATCTGATTTATAAAACTAGGTGAAAATAGTTTGCTCTTAAGAATACACTCTGAGAAGGTTTATAGTGGGAAGAGAGAATATCCACAAATGGTATTCAATATAAAAAATAGCTAGAGATATGGCCATACTATGCTGTAGTCAATCAGTTTTGATTCATATTAAGAATGCTATTCAAATTTCTAGGTCCTTTTCACATAAATTTCTATTTAGGTCTCACAAAAATAATTGATAAATTTTGGCTTAGATGTATTGTGTGGTGTGAATGTGTCCCATCCAAATTCCCATGTTGAAATCCTAATTTCTAAGGTGATGGCAGTAGGAAGTGGGGCCTTCGAGAGGTGATTAGGTCACAAAGGTAAAGCCTTTATGAATGGGTTCAGTGGCTTTATAATAGAGGACTAAGAGAGATTCACTGCATTTTCTGCCATGTGAAGACACAGTGAGAAAGATGGTAGTTTATGAATCAGTATATACAGCCTCTAAGCCACAAATAAAATTCAACCCTCCCACCCCCTGCTCCCAGCACTGAATGGACCTCCTCTTGGTCAAGAGCCTTCCAAAGTTAGTCTAAAAAACAAGTTTAGGCTGTTATGGGAAGGAGGTGTTGGACATGCCTCTTTATACCCTCCTCTCTTTTGGAATTCAGGAATAACCAACCATCATTAACATCAACACAGACCTTAAGTCTGATAAGAAACATTTATATCCATTCTCTATGAAGCCTGCGTATCTAGAGGCTTTATCTGCATGATAAAACCTTGGTCTCCACAAGCCCTGATTGTAAACAGGAAATAATTTTTTATTATTGATAATAACTCTTCCAACCAATTGCCAATCAGAACATTTTAAAATCTACCTGTGACCTGCAAGTTCCTGCTTTGAGTTATCTTGACCTTCCCAATTGAACCAATGTAAATCTTACATGTATTGATTGATGCATTATGTCTTCCTAAAATATATAAGAGCAAGCTGTACTCCACCTTGAACACATGTTTTTAGGACTTCTCTGAGGCTATACTGTAGGCATGCCTTAACTTTGGCAAAATAAACTTTCTAAATTGATTGAGACCTGTCTCAGATACTTTTGGGTTCACAAATTAGCAGCCATGAAAGGATTCTGAGTGGAGGTGCCCCTGACCTTTGATGAATCTCCTGTGGGTACTTGGTACCAGCCTGAGCTATCCTTATGGCTCAAACTGATAGGACAATTTGCTGAGGCCTGGGAGCCCCCACCCACTCCAGAGAATCCCCAATCCCCTAAATTTGGTTAAGATCTAAAATTTATTTTTCTCTACAACTCCTATTTTTTAGTTTTACTTGTGTCCAACAAAGAAGGCAAGTTTTCCTGCTTCCATGACAATGGAGCGTGGGCAACTCCTTTCTGGAGTTTCAGCTAATTTCCAACAGGGAAGGCAAGTTTGAGCTTTTTTTTTCCTGCCTGTAAGATGGTAAACAGCAGTCTTGAGCCAGGGTCTCATTCCTAGATAAGTAGCTGAGTTGGGTTTTTTTTTTTATCTCAGCGATTCTCCTTAATGACTAAAAATTAGAATTGACAGCCGGCTAGTCTTAATTTCTCCTTAGCATTAGAGTGCTCAGTAATCATATTGTTGGGGTTTTTTGTTGTTCTGGTGTTTCTCCCATCAGATTTGACCAACTGTACCCAACTTGGCCAAATTCAAATGAGAATTCCAAATTATGAGCAGCCAGACCTCTGAAGCTGCTAAAATTCCTCATAACTGAAAAAAAGAAAACAAACAAATTATGCGCTTGGTTTCTGTTGCAGCTTCCTGTCTTAAAAACACAATTGTTCTTTCATTTTCTTTTCTTCCACACTATTTCTCCTTCCCCCTTCACTGTCTGGTACCAAAAAAAATCTAGAGAAGCCATCAAATGACTTGAACCCCTTAAAACACTCAGAACAAAGGCATCACTCACCCTTTCTTTCTCTGTGGAGTTTCAAGAGTCATGGGCAGATTCTTCTTAAGGTCTAAAGTGTTCTTATTCAAAGGTAAATTATTTTTGTCTAATTCAGAGGTTATTTAAGGATTATATATAAAATGAGGTAAAAAGGACCAGGAAATAAGAGATGTAAAGAAAGTTATAAAGAGGTATTTTTGGTAAGAAAGCTTAAAAGAAAAGTAATTTTATATGAGAAAGAATCTTGCATGATGAATTTTTGTCCTAAGATAAAATGACTCGTTCAAGAAAGAGAAATATTTATGTCAAACCAGAAAGTCCAAGCATGTTGTAAATGGTCTGTGTAAGTTGTAATAAGGTTAGTAAAACAGGAATTTGTTAAAATGTTATGTGATTCAGTTGGCTACAATTAAAGGAAATTATAATAGTTTTTCTAAAAATTGAACTTTGATATTAAAAGTACACTCATGCAACACTAAAGAACTGGTTAGAACAAGATTTATTAAAAATGTTGAGTTACTCTTAATGCAAGGACTTTAAAATTTTTGAATTCTATAATCTTTTTCTTTTTAAAATTATTTAGATTGATATCTCAGAACCTGTGCCCTACTGCTTCAGTTTTTTTCTCTTTTGAGAAGGCCTGGAATGGTAACTCTCTCCTTCAACTTTGTTTGGCTCCTGTAACTTTTTACTTTTATTTTATTTTTTTTGAGGCAGGGCCTCACTCTGTCACCCAGGCTGGAGTGCAGTGGCACAATCTCAGTTCACTGCACCCTCAACCTCCCAGGCTCAAGAAATCCTCCCCTCAGCCTTCTGAGTAGCTGGAACTACAAGTGTGCACCACAAAGCCAAGCTTTTTTATTTATTTATTTATTTATTTTGTATTATTTATAGAGATGGAGTGTCACATGTTGCCCAGGCTGGTCTCGAACACCTAGACTAAAATGATCTGTCTGCCTTAGTCTCCCAAAGTGCTAGGATTACAGGCATGAGCCATGGTGTCTGGCCTTTTTAAGTTAATAGTTGAAACTAAGAAACAGAATTTTTGAAAATAGGCAAATGAAAAATATTTTGGATCTGCTTTTGTCTGTATGTCTGTTATAGCTATATGTTTATATGTGTCATGTAGAAGTAATATTTCACTACCAAATTATATTAAAGACCTCTAATCACTTGGCTAAAAGAAAAATAAGTGCTTTTCAGACTGAAGGAAGCTACCAAAGATGCCTTTTAATTCATATGACCTTAGTAGTTTTGGGTAAGACTAATCTGGTAAATTTAATCTCAAAATTACCTCCAGTAGTTTAACATCTTAAAGTCATGTTATGTTAAATTAAATAACTCCTATTTTTTTCAATGGGAATCTGGGTTACTAAGAGTTAAAATAGTAGGAGAGTAAATAGTGTTTTTGGTAAAATTTATAAAAATACAATGATGTAGCTTTTGCTAAAGAATTTTTTTTTCTAAGAGTTATTTTAAGTAAAGATAAAAATATTATATAGATAAAACTAAATGGATAAAGAGAGAAATTAAAAGATGAGTGAGGAGAAACCTTGACTCCAGGGTGGCCATGTGGTTACCTATGGTAGGGAGATGCAGCTGAGCTACATTCAATTACAAAAGATAAAATTCATTAGAATTTAGAGATGGATTATGCTCCCGAGGAGTTAGCTCTCTAAATGCATAAGGAGATGCAAACTAATAAAAAAAAAAAAAGCAAAAATATTCAATCCCTTGGTTATTGTTATCTGTAATTGCTAAATGAATGTACAAGAATGCTGGGTTGATCCTTAAGGCTGGATCAGGCCCAGAGGTGGGTCTGTCCCAGCTCAAGCCACTAGACTCCAAGCTACCCACAGAAAGAAAAATTAAACCAGAGCAACAAAAGTTACCTCTGAGAGCTGTGGTTACCAAGAAGATAGTCAATATGTGGGAAGGGCAAAACCAAGTAACTATTAAAACCAGAGGGTATAATGCAAAGTAATTGTTCCATTTTGTAGATCAATATAATCAGCTTCTTGAGAAACCTTAACTACTTTAAGGAAAGAATCCTTTATTTTGAAGGCTACAAAATGAAAGAGCTTGTTTGGGTTGATGCAGGATTCACAAATCACTATTAAATTGCTGATGAGTATATGTGATCCAAATGTATACGAGGTTATTCATAAGAGAACAACCTGCCTAACTGACTGGATAATTGCTACTGTAAGGTCTGTTTACTCTGGAAATGGGACTTCCCAACCATCCCTATAAAATGCCAAGTGGAGCACCCCAGATAATGTAGTTGATATGCTTCATATGCAAGCCATGTGAAACTGTCTTTATAACTGGGATATTCTCCCATTGAATATGACTAGTATCCAGTTCAGTGCCCTGTAACCTCTCCCCTCCCCTTTGCTCACTGTCCTGGAGTGGCACTGGCCTCTGAAGTAATTCTTTTTTGGTCTTGGGACTAGTTCAGGGGAAACTGGGTGGGGGAAATCCCTCCTGCCCTAAGTGCAGTTGGACTGTACAGAATACTCCAAAGGCCAATGGTAGTTCAGCACAGAAAGAGGGAAGGCCTCCAAGTCAGAAAGAGCTCCAGAGACCTCATGGTATTGTAGGGCAGGGTGGTGGGCCAAGGTTAGGACACTGCATAAAACAGGCAATCCCACCACCTCTACCTGCTCACGCCAGGAGAATCCATAACTGCCTAGAGGCCTGAGACCCCTACAAGTAGTAAGGTGAATAGGCATCTATCCAGCCTAGCAGTAGGATTGATGTCTGTCCAGCCTGGAAGAGGGGCACTAGGTGACTCCCTCCCCTTCTGTTGTAAATACTATAATTATCAGATAATTTAAGTTATTCTCATTTGTAACTGCATTTCTGGTTCAGGCCAGAGTCATTTGGTATTTAAAAAAAAGACTGAGTCCTTTCCCCATTTCTCTTCTCTTTCCCATAGATTCCTCCACCTTTCAAACTGTTTTGTATCTATTTCAAAGGAAGATATCCCTGAGACTGGGTAATTTATAAAGAAAAAGGGGTTTAATGGACTCACAGTTCCACATGGTTGGGGAGGCCTCACAATTACGACGGAAGGTAAAGGAGGAGCAAAGGCATATCTTACACGGTGGCAGGCAAGAGAGCATGTGCAGGGGAACTGCCTTTTATAAAACCATTAGAGCTTGTGAGACTTATTCACTATCATGAGAAAAACACAGAAAAACTCACCCCCATGTTTCAATTACCTCCCACAAGTTCCCTCCCATGACACATGGGGATTATGGGAGCTACAATTAAAGATGAGATTTTGGTGGGGACACAGCCCAACCATATAATTCTGCCCATGGCTGCTGCCAAATCTCATGTCCGCACATTTCAAAACCAATCATGCCTTCGCAACAGTCCCCCAAAGTCTTAACTCATTTCAGTATTAACCCAAAAGTCCTAACTTAGGAGCCATCAAAAAAAATCAAAAGCAAGTTAGTTACTTCCTAGATACAATGGGGATACAGGCATTGAGTAAATAAACCCATTCCAAATGTGAAAAATTAACCAAAATGAAGAAGATGGAGGCCCCATGCAAGTTTGAAATCCAGTGAGCAGTCAAACCTTAAAGCTCCAAAATGATCTCCTTTGACTGCGTGTCTCACATCCAGGTCACACTGATGCAAGAGGTGGGTTCCCATGGACTTGGGAAGATCCACCCCTGGGACTTTGCAGGGTACAGTGCCCCTCTCCTGGCTGCTTTCATGGGATGGTGTTGAGTGTTCTGTGGCTTTTCCAAGTGCATGGTTCAAGTTGTTGATGGATCTACCATTCTGGGATCTGGAGGATGGTGGCCCTCTTCTCACAGCTCCACCAGGCAGTTCCCCAGTGGAGACTCTGTGTGGGGGCTTCAACCCTACATTTCCCTTCCACACTGCCCTAGCAGAGGTTCTCCATGAGGGTCCTGCCTCTGCAGCATACCTCTGCCTGGACATCCAGGTGTTTCCATACATCCTCTGAAATCTAGGCAGAGGTTCCCAAACCTCAATTCTTTACTTTTATGCACCTGCAGGCCCAACCAAAGCTTGAGACTTGCACCCTCTGAAGCAGTGGCCTGAGTGTACATTGGCTCCTTCTGGGTCCCATGGCTGGGACCCAGAGCACCAAGTCCAAAGACTGGACAAGAAAACCATTTTTTTTCCTCCTAGGCCTCTGGGCCTGTGATGGGAGGGGCTACTGTGGAGACTTCTGACATGTCCGGGAGACATTTTCCCCATTGTCTGGGTGATTAACATTTGGCTTCTCATTACTTACGCAAGTTTCTGCAGCCATCTTGAATTTCTCCTCAGAAAATGGGTTTTTCCTTTTTTATCACATCATCAGTCTCCAAATTTTCCTAACTTTCATGCTTTGCTTCCCTTTTAAACATAAGTTCCAATTTCAAACCATATCTTTGTGAATTAATAAAACTGAATGCTCTTAAGAGCACCCAAGTCACTTCTTGAAAGCTTTAGTTTGAAATTTCTTCCACCAGATACCTTAAATTATGTCTCTTAAGTTCAAAGTTCCACTGATCTCTAGTGCAGGGGCAAAATGCTGCCAGTCTTTTTACTAAAGCATAGCAAGAATCACCTTTGCTCCAGTTCCCAATAAGTTCCTCATCTCCATCTGAGAACACCTCAGTCTGGACTTTATTGTCCATATCATTATCAGCATTTTGGTCAAAGCCATTCAACAAGTCTCTAGGAAGTTTCAAACTTTCCCACATCTTCCTGTCTTCCGAGCCCTTCAAGCCTGTAGGAAGCTCCAAACTTTCCTACATTTTCCTATTTTCTTCTGAGCCCTCCACACTGTTCTAACCTCTGCCTGTTACCCAGTTCCAAAGTCATTTCCACATTTTTGGGTATCTTTACAGCAGCACTCCACTCTCTGTACCAATTTACTGCATTAGTCCATTTCATACTGCTGTGAAAAAATACCTGAGACTGGGTAATTTATAAAGAAAAAGAGGTTTAATGAACTCACAGTTCCACATGGCTGGGGAAGCCTCACAGTCATGATGGAAGATGCAGGAGGAGCAAAGGCATGTCTTACATGGTGGCAAGAGAGCATGTGCCAGGGAACTGCCCTTTATAAAACCATCAGATCTTGTGAGACTTATTCACTATCACAGAACAGCATGGGAAAACCCACCCCTATGATCCAATTACTTCCCAGTGGGTCCCTCTCACAGCATGTGGGGATTATGGGAGCTACTATTCAAGATGAGATTTTGGTGGGGACACAGCCAAACCATATCACATGGTAAATTTGGAGGTTAAGTGCTACATGGGCACTCCAGGTGACATTACTACCACAGAATCACAGACTGATCAAATTTGCTGTCCTCATGGGTCTTACAGATGCTTAATAAAACACTGGGGTAATTAACAAAGAATAATGAGAAAGGCAAAAGGGAGTCAGAGGACTCACCCCAGAGGGTGATTAAAATATTTGGACGTTTTATAAGAAATGAAATAAATAAAATGAAAATTGATGGGGTTGAAACAAAGGTCTTTACAACACTATCAAGGGTTGAGTGGACCAAAGGGAACCCCTACTGATCCTCCAACATTAAAGGGCCCCATATCAGTTTTCTGCATTTGCCCCAGATTGGGGAAATTGAAGAAACAGCAAAAGGCAAAGGTTATAATGAGGGAGCTGAAATTGCCTGGGGCAAATCTGAGGCAAATTAAGATGAAGATTGAAAAAAGAGCCCAAGTCCCTTGGCTCAATCCCTTGCTGGGAACTCAAATCATTTTTCACCAGAAAAAGTAAAATGGTCTGGGGGTAGAAAAGAAAAGTTCCTCAAACCAGAACATAAAAATGTACAGGTTGATAGGATTATGAAATTTGAGATGTCTAAACAGCCTTTATGTAAGGTAATTTTAACTTCTTCACCTAAATATCTTGTGAAAATTGGTATTGTATCTGATTGGGGGATGTTTCTCCTATCAAGTACTATGAAACTGAAGTCATGTAAATGTGCCCTTTGAGGAATGTTAATTGGACACACTAAATGGAAACTAGTAAGATTGCCTGAGCCTACACAATGTAGGGTAGAAGCTGAAGGGCTAGTAGGGACAAATTCTCCACTTCATATCCATTTGTGGAGCATTTATTAGGGCTTATGGTAAAAGACTGGGAGCACTTCCCAATGACAAATACTAGACTAGAGAATTTCCAGTTGAGGGACATTTACTGCCTTGTTATGGAATGTTAACTGAAGCTACCCCTTTGCTAAAGGAAATAATGGTACCCCAAAGAGTTCCATAATAAAGTAAAAATTGTTTGCATAGGATCTTGCTACCTGAGGATGCAGAGGAGATACTTATGAGCAGAGAGCATTCTTTTTCCCCTAGGGCTGACTCTGACTCTGTAAGGAGCTGCTAGATTCTACAGTGCCTGGTAAACAGCTCTCATATAACAAGAACTGCTTAGCATGTGAATGGCAATTCAAGGTGAACAAAGGACATGTTGTTTGGAAGGCTGATGCTCTGGTTAAAGAGTCAAGAGAATCTTTTTCTTTTAAATTATTTATTCTTTAGAGCAATTGGGTGAAGTATGTTTTTATGAGCAAATTTACCTTTCTCTCCAAGTTCTCCCAAATTTGGAAACCGTGAGTATTCTGGTTTTATGACAATATAGTTATTTGCATAAGTTTAGTAAGAGTCTTTTGTTTTATAACAGGACAATTGGAGACACTGATTATTTTACCAAGTCTTTGACTAGAATAACATATTTGCAGGTAAATTTCCAGCAAAGCCAACTTAAAAAGAGCCTATATGGTCAGTCAATTTCTTGCTGCACTTTATGCAAATAATCAGGCCAAGTATAATAAGCCTAAAACTTATTTTTACACACAAACTGGTCTTACTATAATTTCTCTTTAATAGAAAAGGAGGGCTAGAGAGAGAGAAAAATTGTTTCAAAGGAAAAATTTAACACTTGTTACTGGATTTCAGCCCTGACTTTTGTTTTTGAATGCAGATTGAATCATGAATTATTTCTTGGCTATAATAATCCTCTAAAGAGATAGCGGATTATAGTTTTTCTTTACATTTTTAGTTGAATCCCTAATGAGATAGCTTCCATTTTCCATTCTGACACACAAATACTCTTTTGATTGTCAAAATATTAATGTTATTTATCTCTCCTTGGTTTACTTCCAAGGAAACTGGAATGATGGTATTCTCAAGACTAGAGATGCAAATCTCTCTCATTTGTCATCCCACTGAGCCCGATCTGTTTTTCACTGCAAATGCCCTTCTGTTAAGACTATACAAGCACCCTCCCTCTAGGCCTAAGGACTGTTGTGGAAGAGGTGGGTGTGTGAGATTGTAAGGGCTAGGTTTGAGGAAGTGAATTAGTTCAGATCATCCAAACCAAGGATGGGTACACGATGCCTAAACAGCTGGTAAAACAAAGTTTTTTGCCCTCTGAGCTATTATGAGGCATCTTTTCATCCAGCCCAACCATGAAGAATGTCATGCTATTTGTAGAATTAAAAGAAAATAACTACTGAGAGGATAAAGATACCTTGTGACAAAGCCTTCTGGATATAAGACTCCCAGTTATGAGCTGTGCAGATAGATAGATATGTATTTTTAAAGTTTATTTTCATTTATTTATTTCTTTTTTTGAGACTCACTCAGGGTCTTACTCTGTCACCCAGGCTGGAGTGTAGTGGTGCCATCAAGGCTTACTGCAGCCTTGACCTTCTGGGCTCAGGTGATCTTCACACCTCAGCCTCCCAGGTAGCTGGCACTACAGGCATGCACCACCATACCTGGCTAGCTTTTTGTCTTTTTGTATTTTTTTAGAGACAGGGTTTTGCCATATTGCCCAGGCTGGTCTCAAACTCCTGGGCTCAAGCCATGAACACACCTTGGCCTTCCAAAATCCTGGGAATATAGATGTGAGCCACGGTGCCTGGTCAGTATATATTAAAAAATTATTTTTCAGAGCAATGCTTATGTTTTGTGTAGCTAATTGCTATAAGTCCATAACTAAAACCAAGATTATAGTAGCTCAATGCATAGAAGTTAAAGATAAGTCAGTTTTGTAACCTGGCCTTTGGCTTTCTGTTTGTTGACTTTTTACTGAAAAAAATTTAAGGGGTAATGAATACTTGTCCATGTCCATTCCTATCTGGCCTAGAACATTTAATTTGCTATAAGTCTTTTGACTCTAAGTACCTTGGCCATAGGGGGTCCCACTGAGGGACAGGGTGGATCTCAAGCAGGCAGCCATGCCACCCCCACAATGGTATGAGACAAAATAAAAATTTGGTAGACATTGCTGTTGCCTCTGGCAAATCTTAGGTGGAAGAGGGAGAATGTAAAGCAAAAATAAAATTCTGAGGACCCCAACCATCTGAATGGACCCTTCCTCTCAGCCAAAGGCATTCCAAAATTAACCTGAAAAGCAAGTTTAGGCCATGATGGGAAGGAGGGGTGGGCCAGACATGCCTCATTGTACCCTCTTCCCTTTTGGAATTCAGGAAAAAACCAACCAGAACTAACATCAACACAGACTTTAAGTCTGACAAGAAACATTTACATCTGTTGTTTCTGAAGCCTGCTACCTAGAGGCTTTATCCGCATGATAGAACCTTGGTCCCCACAAGCCCTTATTATAACCCAGATATTATTTTCTATTGATAATAACTCTTCCAACCAATTGCCAATCAGCACATTTTAAAACTTTAAAACTACCTATGACTGGGAACCCCCTGCTTCGGGTTGTCCTGCCCTTCCAGATTAAACCAATGTAAATCTTACATGTACTGACTGACGTATTATGTCTCTCTAAAATGTATAAAAGCAAGCTGTGCCCTGACCATCTTGGGCACATGTTGTCAGGACCTCCTGAGGCTGTGTTATGGCCACATCCTTAACCCTGGCAAAATAAACTTTCTAAATTGATTGAGAACTGTCTCAGATACTTTTGGGTTCACAGGCATCAGCCAACCCAAATTTGTTAGTGCCTTGCTCTTGGACTTTCCAGTCTTTGGAACTATGAGAATTACATTTCTGTTGTTTATAAGCCACTCGGCTTAGGGTATTTTGTTGTAGCAGCCCAGATGGATGAAAACAGTATATTTAATCTTATTTGATTTTATTTTACTTTCAGCTCTGATTTCTTCAAGATGTTTTTGATACTTATTCTGTCATTAATTCAATAAACTTGTATTGGGTGCCTGCTATTTGTCAGGCACTTAGTAGGCACCAGGGCCACAGGGGTAAATAACATATGGCTCCTGTATCTGACTTGCTCTCAGAATAATGAGAGAGGAACTTATAGACATCTAAATCCATAAATAAAGTACACTGTAATAGAGGTTGTAATCAAGTTAGGCACACAGTAGGGTGGGAAGATAAAGAATGAATGAATGGTTAGGGCTTACCTGGGGAGCACAGAGGCAAAAGAGGCCTCACAATGGAAGTAATAAAATACCTGAGTCTTGAGAATGAATTATATATTGACCAGGTGAACAAAGGGAAGAAAGGCATTAAAACTGGAGGAATATTATACAAAAGCACTGACCTATAAAATGGCAGGGTTAATTAACACAGCTACATGTAGAACACTGTGTCTAAGGACAAGCAACAGGAGATGATACTGAAATACAGATGAGGCTTTGTTTACCATCTTAAAAATCAGAGATTTTTGTTTATGGGAATTACTGAAAAGTTTTAAGAAGTAAAATTTGCTAACTATGTATTTTATTAATTTATTTGACAAAAAATTATGATCCAAATTAGTGGAGGTGGCGTGTGAAAGAGAGGTTGGAGGTAGACAAGGCTAGAGGAGAGTAAACAGGATTTCAATTGTCTGAGCTAAACTGTTCATACATATGAGAGGTTTCATCATACGTGTGGTAGTTAAAAGCATGGATGAGCATGAACTTCCTAAAGACAGCATGCATAGCAAAAGGGTAGGGAGTACAAGACAGAGGCCTGAAAGGGTTGACCAAAGAAGAGAGAAAGAATCGAGCAGTTAGTCAGAGATATAGGTATGCATGGGGGAGGGAATTTCAGGAAGAAAAGAGAGATCAATAGTATCAAATGACTGAGAGTCACGAAGTAAGATGGTAATTCAGACATAGCTTGTGGATTTGGGATATTTGGGAATCAGGAAGTTGTTTATGACCTTTTATGGAGGTAGTTTCAAGAAACACCAGCCTGTAGCAGACTATAGGGTGGATGGAAGGTTAAACAGTCTAGAGTCTAGACCATTCTTCTAAACAGCTTTGTGGTAGCTAGAGTAGCTAACCATCAAGGCTGAGGGAAGGTGTTTTGTTTTGTTTCATTTTGTTTTTTTCTCAAAAGGCAAGAAATGCCTTGGATATATTAATAAGCTAGTGGGGAAACAAGCAATAAAGGGTGTGAGGTTGAAAATAGAGAGAAAAGCCTGGGCATGGTGGCTCATGCTTTTAATTCCAGTACTTTGGGAGGCCAAGGTGGGCGGATCACCTGAGGTCAGGAGTTCGAGACCAGCCTGGCCAACATGGTGAAACCCCGTCTGTACTAAAAATACAAAAGCTAACCGGTCATGGTGGTACACACTTGTAGCCCCAGCTACTTGGGAGCCTGAGGTGGGAAAATTGCTTGAACCCAGGAGGTGGAGGTTGCAGTGAGCCAAGATTATGCCACTGCACTCCAGCCTGGGTGACAGAGTAAGACTCTGTCTCAAACAAAACAAAACAACACAAAACAAAACAAAAAAGAGAGAGAGAGAAAAGAGCAATAACGGATGAATTAGAATCTCGAAAATGGGAAGAATGGATTCAAGAGCAAGATTGGAGGGATTTTATGTACAGGAAAGGGACACCAATCTTTCTAAAGACATAGGCAAATTAGAGAAGGTAGGGATAGAGGTAAGTTTGCAGGTGAAGTTGCTGATATCATTTGCTGATCATGAAGAGAGAGAATGTGGCTGGGTTGGAGACTGAGAAACAGAAAAGGTTGTGAGTTAACTTGAAAGGAATATGTGAGGTAGAAAATAAGTTGTGTGATTGGCTCAAGACTGGAGGTGTGGAAGGTGGAAGGTGTGAGAATTTTAAGAATTTGAGTGTGCTAGGTAAATAGTAGGTCAAATGGTCTCCCAGGTTGCAAGTGTCATCAGAAACTGTCTTCAATAGGACCAAGCAAAAATCTCTATGGCATGTGACTGAAGACCACCATTCAAGTTGATGTAAATCTATCTATAATTTGTTCATTTTGAAGCAGTAATTAATCTACCTAACTATACTATTACCAGTATACAGTGCTCCTGTTTTAAAACCTCTTACTAAAAGCTATCTTTTTAAATTTAATTTTAAAATATGAATTTTAACTTTTCATATTTTCAGTAAAACCATAGTAGCTCCTGGTGATCACAGTGGTTCTATCTGTGAACTCATCCCTGATGTTGTTATGGATTGCATCAACCTCACTGTTTCCTGGAACTATACCAATAATAGGAAGTATGATTGATAAAACCTATGGAAATTTATAGTATATATATTAGGCAAGCAGTAAGGATAAACAGAAGCCAATGGTCCAGGTGAGCTGATTCTCCAAGGTTCAGGAAAGCTTCCCAAAATAAATGGAGTCTCATTTTTGTGTGGTCCTCCATTTACACTGCAGCTGAGAAACCCTGAAAATACTCTGTCCTGGGCTTATATGCCTTAGACACAACTGGGATTGCTGAGCTCAAGGGTTGCAGAGCATCCTACTATGGGAAGAATGAGGACATAACTCAGATTGTTCTGGATATTTCCCTCATTGCTGAGAATGCAGAATGTTTCTGACCAAGAATTGCAAGCAAGAACAGGAAAGAGTGGAGTCGGCCAAGGTAATCTGGGGACCTATTGTCCTGCAGAGAGAACTTAAGTATATTTGCTACCGAAATAATGTCTTTGTATAATTCTGCATTCTTTCTTTTCATTACAGTACATGTATGAATTCTTTTGTACTTTAGATATCATTGTAGCTCTGAAGACATGTTTAAGTTATCAGCTATGTATTACTTAGAATGACTGTTTGTTTCTATGTATGTACCAGTATGTTATACAATATTGAGGCTGCAACTGCCTACAAAATTAGTCTCACTTTGAGTTTTCAGAGAGAAATCACAGTATGACAGACAAAAGGAGCAGACTACACTTTACAGTTTCTTGCAAATTCAAAGGTTACTTAAGTTGGAGACAATCAGTCTTATGGTGGAAGGCATTTTGTCAACAGACGGCAAGTATACAATTTAAAAATAATTTTTTCTACGTTTTCTTATATTTTTTTCCTAGATGTTTCTGTTGGCAATAACATGTGCATTTGTATCCAAAACACTGTCTGGATCTTATATGAATTCCATGCTCACACAAATAGAGAGACAATTCAACATCCCAACATCTCTAGTTGGATTCATTAATGGAAGCTTTGAGATTGGTAATGAATTATTTTTGCATTTCTTCTTTTTGTATTTTGTCTTATCTGTGGAGCTAGTCTGAATTTTATTCTCCTTATTTGCTGTTTTAGGTCATTTAATCTGACCGAGTTATAAGTTTTCTAAAACTAACTGATTAGCTAAGCTTAGAATATGCTTGGAAATAATTCATTTAAATATTACCTCATATTAACACCTAAATATTGCCACATATCCTACCATTGTTCTTTTTATTCTAATAGTTTCTTAGTTATGTAGCATGAGTAGCAGAGTATTTACAGTATTTATATTTAAATATCATTTGATAACCCTAAGGGATACTAAGGGTTCCATCTTTGTATTTAGAAGATACAAAGGTAGAAGACCGCCGGGCGAGGTGGCTCATGCCTGTACTCCCAGCACTTTGGGAGGCGGAGATGGGTGGATCACGAGGTCAGGAGATCGAGACCATCCTGGCTAACATGGTGAAACCCCGTCTCTGCTAGAAATACAAACAAATTGGCCGGGTATGGTGGCGGGCGCCTGTAGTCCCAGCTACTTGGGAGGCTGAAGCAGGAGAATGGTGTGAACCCGAGAGGCGGAGCTTGCAGTGAGCTGAGATTGCCACTGCACTCCAGCCTGGGTGAGAGTGAGACTCCATCTCAAAAAAAAAAAAGAAAAGGTAGAAGACCTAGAAGATGTAGAAGATATTGTTGGAGATCAAGGAAATTGCCTTACAAATGAAAATGCAAATATTTTTCTGCTATTTGGTCTGGGAGGTTGACAATTTTTTTTTCTAAGTACAGAGAGAAGAAAAGACTGCTTTTATAGCTCTCTGAATTCATTTCAGAGGCAGCCTCTAGAGAAAAATAAAGTCTACTCATAGATTCTGATTTTTGTGGATGACTGGGAATATGTGACCATAGAGAGGGAGAATGGGGGAAAGGAAGATTTCTTCCATGAAAAAAGTTATATAGAAATATAAGTGTCACTCCTTTCTAGTTTTATAATAGCTTCCACTTTCTTCAAGGTGATAATTTCCTTTAATATAAATGTATTTAAAAAATCAGGATTGAGGAGAAGCAAAACTGAAACAAGTGATTCTTGATCTTGTCTACTAGTGTTCAACTCCTTTAGATCTTAGCCTGTATCACCTGTGTGCTGATCCCAGTGAGAGAGTTAGAACTAACTCCATGTATAGCCCACGAATTGACTCAGCTCATAATCTAACGGAAGGTAGAGATGCAGATAATAATAGTATTAATTGAATGAAGTAAGTTTGGTAGCATAGATATATACAAGGTCTTACAGGGACAGAAGAAACACAGACTCATTTAGGGAAGCCAGACTCTCGGAGGATAGCTAAAATTTTCTAGGAGAAGAAATGAGGTTAAGCAAGTGTGAAGAAAATTCCAGTAGAAAAAGCCTAAGAAGGATGCAGTGCAATAGCCTATGTGAGAAGCAACATTCAGCTTGATAATATTGGCTAGCCAAGATAAAGTTGGAAAGGATTAGGAATGTGAGCCTGCAGAAATGGGCAGGGGTGAGAAATGGGTTAATGAGAGCTTTGTGTGCCTGCTATGGCATTTACTTTTTAATTTTCTAGGTGAGGGAGTGTCACTGAGGATTGGAAGGGATTATTAACCTTTCTGTGCCCAGGACCCTTTTAGCATTCTAACACCATATGATCCCGGAGTAATAATTTTAATTGCATAAAAAAAACTATATGGGTGCAAAGGAAGCCAATTATATTGAAGTAGAATTATCAAAATATTAAAACAAATTTTTATATAGTAATATTTGTACTTTTAATCAACCCATTAAATTAAAAAGTTACTAATTTTAAAGTAATTATTGTGTCAATGTTTTGAATTGTTTGCAACAGCCATATTGTCATCTGAACATATCTGTAACTTCTATTGGTGACAATTGGTGACAAAGTTATATGTTCACATTGCAGTCATGTGAGTCTGAAGCACTGGGGAACTATCTGGGCTGGAGCTATTGATTAGCAAGTAAGTAGGCGTTTGCTAAAACTAGAGAGAGAATTTATGAGGTTATTCAGGGAGAGGATATAGGGTGATAATTACAATGGACAAAGAATAGATCTTGAGCTGCACAAACATTTAAGGCACAGGTAGAAGAAAAGGAGTCTATGTTAAGAGAAGGAATGGTCAGAGAAACAAGAGGGGGAACTAGGAGAAAATGGTATTATGAAAAACAAAGGAGTAGAAATTTGAAAAAAAAAAAAAGTATCAGCAGTGTGAAAAGCATTAGAAATATCCAGTTAGACAAGGATGAAGAACTATTCCCTGGGTTTCATAATATGGAGATAACTGATGATCTTTGCCAGGGCACTAACAAATTTAGACGCTAGGAAGCAGTGAAGGTAGGAGCGACGATAGGGGATTAGGGAGGGGGGAAAAGCGGAATCTATGAATATGGATGAATGTTCTGGGAAGTTTGGAGAGAAACTAGAGAATATGTGTAGGCTAAAGTCTAGTTGAGAGAGAGAGGCTTAAAATACATATGAGAGATTTTAATTACTAGAGTAAGTGGCTGAAGAAAATGGCAGTGCCCTGGTGATGTGTTTAGTGTTGGGTGGTCAGATGGGCACCACAACTTCTCAAACTGAAGGAACGTGGTAAGGCCATCAGGTGGAAAACTCAAATGCCTTCATGTTTGATTGCCCCAAATTTCTTGATAAAGTAGAATATATTAACAATTTCTACCACTAGTGGGTGGTGATAGGTAGCTTGAGGAGAATGATGATTAGAAATAGTGTGAAATTTACAAAAGGCAATAAACATATCACTTAGCTTATATTTCCCCAGTCAGTTTTACAGGCAACATTCTCCATACCTTTGAAAAAAATTACTTACCTTTTCCCATGCTTTCTCATTGCAATTATTTCCTGACAGAGCAAGGCAGTTTAAAACATGAACTCACTCTTACGTGAAGAAGGAAAGTTCTTCCTTTCTTCTCCTTTCAAAAAACAGATATGGATTTCAAACAATGGCCTCTGGAGACACTACCTGTAACACGGATGGGCTTGGTGATGAGATTTTAGAAAACTAGAGAGGTCAATGTGGCTGATATAGTTATTGCGGTGGGGCGCTCTCCATATAAAATAATGGACAAATGGACATATCTTCTACACACAAGGCAGACTAGAGAAAAATACAGGTGGAAAGAAAACTTTTCAAAATATACACCACTTAGAAAATTATTAACTCCTTGAGGAAAAAAAATTTTGAAATTTTTATAATCTTGAGTCATTGCAGAGGCATTCTTTATATATAGTGGGGGCAAGGTAGATATTATTTACTGAATTAAAAATGTATGGTTTGCAAAAAACTTATTCGTATATTTGTTTTTTTCAAATCTTTATTCCACACTCTTCAAGGATCTGTCCATCAGATGGGCCTTCCCCCATTAGTTTCTTTATTCTAAAGCTTCGTCCTAAGACATGCGGATACATTTTTCATTGCCATTTTTATTCCTCAAATCCAGACTCACTGAAGACTGAGTAGAAGTGGGGGTCTACTAATTTTTACTTCACTGCATTGTCTGATCTAGGGAAAGAAGTAGAAAAAAAATAGATCCCTGTCTTGGTCATGTTGACCAAAATGAAGATATTTTTAAACAATGAGTTACAAAACATTCAGCTACCTAAATTTGACTTTTGCTTCTCTTTCTGGGCATAGGAAAACATGATAATGTTCTGTGGAGTAGGCATTGAGAGAGAGGCCAGAGGTCACATGCAGGCTGACACCTTCTTTTGAACCTCATTTCCCAAGTCTAGATAGTCACAAATAGAGCCTTCCAAATTTCCCAGAACCATTCTTTAGTCCCTTTCACCGGCTTCTCTTCTTCTCCCCTCTGTAAATGTTGGTGTTTCAGAGATATCTGTTTCTGTATCTGTCTACATTGCAAAACAGAACCCTTCTTCGGGGCAGGGATTGTGTTATATTCATTTATTATTTAATGCAACCCTAGCACAAATCCAAGTATTTAAGATAGTTGTTATGCAGTAAATGCTAGAATGTAAATGATTGGGTGAGGCTCTTAATTAAGACTTTGTTCATACTTTTTAAAATGATTATTCTCAATTTTTTCCTAGGAAATCTTTTGTTGATTATATTTGTGAGTTATTTTGGAACCAAACTGCATAGACCTATAATGATTGGCATTGGATGTGTGGTTATGGGCTTAGGCTGTTTCTTAAAATCACTACCTCATTTCCTCATGAACCAGTAAGTACTCCAGTCTGATAATTTTGGGTGGTCAAATTTCACTTGCAGGAAATGAAGTTGCACTTTCCTCTCTAGGAGCAATGCTTTCCAACAGCATAGGGCACTGTAATGGGAAGGGGAAGATGCACATTCTGTTCCATCTGTCTATTTGGTGCTCTTGGCTGCCTCACTTCCACTTAAGCAGTCAGTTTTGTCAATTTACACAATGGGGATTTGGGACCTTTTCTTGTGGAGTTGAGTCTGGTGAAAAGATTCTCAGGACCAGCCGAAACTTGGGATTATTCCCTTCTCAGGACCATGTAAATACTTCTAATTAATAATGAGATTCTGCTTAATTGCAGATCACCAAGAGACAGAGCAGTCTGAAGGCTGATTTTTCTTTTAATTTTTACCAAAGTAACTATGTACAAAGTCATAAAAATAAAAACTATTACAAAAAAGCTTACATTGACAAAAAGGTCTCCCTTGTCACTTATTACTGCTTTCCAGAGGCAAGTGCTTATAACTTTTAGCTCTTTCTTGTATTTGCCACCAATTTCTTTCTTTTTTTTCTGTTTTTTTTTTTTATTATTTATTATTATTTTTTTGAGACAGTCTTGCTCTGTCACCTAGGCTGGAGTGCAGTGGTGTGATCTCGGGTCACTGCAACCTCCACCTCCCAGGTTCAAGCAACTCTCCTGTCTCAAGCCTCCTGAGTAGCTGGGACTACAGGTACCATGCCTGGCTAATTTTTTGCATTTTTAGTAGAGACGGGGTTTCACTGTGTTAGCCAGGATGGTCTCGATCTCCTAACCTCGTGACCCGCCCGCCTCGGCCTCTGTTTTTATTTTTGTTGAGACAGTCTCACTCACTCTGTCGCCCAGGCTGGAGTGCAGTGGCGCCATCTCCCGGTTCACTGAAACCTCTGCCTCCTGGGTCAAGTGATTCTCCTGCCTCAGCCTCCCGAGTAGCTGGGATTATAGGTGCATGCCACTACACTCAGTTAATTTTTGTATTTTTAGTAGAGATGGGGTTTCCCCAAGTTGGCCAGGCTGGTCTGGAACCCCTGGGTTCAAGCAATCCGCCCACCTCGGCCTCTCAAAGTGCGGGATTACAGGCATGAGCCACCTGGCCAAGCCTTGCCTCTGTATTTCTAACTAAATGTTATTCTATTAGTTTTGAATCCTGGCATACCCTGCTTTACTGCATTTCACTTTATTGCACTTTGCAGATATTACATTTCTCACAAATTGAAGGTTTATTGCAACCCTACGTTGAAGATTAGAATCATTTTTCCAACAGCATGTGCTCACTTTGTGTCTGGGTCATATTTGATAATTATTGCAATATTTCAAACTTTTGCATTATTTTTGTATCTGTTATGGCGATCTGTGATTAGTGATCATTGATATTACTAATGTAATTGTTTTGATGTGCCACTAACTTATGCCCATTTAAGATGGTGATTTATTTATTTATGTATTTCTTTTTAGAGATACAGTGACGCCCAAGGTGGGGTGTAGTGGTGCGATCTCACTCACTGTAGCTTTGACCTCCACAGGCTCAGGTGATCCTCTCACTTCAGCCTCTCCAGTGGCTGAAACTACAGGCATGTGCCACTATGCCTGGCTAATTTTTGTATATATATATATTTTTTTGGTAGAGACAGGATTTCACCATATTGCCCTGGCTGGTCCTGAACTCCTGGGTTCAAGCAATGCGCCTGCCTCAGACTCTCAAAATGTTGGGATTACAGGTGTGAGCCACCGTGCTGGTCTTAAGATGGTGAATGTAATCAACAAATGTTGTGTGTGTTCTGACTGCTCCACTGACCAGCCATTGCCCCATTTTTTGCCCTTTCCTTGGGCCCCCTTATTCCCCTAGATACAAAAATATTGAAATTAGGCCAATTATTATAATAACCCTATTGTGGCCTTCAGGTGTTGAAGTGAAAGAAAGAGTTGCACATTTCTCACTTTAAATCAAAAGCTAGAAATCATTAAGCTCAGCGAGGAGGGCAAGTTGAAATTCAGAATAGGCCCAAAGCTAAGCCACTTGCACCAAATAGCCAAGCTGTGAACACAAGGAAAAAGTGCTATTTCAAGGAAGACACAAATGATTAGAAAGTGAAACAGTGTTATTGCTGAGATGGAGAAAGTTTGAGTAGTCTGAACAGAAGATTAAGCCAGCCACAACATTCCCTTGAGCCAGAAGAGCAAGACTCTCTCTTCTATTCTACGAAAGTTAAGAGAGATTAGGAAGCTGCAGAAGGAAATTTTTAAGCCAAGAGAGGTGGGTTCATGAGGTTTAAGGAAAGAAGCTGTCTTTATAACATAAAAGTGCAAGGTGAAGCAGCAAGTGCTGATGGAGAAGCTGCAGCAAGTTATCCAGAAGATCTAGCTAAGTTAATTGATGAAGGTGGCTACACTAAATAACAGATTTTCAATGTGGATGAAACAGCCTTCTTCTTCTTCTCCTTCCTCCTCCTCCTCTTCTTCTTCCTCTTCTTCTTCTCCTCCTCTTCTTCTTCCTCTTCTTCTTCTCCTCCTCCCTCCTCCTCTTCTTCTCCTCCTCCTCCTCTTCCTCCTCCTCCTCCTTCTTCTTCTCCTTCTCATTCTCCCTCTCCTTCTTCTTTCTTCTTTTTGAGATGGAGTCTCATGCTGTTGCTCAGGCTCGAGTGCAGTGGCGTGATCTCAGCTCACTGCAACCTTTGACTCCTGGGTTGAAGCAATTCTCCTGCCTCAGCCTCCCAAGTAGCTGGGATCACAGGCACCTACCACCACGCCCAGTTAATTTTTGTATTTTTTGTAGTGACGGAGTTTCACCATGTTGGTCAGGCTGGTCTCAAACTTCAGACCTCAGGTGATCTGTCTGCCTCGGCCTCCCGAAGTGGAAACAGCCTTCTTTTGAAAGAAGATGCCATCTCGGACTTTCAGAGATAGGGAGGAGAAGTCTTTTCAAAATATTACTGCTAATTGACAATGCATCTAGTTGCCCAGGAGCTCTGATGGAGATGTACATGGAGATGAATGTTGTTTTCATGCCTGCTAACACAACATCCATTGTGTGGCCACAAATCAGGAGTAACTTGGACTTTCAAGTCTTATTATGTAAGACACACAGTTTGTAAGGATATTGCTGTTATAAATAGTGATTCTTCTGATGGATCTAAGTAACATAAATTGAAAACCTTCTCGAAAGAATTCACTATTCTACATTCCACTAGGAAAAGGAGAGGAGGGCAAAATCTCAACATTAACAGGAATTTTGAAAAGTTGACTCAAATCCTCTTAGATAACCCTGAGGGGTTCAAGATTTCAGTGAACAAAGTCACAAGACTTTAGTGGAGGAAGTCACTGCAGATGTGGAAAGAGAAAGAGAACTAGAATTTAAGATGGAACCTGAAGATGTGACTTAATTGCTGCAATCTCATAATAAAACTTGAATAAATGAAGACTTTCTGTTTATGGACAAGCAAATAATGTGGCTTCCTGTGATGGAATCTACTACTGATGAAGAGCCTGTGAAAACTGTTGAAATGACAACTAATGTTTTAGAACATTACACAAAGTTAGGTGATAAGGCAGCAGTAGGGCTTGCAAGGATTGACTCCAATTTTGGAAGAAGTTCTACTGTGGGTAAAATGCTATCAAACAGCATTATGTGCGGCTGGGCGCGGTGGCTCACGCCTATAATCCTAGCACTTTGAAAGGCCAAGGCGGGCGGATCACGAGGTCAGGAGATCAAGACCATCCTGGCTAACACGGTGAAACCCCGTCTCTACTAAAAACACAAAAAAATGAGCCAGGCGTGGTGGTTGGCACCTGTAGTCCCAGCTACTCAGGAGGCTGAGGCAGGAGAATGGCGTGAACCCGGGAGGCAGAGCTTGCAGTGCGCCGAGATCGTGCCACTTGCACTCCAGCCTGGGCGACATAGCGAGACTCCGTCTCAAAAACAAACAACAACAACACAACAGCATTATGTGCTACAGAAAAAACTTTTGTGAAAGGAAGAGTCAATTGCCACAGGAAACTTCATCACTGTCTTATTTTAAGAAATTTCCACAGCCCCCACAACCTTCAGCAGCCGCTACCCTGATCAGCCAGCAGCCATCAGCGTGGAGGCTAAAGCCTCTACCAGCAGAAGATGATGACTCGCTGAAGGCTCAGATGATTGTTAGCATCTTTTAGCAATAAAACATTTTCAATTACTGTGTGTACATTGTGTTTCAGACATAATGCTATTGCACACTTAATAGGCTACAATATAGTGCAAACATAACTTTTATATGCATTAGAAAATTAAAAAAATTCATGTGAGTTGCTTTATTGTGTTATTCACTTTATTGTGGCAATCTGGAACCAAACGTGCAATGTCTCTGAGATATGTCTATACATTAGTGTTACACAATATGTATTGAATTCCTACTATAAAATCATTTTTACTATTTACATTTGTATAATTATGTAAATCTTTTTTACCACTGAACCATGCGCTTATCATTCTTTACTTATATAACTTTTTATTTTCCCTAGATTTAATAATTACCTCGTTATATCATATGGTTAGCTTTCTTTGTATTGTTCACGAATTCATCACCAAATTCTCCACTGGTAGGGCAAATGTCTCCTCAATATTCTTATCCATATCACAGTGTATTATTTTTGTCTTGGAGATTCCTCACATATCACTTTCAATTCTCCATCTGCAATCTGAACTTGGAATTCTCTAGGCCTGCTGCATTGCTATTTCCTTGGAATTTTCTCTCATTATTATCCTTGAGAATTTGCTTTTTACCTGTTTCATACATTCAGTTATTCATTTTCTGGGATGTCATGTCTCCTGCTTTCCTCTTTCCTCTTCACTTGTTTTTGTGAAGGAAATAATCTAGTAGCTTTCCAAGAAAGTATACAAGAGAAATATAAAATGTAAGACTTTGTATATCTGAAAATACTCCTATTTTACTCCCATATTTGATTGTTACTTTGGCTTGGATAAAATTCTAGATTGGAAATATTTTCCCTAGGGATTTTGAAGACATTTCCCCCAATGTTTTCTAGCTCTATCTAACACTTGTAATCAAGTGTTATTATTCAGAATCCTATGCCGTTCTAATCTCTGTGATCAGTTTTCTTTCAGTGGAAACTATTGGAATTTTCTTTTAAGCTCCAAGTCCAAAATTCATGATAATTGTCTTGGTATAAATCTGTCTCCTCCATTGTGCCAGGAGCCTTCAATCTGGACATTTGGAAAAGTTACTTTTGTTATTTCTTTGATAATATCTCCCCTATACCTTCTTTCATAACACTGTTTTCTCTTTCTAGATCTCTATTACTTGAATATTGGACATCCTGTATTAACCTTATGTTTTTCTCATCTTTTATCCCTACTTTTTTGTCCTCTTGTCTTCTTGTTACTTTCTGGGAGATTTAACTTTATTTTCCATGCCTTTGAATGGCTTTCTAGCTTATGCTACCACATTTTTAATTTTCAAGGGCTCTTATTCTTTGAATGTCCCTTTTTAAGGAACATACTATTCTTTCAAGAATGCATTATCTCTTCCCATCTAAATTTTGTTCATCTTTCTTCTTGGTCTCTGGCTCCTCCAAGTGTACCGTTTTTTTATTTGTTTGTAACTGTCTTTACTGTTACAGACTTCTCTCATATATCTGGTGGTTGTTTGTTATCTATTCACATTTAAGAGGGAGGAATAACAACAACAAGAAGCCAGCTGGAAGTTCTGTAAATATGTGTAGGACTTGGTTAAAGGAGGACTTCTTTGTAGAGTCATTACGCAGGGACTGGCTGTTTCGCACATGGCTCAGAATTGCAGATAACCTGTTATCCTAGACAGGAATTCTTCAATCTGTTCCTTGGGAGGTAGAAGCTTAGCTACCAGCCAAATGGAAGTTGGAATCTCACTGTTTAATATGTAGATATGTAGATTTTTTTAACTTAATACCCCCATTTTTTTTGTATTGCCTTTCTATGCTCAGTGTGCCTCTCCAGACTCTGGAGTCAATGAACATTTTCAGCTGGAGTGGCAGGGGATGTCTCTGGGAGTTGAATGTTTCTTAAACAAACTTTAAACCAAAATGTTTGCACTCTTATTGTTTTGGATCATACTCACTTTTGCATTTAAGTATCTTGCCTGAATGTTCCTGGGCTTTGCAGCATTGCTTCCTTGCAGGCACTTAGAGTTGCACTTCTCATATCTTTTATTTCAGTGACCACTCAGTTACCTGCTTTTCCATTTTGAAAATCTTGTTGAGCTCTCTTTTATTGTAAAATTCCCTATTTTTTTTATCCTTGTGGAATCATGCCTTTCCCCATTCTGTTTGAAAATCTATTTACCGTCATTTTGCTGATGCTTTGGGAATGAATAGACTTTGAGTTACTGGATTTTTAGTGGATAAATTAACAAAACATATTTTCTCTTTTAAAGTATTTTTGAAGGGATCAGAGTTTCTAAGCAGAGTCTTTCCTTTTCTTTTATTTCCTAGCCTATCCAAAACAATGTCAAGTAATATTCAGCCACTGTATACATTTCTTTCTACCACCTGCCAAAGGTGTTATTTCCTTGAGGTTGTCATGTCTCATAGGATTGTGAGTATGGAGACAGAAGCCTTTGTCTATAGTTCACAGCCAAACTCTTTGGGCATCAATGAGCAATTGTTCTAAGGGGAAGGTATTTTGAGCCTTTTTATTATATCCTATAGCACAGAAATTAAGACTATCAGTGGCATCCAAGCATAACACTCTAGCTTTTGTAGAACTCAGAAGGGCAAGTTTTCTTCTGACTACCTTATTTAATAGAAATACAGAAAACAATCCAGCATTATTTCTAACAAACAGAGACTTCACTGAACATACTTTGAACATACTTTTTTTCCCATCTTACGGCATGTAATTTACTTTCTGAGGAAAAGCATGTGGATCTTGTGGTAATTTGCTTAAATTAAATGGTCATAGTTTATTAATCCATTTGTTCTTATGAGAAGAGAAAAAGTCATTACATTATGTGTCATGGTGATTGAGATTCTCTTAAGGCCTCTCATTATGATGGACAAATATTTTGGTTTTTTTAGGGGTTTATGAAACGCATGGAGGAGTTATTGTACGGTTTCTCAGAAACTGGAGGTTTCGCTTCTTTTGAGCAAACTTTAGAGAATGCCAAGTTGAAGGCTTGTTTTGTTGTTATTCCTTCCAAAGCATTTATCTTCTTAATTATGCATTATTGAATGTCACATTTTTTAAAGTTTGTGTTCCTTATCTCATAATAATTATATCCAGGAAATGATAACCTAAAAATCAAAGAAAGTTGATATTTGATAATCTAAAGGTAGATCATCCACAGGCAGATTATTGAAAGCTAAGTATAAAAAGATTGTTCATTTACAGAAAGTGGCAAGTTTTTTGATGATATTAACTTATGATAACTTGGATGCCAAGGATGAAAAGCCATTTTTACTGGATTTGGATATTGTGTTGTATGGGAAGCAGAAGGTAACAATCTGCACATTGCCCACATTGTCCTCATTACTTTCTTAAAATAAACTCATTTTCCCTGTGTTTATACAGATATGAATATGAATCTACAGTTTCAGTTTCAGGCAACTTGTCCTCAAACAGTTTCTTGTGTATGGAAAATGGAACCCAGATTTTAAGACCAACGCAGGATCCATCAGGTTGTCTACTTCATTGTATTGATTTTTGTTCAGCGAACTTATAACTAAACACTTTCTGCTGAGGGGCTTGAATGAGATATTGATTGAGTTAGATAAATAAACAAAGATATGTTCTCTCTCCAGGAACTTCCAAAGGAGTTACAATGGGCAATAAGAATAGCTAATAATAAAGAATGTTATTTTTCTTATATTTGAATGTATTTATTGAGAGTTCCTTGTTTATTTATTAACATGTTATCTAAAAATGAGTCAAAGGGCCGGGTGCAGTGGCTCACGCCTGTAATCCCAGCACTTTGGGAGGCTGAGACGGATGGATCACCTGAGGTCAGGAGTTCGAGACCAGCCTGGCCAACATGGTGAAACCCCACCTCTATTAAAAAATACAAAAATTAGCCAAGCATGGTAGCGGGCACCTGTAATCCCAGCTACTCAGGAGGCCGAGGCTGGAGGATCGCTTAAACCCAGGTGGCAGAGGTTGCAGTGATCCAAGATTGCGCCATTGCACTCCAGCCTGGGCAACAGAGTGAGACTCTGTCTCAAAAAAAAAAAGAGTCAAAGACATCTATCCAAGGACCACTGTTAAGTTCATCCCACAGAGGAAAACATCTTATAAGGATGGATTTATGCTGATGATTTGGTGTATATGATTATGTAAATAGGAACTAGAGACAGAAACAAAGTTCAAGAGATTTGTGTTCTATCACTGATCTTTAATAGCGGGGAAAACAGGCAAGTACGCTATAGTTCTGAATTACTCTATTCCCTTTCTATTGACTTAGGAACTTGTCTTTCTGCTCTTTTTTTTTCCCCCTCTACTGGAGATAGTGCTTTAAAATTCTACACAATAGCAGTGCTTCTTTCAGCTTCTGGTAGCCCTAGGCACCAATGTACTGGCTTCTGCCCCTTCTGTCCCTTCTGCTAAGAGACTTGTATAATCTTCTGGTTATACTTGGTCTGGAGATGACTCTGATGACTCAACATTTTTATGGGGACATTTTTATTCTGGATTCATGTTTGTGGAAATTGCAGTAGTCCACAAGGGTGGGAATTTCATGACCATCATTGAGTCAGGAAACCAAAACAGTTTCAAAAATTTGAAAAATGTCTGTCTCAGAAGAAGCCAAAGAACCCCCATGGGGGAAACAAAGGAAAACAATGACATTAATAGTGGCCTGTGTTCTCTTCCTGAGCGGGCTATTGCCAAAGACTGACCCAGGTGCTAGTCGGCTTCATTGTGGATATAGCAAAACCTTCCCATTCTGGCACATCTCCAGGAAGGTGGATTGATGCTTTCAATTTTGCCCTAGAATAGGCCTAGAGTTTGCCTGTGATCTCTAGACACAAATCACTTTGTGCATCACACAAACAAATCTGAATACCTAGAAATAGAGACTATTATTTTCCGACTGGAAATAATGGAGAGATAGCACTCACAAGAAATTCCTGGACCCAGCTGTGGTCAGGACCTCACAGTCTCACCTGGCAAATTTATAGGAGGTGAGAGTGCATTGTCCTTCAGATCCCTGAAAACGGGACTCCACAGAGCTTCCTCACAGCTTACCAGCTATTTTGGCTTAGAACATAGATGGCAAAGAGATTTACAGAATCCTTCAGAGATCTCCCTATCTTTCTCAGTTTCTATTCCCTTTGGTCTAGTCTTTGTTACTCTACTAAGCAGCTGCGGCTCCAAGGATTGGAGTGGATTTCTGTATTGAAAGTTATTTGGTGGTTACAGTATACAACATGCTCTATAGAGAACCTATGATGATTACCCAATTAAATATTTTTAGTTTCTATGAAATAATTAGAGCTGTAGAGAATTCACACTTTAGCGAACTTTTGTTTAAATCTTATAAATATAGTACCAATTCTAGAGAAATATATTTTTGTCTCCCCAAAGTTGGGTAGGAATGGGGAAGCACTTGTAGCAGCTGAATGAGTCCAGGAGTTGTGGAGAAACTGAATCTCTTTGATTTTTAATGTTTGCCAATTTCTGTGGTGTAACACTGCTATGAAACTACCAATGAGGTGTCACTGAACACTGAGTTGGGAGGAGGTGTGTATACTCATCTCTCCCAACTCAGTAGGGACTGGCTCCAGCATATCACTTACACTTGTCCATACTCAAGTCCACTGTCAGAAAATGCACTAGGGGTGCCCTGAGAAGTCACTGCTGGAATAGTAATATAAATCATTGACAAGGGGCCATGGTCATATAACTGTGAAATGCCTACAGAAAACATAGAATTAATATTACTGACACTTTATCGTCAAAGCACTAATGTCATGTCTTTTTTTTTTAATGCAGAGTGTACAAAGGAAGTTAAATCATTAATGTGGGTGTACGTCCTAGTAGGCAATATTGTACGTGGAATGGGTGAAACTCCCATCCTGCCTTTGGGTATTTCCTATATAGAAGATTTTGCCAAATTTGAAAATTCTCCTTTATATATTGGTAAGTATGGAAATCTACCTTAGCTTCTTTTCAGGGCAATATGTTCCTTGAGGTTAGAAATTAGTTATATTTTTGTAGTCTTAGTGATTTCCACAATGATGAGTAGAGTATCTTGGCACAGTTGGCCTTCCATAAAAGTTTGTTGAATGGAGATGAGATATGCTAAATGACAATGAGCTACTTGGTTAATAAATCTACTTTCTACTATTGGAAATACCACAAGTCTAGTGCCCCTGGAGGTGACCCTTTCATCTGCTTGGCACTACACTACATCCAATCTGTTAAGAGATTTGCAAATGTTTTCTCTAAAATGTTCTGTGCATTCAAAACCTTTCTCGCTATTTTCACTACCTCTGTTTTTGTTGAGGTTCTCATTACTTTGTCTGTAGTTTCTCTTTATTATTTTCTCTTCAGAATTTTATTTTCTCAGTTTTTAAGAAACATTCTTGCAATATAATTTTTCTCAAGCATTGTTTTAATCATGTCTTCTCTACTATATTTATGACACATATAAGCTCCTCATTTATTAAATCTGATCTGTCCACTTATTACTCATGGCTCTGCATGACATTCACTTACTTAGTTTCTATACAGTTTCTCTTCTTAATGATCTCTCCATATAGTCAGGCTTCTTCATATTTTTCACAAATACGTCTTCATCTTTTTGTTTATGTTTCTTGAAATTACCATTTTAAAATCCATGTAGGTCACCTGGAACAATAGCCAACTTAAGACCCACCTTCTTGTGCTGCCTTCCAATCTCTGAAATATTCTTAATTTATTATGCACGACTTGCTTATATTTTTTGTTATTCTATCAATAGTTGGTCATAAACTCATAACGTTTAGTATAGGGACATTTTGCCATTAATGTATGTAGGCATATCTTTTAAAAACTAAAAAAGTCAAAGAGGGTGAGAGAAGATGGAAATGATTACACATAATCCAGATGGATGAAAATATTGAGGGATCATTAACCCAAGTGACTTTTCACACATTTTGGCAACTCATTAATTTTGCAATAATCTTTTTCAGTGATTTTCTATTCAGTCCTTTTAACTTCCTTCACAAACTTATATTAAAAGAATGCAAACACTCTCCTACAATAAATTAACAAACACCTTGCTATGACATCTGTTTCTTTATTCAACAAATACTATGGTGTATTATATGTAAATGTAGCTGTGATAATCTCTATACATATTAAAATGAGGATGATGTGGTCCATACAAGGTTAGTAAATAAAGAACTACATAATTATTAGTACTATATATATGTAGTGTGTATATATATGTATATACATATATAGTGTGTGTTCATGTGTGTATCCATAACCAAATAACTATAAATCAAATAGCTCTACACCAAGAAAACAGTTCCATATGGCTCTGGAGTTTAGAAGAGAATATAAAAGCTAGGTTAAAAGTTGGAAAATTGACCAGGTGTGGTGGCTCATGCCTGTAATCCCAGCACTTTGGGAGGCTGAGGCGGACAAATCATCTGCAGTCAGGAGTTCGAGACCAGCCTGATCAATATGATGAAACCCCGTCTCTACTAAAAACACAAAAATTAGCCGAGTGTGGTGGTATGCGCCTGTAATCCCAGCTACTCAGGAGGCTGAGGCAGGCAGATCATCTGAGTTCAGGAGTTCGAGACCAGCCTGTCCAATATGATAAAACCCCATCTCTACTAAAAGTACAAAAATTGGCCAGGTGTGGTGGCATGTGCCTATAATCCCAGCTACTCAGTAGGCTGAGACAGGAGAATCACTTGAACCCGGGAGGTGGATCACTTGAACCCGGGAGGTGGAGGTTGCAGTGAGCACTCCAGCCTGAGCAATAAGAGTGAAACTCCATCTCAAAAAAAAAAAAATGGAGAGGTAATAAATGAAATCAAGAGGGAGAAATAAGGTTGCTGTGGAAGAACATATATATACTGAGAGATATTAGGATAAAATACTGGGAAAGACTTTTACTTAGTAAATAGAATAGGAGAAAGGAAAATCAAAGAAGGAATAGTCATAAGAACACAATGAAACAATACATGTATAGTTTAATGAAACTCTCAGGAAGAAATGTAAAAAGAGGAGTTGGCCAGCAATGTCAAATAACCTAGAAAGCTAGGAAGATGAAGACCAAAAAAAGACACTAAATTAGTGACAAAGAGATCACTGGGGCTACCTGAGAGTATTTGGAGGAGAATGTAAAAGGATTTGAGTAAAGTGAGTGAGAGGTGAGGAAGTAGAGGCAGAGAGTATAGTGAAAGGAGAGAAAGCAGGGTGGATTTGAGATTTTGTAGAATCATTGGCTACGGGGAAATTGAACGCGCACAAGAGAGGGAGTATTTGGTAGAGCAAAACCTTAGAGAAGATAGAAGGGGTTGGAACCAAGAAGTTAGGTGTGTATAGGGCGGGTTCTCCAAGAACCATGGAGAAGGCAGAGATAATAGGCAAAGCCAAATTTTGAAGTGAACAGGAAGAAAGTTGAAGAAGCTCGTGTCTGGATTTTCAGAGATCAGGGAGGGTTCAGCATAGGTTCTGAATTGTAGACAAGTGATGAGACAGCTGATGATGAAATTTTAATGGATAAGAATTCAAGTGAAGACAGATAGGACTGATGGACATGGAAAATAAAACTGTGGAAGTAAAGGAAGGAGAACATGATAAAATCAAAGACTTGTATCATATAATAATAATGAGGACATAGCCAGAAGGAAGTTTCAAGTTGCAGATCTGAGAGTGAAACTTTTTTGAGGAATGTGCCATGAGAAATCCACTATAAGATGGTATTGCTTTAGAATTCCTCCCAAAACATGCCTGTGGGATGAATTAACAGGACCTTGGTTATATCACGACCTAGTCAATGGCATGATCCCAGCTGGGACTGCCTGTGCTGTTACAGCAAATCTCTACCTGTGACCCAGCATGAAAGGGAATTTGGAGGCCAGGGAAAGTGGCTTTAAATTATGAGGCTTCTTTTTCAACATTTACAGAAACAACCATCATTTATATGTACATCAAGCTTAACTTCATATAAATTGTGTATCTAGTCAAAAGTATCCAAGGCAAAAATATTCAATCTTCAGGCTTTTCATAGACCTAGAACTCTTTATGTGGGCATATAACTGTACTATAACCTTATACTTTTATTTATTTTTAGGGCTTGTAGAAACAGGAGCTATTATTGGTCCTTTGATTGGACTTTTGTTGGCATCATTCTGTGCAAATGTTTATGTTGACACTGGATTTGTGAACACAGGTAATTCAATAAAATCTATTTGTACAGTGTCTAGACTATACAAAGCATCTCAGGTATGTTATCATATATAATCATGGCCTTACTTGACCTTCAATTTGATAAATGATCTCTACTTTAAAAGTGAGAAACTCTAGTGGAGGAATTTAAATAACTTTTAAAATATTCCAAACCAGAAAGCAGTAGTGCAAAATAAAATGCTAATCTGACACAGAATCACATGCTATTTCTAGTGCACTTCAACTATATTTCTTGGTTTTACAAAATTTAAGCATGTAGGTTTGAATTTATTTCAATTAAGCAATCATTTGTTGATGATGAAATAGAACTTTAAGCAATCATTTGTTGATGATGAAATAGAACTTGTAGCTGTTTAGTTAATACCTGCTTTTAAATCCCTTACATGATAGACAGATAACCAGCCTAATTTATTACTAGACAATATTACAACACCACATATTATTAGAAAAATTTTATCAGTGTCTGAATTATAAGCCAATTTTATAGTTGGTTGGGACCCGATAATTCTAATTTTAATAATTTTCTATAGTTCATACAGAAAATACTGACTTAAGCTAATAACAGTGTGTGTATTTTTTTACAGATGATCTGATCATAACTCCCACTGACACTCGTTGGGTCGGTGCATGGTGGTTTGGCTTTCTGATTTGTGCAGGAGTTAACGTGCTCACTGCCATTCCTTTTTTCTTTTTGCCCAACACACTTCCAAAGGAAGGACTAGAGACTAATGCTGACATCATTAAAAATGAAAATGAAGACAAACAAAAAGAAGAGGTCAAGAAGGAAAAATATGGAATCACTAAAGGCAAATATACATATTCTAAATACTATGAAATTGACCTTTTATTTCATATAGATATGTCTGTATTTTAGTCTAACACTATGATATGCTATGCTGTGTTGAGACAATTTGTCATCAACAGTCACCAGTCAAGAATACCTAACTAGTCCGATTCTTCCTATGGTACTACTTGAAAATAAATATTATAATTTGGAAGCTGAAATATTTCAGATCAGCATTTGTGTAAACTTTTATGTCAGTCTTGGCACTCTCCTCTCTCTCTCTCTTTCATATATATATACACACACATATATATGTACACACACATATATATATACACACATATATACACATATATATGTACACACACATATATCTACACACATATATACACATATATATGTACACACACACATATATATATGAGAGAGAGGAGAGAGAGGGTCATGTATATATATACACACACGTATATATATATATACACGTATATATATATACACACACGTATATATATATACACGTATATATATACACATATATGTGTGTGTATATGTGTGTGTGTATATATATACGTGTGTGTGTATATATATATATATATATACACACGTATATATATGGTCCCATTTGCTCAAAAAACCGATTTTACAGAGAACATAGGTTGAATTGAAACAAAATGAACAAGCAAATTTAAACTAAGAACAAAAGTAGGAAAAAGTATACTCTAATCTTAATAGGTAGTATAGTTTTGTAACCAGTGTGTTAGTTTAACGAAGAGCTTCCTGGAAGTTAAATCAGAAAGAAAAAAAAAAACATGATCGGTGACCCACCTCTCTATACTTGGTAGAGGGAAGAATAATAATTTTTAAACAGAAGCAGTTCTCCAAGGAAGAAATTGTAAAAAAATTTAAAAATGATCATAAGATACATGATACAGGTAATATTGAGCCACATAGTGGTTTTCCAGCAAATGAAAGGGTAAATTGCATGTAACATTTTTTTTGGTACAGAACCTCAATAAAAGCTCAAAGTATAATTTACAGAAGGTTTTTCTGTGGGAAACTAAACTAAGATAGCCTAAGTATTTAGTACTCAAGAGCACTGATGCTCAAACTTGGCTGCACATTGGAATCACCTAGGAAATTTTAAAAATGATTGATGCCTGAAAGTTCTGTAGTATTCCCAAAAGGTCAGATTTAATTAGTGTGGATGTGCAGCCTGGCTATTGGAACTTAAAAATGTTTATTTGACGGATGGTGAGGGTCTCAGTTTTCTGTCAAATGGGGATAATAATAGTACTTACTATAGAATTGTTGTGTGAAGGTAAAAGACATTCTAGCACACATTATTATTAATACTGATACTAGTGTTAGTACTTTTATGTTGTCATTGTTGTTTCTATCATCACCCATAAGTTACAATGTCAATTTGCATAGAATTTTTCTTAACAATTGTAAATTCTCTTAAATCATAATTGAGCATAATTTAATACATCTTTGGTCATTAGGAGCCAACTCAGAATCTTGCAAATTCTCAGAATCATTCTGATGATATTAAAAACTCTTCTTAAAGGATTGTTATGGACTGATAGACCTCTTGCAGTCTGCAAGATCAGTTCCATTTTCAAAATTAGGAAAGAGCTTAGCTTGTTGCAAGACATAGAAAAGAAACTTGTGCTACTGAAACTCATCTATTAGGACAGGGATGTCAACAAACATGGGTGACTTAAAAATCTTCAGATAACTCTCTCTCCTGTCAGGTACCCTATTCATAAATATAAATTTTACAATTATAACTCATTTACTTGCATTAATCTGTGTGTCCTCCTCTTCTAAATTGTTTATTTATTGAAATTTTGTTCCAGAATGAATTGTGAGCAGTTTATTAAGCAAACCAAGATTGTGCATAAGAAAGTCAAGACAGAGAACATGTGGACAGGAAAAGTGAAAGGAAATTAAAAGTGAGAACTTGAGCCTGAATGGTAGCAGTGTGACCAAGAACATTTACTAGAAGCAGGCCACACATTACTAGAGGCAGGCCACACATTACTAGAAGCAGGCCAAACATTACTAGAGGCAGGCCACACATTTGGCTCTGTGCTTTTTCTAACAGGAATCATTTTTGATTAAATCATTTACATAGTCCTTAGAATGTACCAAATGAATCAGCATCTCTGAGGATGGGACCTGGATGTTGGTATTTTAAAAAATATCTCCAGGTAGATCTTGCTGAGAACCAATGGCAGAACCACTGAAACTGTTGTTCTGAAGAAGCAAAAAAAAATTCCGGATACTTGAGAACATTCATATCTCATTAATTCCCACACATCTTTATTTCAAATGTTCAGGGAGTGATAAAATAAATATTTGTGTGAAATCTTCTTTATCAACTCGATTTTCCTCCAGACTTTACAGAACAGAACAAGCATCTTTCATTCTAATGAGCTGTAGAAAAAAGAATATATTAATAGAAGAACAAAAGGTTAGTAATAAAATGCTGTGGACGTAGACAATATTTTGGTCACTTTGTAGTTTTGCTTACTGATCTTTAAGACTCAACAGTGACTTATTGAGGGCAAAACTGTTGTGTTCTGATCCCTACCCAGTCAGCTACATCACTGACTTCCAGAAGCCACCAAAACATTGCTATGACTTCAGCTTTCAAGGGGAAAAAAGAATTAGCAAACAATACATATTACAAAATAGTAAAAAACATAATTTGTTGAGGAGGTGGATGTTTCAGGAAAAGCCAGTCACAAAATGCAAAGCCAAGTTCGTTTGACACAGTTGTCATTCTTTCATTTCAGATTTTCTACCTTTCATGAAAAGTCTTTCCTGCAATCCAATTTATATGCTTTTCATACTTGTAAGTGTGATACAGTTCAATGCATTCGTTAACATGATCTCCTTCATGCCTAAATACCTAGAACAGCAATATGGAATATCATCTTCAGATGCAATCTTTCTAATGGGTATGTTTGTTTTTCTCTGCCTTACTAGCACACTTTCCCCCCCACGAACAGTGTGATGGCGGGTGTAGCAAACTCCTAAGTTGAAGTGTTTTAGGATATTTTTTGACTCTGGTGGATTTCTTCCTTCTAATCTCAAGAAAGAAAGAAAGAAAGAGAAAGAAAGAAAGAAAGAAGGAAGGAAAGAAGGAAGGAAAGAAGGAAAGAAAGAAAGGGTAGGGAAGGGAAGAGGTCAGAAATACCTTGATTTTCTTCTCTCTGAAGTCAGAATGTGAATTCATAATATGAATGCAAATATTTGGGAGTGCAAAAATTACATATTTTCAGATAGGATTGTGCATTTTACTACCAAATTTTACTCTTTTTGGTTCCAGTTCAAGGATTCTATGTTCCTCCTAATTTAATTTTTTGGTCCCCCTAGTGGTTTTAGGTGTCTCTGCAGCCACACACATTCGGCTTTTCCTGCAACCACACTAACCTCAGTGGTTTTAGCCTAACTTGGGTTTTTCCTGGGATCTTTCCACTGTTTTTAAAAGTCAATATCCCAGGCTACTTGTATCCACACTACCTAAAGTGCTTGTGAAAGCTTCAAATACCTGGGGTTCCCCCTCAGACACACTGAATCAGACTCTAGGGCGTGGGGCTCTGGAATGGATTTTTAACAAGCTCTCTCAATAATATGATTCGGGGAGCCAGATGCTCACATTGTATAGATGGAACCTAGGGCTATCTTCTCCTTTTTCTATTCTTTTTTTTCACTTATTGGGAAGGGTTCAGAGAGGAAGAGCCAGTAGCAGCAAGACATGAAATGTAAATACACTTGACAGCAACAGGCTCAGCAAAGTGACTCTCTAAAGTACCTTGAACTGGGTGTGGTGGCTCATGCCTTTAATTCCAGCACTTTGGGATGCTGAGGAGTGAGGATCACTTGAGGCCAGGAGTTCAAGACCAGCCTGGACAACATAGCAAGACTTTGTCTCTGCAATTTTTGTTTTTAAATTAGCCAGGTGTGGTGTTGTGCACCTGTAGTCCCAGCTACTTAGAGGGCTGAGGTGGGAGCATCTCTTAAGCCCAGGAAGCTGAGGCTCCAGTCAGCTATGATCATATCACTGCACTCCAGCCTGGGCAATAAAGCAAGATTCTGTCTCTAAAAAAAGAAAAGAAAAAGCACTTTGAGAGGAGTCTAATTCTTCACAACCAAAGTGAGGATAGGTAACTGAAAAATTGTATATATATATTCTCACTACACAGAATAGAGGGTAATAAATGAATAAATTACTGGCCAATTTTGACTTGCCACTTCTACCTGGATCCTAAGAAAAGAGATTTTTATCATGATCTCTGCCTATAAGAAATTCACAAGCTACTGCAATGAGTTAAATGAATGATAATATAATAACAAGAGTCTCCCAAAATATACTTCCCCATTATGGGGGCATTTCAAAATCTCCCTGTGGGTAATGTGTAACTAAGTGGGGATAAAATTAAATCATTCTTCTTCACTATGAGTTGGACCTAAATAGTTACTTATATAAGGCATATTACATAAAAGTGATAACATATTTGTTCCTTTGGTAAGTCATTTTGTAAATAATATTTTATTTGCATTTATAGGTATTTATAACTTACCTCCAATATGTATTGGATATATAATTGGTGGTTTAATTATGAAGAAGTTCAAGATTACTGTCAAACAAGCTGCCCACATAGGATGTTGGTTATCCTTACTTGAGTATCTTCTCTATTTTTTATCTTTTCTCATGACTTGTGAAAATTCTTCAGTTGTTGGAATAAATACCTCTTATGAAGGGTATGTTGTTTTCTAATGAATGTGAGAATCTTTCAACAAATGGTTAATATGATATTTTTTACAATGGCAATGCACGATCAGATCATTTTCTTATTGGAGTTAATGATAGTAATCCATGCTTTTCCTGTATCTTTCCTCCATCTGTCAATCAAGCCAATCTATCCAAGCTCTAGGCTTATTAATGAGGTTGGGAACATATCACAGGGTGAGTGAATTTATGATTGTATGTGCATGTGGGTGTGTGTGCATGATTGTCTTTGTGATATCCGAGTAGACATTATCCTATGAAAGAAACTACCTACAGTTTCAGGTTGTATTAAAATATGTTATCCATATATCTTATACTCCCATAACTGAGTAAAACTAAGAGTTGATTATACAGTCAAAATGGCCTTTATATGTTTCCCCAATGGGCTTAAGTTTGGCATAACTAAATCATAATACATGATAAATTAATTAATACATAATTCATATATTTCATTTATATTGCTATGTCTAAAATATTGAATCATTTCATATTTTGTATTTTAAAGGTTATCTGGGTTTTACTGAAATGTTTTCCATAGTGATGTACATTAAAAGAATTCACCTGTAGGGCGTATTTTGACAATCAAGCTATCAGTTAAAATGAAATAAAGAACATCCTAAAATGTTTTTTCAAAATTATCAAGGTTTATTAGATTGAAATAATTTCAAATGTAAAATAGTAATATAATTTTACATATGCTATTTGATTTGAGACTCATGAGCTTCATCTAAGATAAGCATTATTATCTCCACTTTACAGATTAAATTGAGATTCAGAGAAATTTAATGATAAAAGCAGTTCATTTCAAATCTCTTCAACTACATCAATATAGAAATGGATTTTAAAATTGGAATAAATTTTAAAGATTGCCTCCATCTCCAATGATGCTGATTCCCAGACAGAATGTGTAGAAAGTCGCACTGTGATCTAGTCTGAATGCAGTCTCTAAACTGCTATGCAAGTGCTCTTTCAATCATATTACAAGCACTGGTCACTTTTTATATTAGTAGAATGCACTTCTTTAATTCAAATACCTATGTTTCTGGAGCTAAATGTATTATCTATATTACAAATGGAACTTTCAGATTTTTATCTTCATGCTAGTCCTGTCTTGCTATTTGCTACCTAATGGATGAATCACAGAGATTAGTTCATCTTCATCTTTCGAGATCTAATAGTATGTGAAAACATGACTCCACATGGTAGGTGCTCAATTAATGCTTGTTTATTGCCTATATATTCTTCTGAGATAAATCATTGAAGGAGTGGCTATGTGGTCATCAAAGCAGGTCTCTTTTATACCAAAGCTATAGTAAACAGGTCACACATTGATGACTGGAAAATTTCTCTTTCTATTCATGGGAGGAGAGGAAATCTAACTGGGGATTGAGATGAAAAGAAGAAAAAAAGGATTGAATCCTCTTTTAATATCTATGGCATTATTTTAAATCACTTCAGAATTCCACAAGATTTATATGTGGAAAATGACATCTTTGCTGATTGCAATGTGGATTGCAACTGTCCATCTAAAATATGGGATCCTGTGTGTGGAAACAATGGCTTGTCATATCTGTCAGCTTGTCTTGCTGGTTGTGAGACATCCATTGGAACGGGAATAAACATGGTAAGACATCCTATTTGACAGAACTTTTTTGAGTTGCATTGGTACTTCCCAACTATGAACTGGGCCTATATTTAATAAAAGTAAAATTAGTGTTTCCTCAAAACCATATTACTTTTTTTGTATGTGGAAAAATAACTCTATGATGGTCACTTGATTACCTTTTATTTCCCAGATCTTATGTGAAACCTCCATAGCATCTGACCAGTGATCTGAAATTTCCAAGAAGTTTATATTATTACTCAAATAATTTGGGTTGTAAATACTCTGGACTAAAAAAATTTTATCATTGAAATAAAGTTGGTGGTTTTGATTTCAATTGTCCAGCTAATTGCTTTGCTATATATATATACATATATATATACACACATATATATATATTTTTCTGTGTATATGTATGGATGTGCTTTCTGTGTTTTTCACATTCTGACAGTTCTTTGAGAATTTAGAATTAGGAATGTTCTCTTGCCTCTAAGATATCACAATATAATATAACATCAATTGTAATATTAATATAACGTTGGTTGGTGATCAAAGTAAACTATAAATTTTGATTCTTATTAAGACCTGGAAACATGTAACAATTCAAAAAAGGTTGACAATTCTTTTTTTGAAAGAAACTATTTCTTTTCTTTTCTTTTTTTTGAGATGGAGTCTCACTCTGTCGCCTAAGCTGGAGTGCAGTGGCATGATCTCGGCTCACTGCAACCTCCACCTCCCAGGTATAAACGATTCTCCTGCCTCAGCCTCCTGAGTAGCTAGGATGACAGGCACATGCCACCATGCCCGGGTAATTTTTGTATTTTTAGTAGAGACGGGATTTCACCATGTTGGTCAGGCTGGTCTCGAACTCCTGACCTTGTGATCCGCCTGCCTTGGCCCCCCAAAGTGCTGGGATTACAGGCGTAAGCCACTGCGCCCTGCTGAAATAAACTATTCCTTTGAAGCAAAGCTTTATTTGTAAGCATCTAAATATTTCAGTTGAGCACTCTGAAACAGATTTTGTTTGTCCAATGTAGTGTTGTATCAAAACACTGTTTTAAAAAGTGTATTAGCTGGGCGCGGTGTCTCACACCTAGGAATCCCAGCACTTTGGAAGGCAGAGACCGGTGGATCATCTGAGGTCAGGAGTTCGAGACCAGTTGGCCAACATGGTGAAATCCATCTCTGCTAAAAATACAAAATGTAGCTGGGAATGGTGGCAGGCGCCTGTAGTCCCAGCTACCCCAGAGGCTAGGGCAGGAGAATCACTTGAACCTGGGAGGCAGAGGTTGTAGTGAGCCGAGATCGCACCACTGCACTCCAGCCTGGGCGACAGGGTGAGTCTCTGTTTCAAAAAAATAAATAAATAAATAAAATAATAAAAAAGTGTGTCTTTAGGGTAACTTATTAGTTATTACAAATTTACTATTCATATTTAGAAAAATATACCGTTTTTCTGAAATCACCCTTCCAGTTTTGTTATATGGTGTAATCTTGAGAGACATCATAATGGAGATGGAGTAAAGGGAACAAGCAGTCTCCATCTTGATCCAACTGGCTGTGTAGAAAATGTTTAAAATTTGTGTTCAAGATTTTTACTTCTTAGTATAATATGTTATTTTTTGGCAGGTGTTCCAAAATTGCAGCTGTATTCAAACATCAGGAAATTCATCTGCAGTTCTTGGGCTGTGCGACAAAGGACCTGACTGTTCCTTGATGCTCCAGTACTTCCTAATCTTGTCAGCGATGAGCAGTTTCATTTATTCTTTGGCTGCCATACCTGGATATATGGTTCTCTTGAGGTACAAAATTATTTTCTTTATTTATATTTTTTTGGGGTCATTTATTAAGGTAGCTTGTTCTAAGAAAGTCACTCAGGACTCAGTATCTAAGAACTCAGTGCTCTAACGTACCATTTATTAAGGGTTTTGTATTAAGCATTGTTGGATTTCACAAAATTTTAAAGTTAGCAATGCACATGTTCATCTGCTGGCATTTCACTCCTATTCCTCGCTACTTTTCTTCCTTATTTCTTAGAGTTAAATGAGTGGACCTCTCATTTTGTGACAAAAGAGACACATTTATATCTTAGGGTAGGCCGTATAAAATGGCCATTTTGATAGGTAAAGAGTGGGTGCCTAGCAGCCATTTCCTAGGGTTCAACCTATAGGACAGCAGTGCAAAGCTGTCAGAAGCCCCCATCTCGCTAAGGTCACTTGATCTTTCTGAGCTCCATTTTTCTTTAATAATAATGGGCATAATAATAAATACTTGGCTCTCTTACAAGGCTACTGTGAGACATCAATGCTGAAAGACTTTCTAAAACTAGGAAATTGCAGAGCCAGTTTTCAAATTTAGGTATATTAAATAAATCTTCTTTCAACTACACCAGTCTTTGTGCCTAGTAAACAATCCTGAACATAATTTGCATTTTTTCTCTCTTTTTCTTCTTCTTTTGGAGCTCTAAAGTAGAGTTCAGTTAATCACAATGCTCAAGTCATAACACATTATCATCATAGGCCAGTGCAAGGATTCTCTCTTATTTTACTTCATTTATTTATTTATTTCTATTCAATTCCCTACTTCCAGTCACCATAGCTGCTCACTTAAGTATGACAGATAGATGTCTTAAATATGTATTTCCTTTGTAAAATATTAGAATTTTTTGTGTGCATCTGTTTTTATATTCACAACAATGGTGGTGTGGTGTTAAGTCTTGTTCCGATTCATAAGGTAGATGCATAGATAAATTCACCAGTCCTATTTAGAGTAATTTTTATATCATCACTGCATGAGAGTTAGAATTATCTAACTTTGTGATGTTGACTAATCCAATGGGTGTAAAATACTAATGATAGCTCATTGATGTGTCAATATGTGATGTCCTGATACACTGAGCTTAAGCATCTCTTCAAATAACTTTGTAGCTAAAAGTTATTCATGATGCTTATTCAATTTATTTTACCCACTTTACTCATTATATTTCCTGCATCCTATGTTTTTCTTGATGAATTTGATGATTACTATGTAAATTACAGATATTAATGTAATACTGTTTATATGATACAATTATCTTCACTTAGTCTGTCTTCTTTCTTTTAACTTTTACAGTGCCATTTATGAAATGAAATCCTAAATTTTGTTGTACTAAAATCTAACAAGTTTCTTACCTTAGTGTTTGTGTATTTGGAAGAGAAGTCACATTTTTAAAATTGCTTCCACATTTCTAACTTATAAAAATATTCCCTTAAATTTTATTCCCCCCTGGCTTTCCCGCTTTACCTTTTGCATAGTTTTTTAAGCCATCTCAAATCTATTTTTATATGTGGTTTAAGGGACATAGATATCCAGTGTTATTTTTCTCCGAATAATAAAGTTGTTTTCCAAAATCATAGTGTATATAATACGTCCTTTTTCCTTTGATTTGTGGTGCCACCATCTCAAGTTTTTATAATTAGTGAGTCTATTTTTCATCCTTATTCTGCTCCACAGATTTATTTGCCTGTTCCCATACCAGCGTCACCTTGATTTAATTACTTTGGCCTTGCAAATGTTAATATCTCATATGGTAACTTTGCCTCACCCACCTGCCATCTTCACTTTTCCTTTATTCTTTCTTTCTCAAACTTATTTTGCTGTCTGTGGATCTTTATATCTTCATAAGAATTTTGACTGAGTTTGTGTAGATTCCATAGATTACTTGGAGAAAATCTGACATCAAATATTTTTGAACATGTAATATCCTGTCATTTGCTTAAATATTCCTTTGTATCCTTAAAGTTCTTAAAAATTTTTCATAAAGGTGATGTGCCATTAGATTGCTTCTTAAGTACTATATATAAATATATAAATTATATATGCACATATATACATATATATGTCTCTATATGCACACACACATATGTACATACAGCCACACAGATACATACACACACGCATACATACACACACACACACTGAGAAAAACAAACGGTTTCTCTATTCAAACAGAACACTTCTGATAGCCAGATGTGTGTATTATTTTCCTACACTGTTCAATTCTGCAACACCAACTGGGTGTTCTACTGTTCCATGCAATTCTAGTGCTATCTGCATAGACTTTGCATCAGATGGCAAAAGTTAAACGGTTCAGTCCTACAAGACTGCCCCCACTTTAGATGTCAATCACAAAATCACAAGTCCAGACACCCTGGGCTGCTTTTTTTTTTTTTTACCCTGGGCTTCTGACTGACAAACGATGCATTAAGGTTGATGCCTCCATTTTCTAGAATGGTTCACAGAACTCAGGGAAGAAACACTTTTCTTACATTTACTGGTTTATTATGAAGGTTATTATAAAAGACACAAATGGAAACCAGGGTGGAGTTGGGGTGTGCCACTCTCCTGGCATGTGGATATGTTTACCAACTCAGAAGCTCATCAAATCTCCTAGTTCAAGAGCTTTTAGGGAGCTTGATCTTCAGCACACACATCCCACTCCATTCTCCTGGAGGTCTGAGTGTGGGGCTGAGAATTCCAATCTTCTAATAACTTGGTCTTTCTGGTGACCAGTCCCAACATCAGTCTGGGAGGCCACCCTGTCGTCTCATTACTATAGACTCAGGTGTGATCAAAACAATCTCCTTAAGAATGACAAAATACATTCCTATCACTCAGGATGTTCCAAGGGAATTCTAAGAACTCCAAGGACACGTGTCAGAAGCTAGGGACAAAGACCAAATATATTTCTAGTGATGCCATACACACACACACACACACACACACACACACACACACACACAGAATGGTACCATTACCATCACAAATGTACAATATACATATATATCCATCTACATGTAAATATTTGTGATTGCAAATATATAGAGATATGAATATGTATATGATTTTAAACTGATTTATATTTGTATTGATTTTAAATATATTTAAATTTATATTTGTATTGCTTGTAAATAATTGTGATTATCAATGTGATTGTACATGGTATTTTGTATGTATATGTATATATGTGTATCATTTCCCCATATACAAATATAAATTTTATATCTAGATTATAATTACATAGCATATAATTAAAATTATACATAAAATAAATCAGAAGTAAAAATTAGATTTAAAAAATTAATCATATATAAATATAGTTTTTTTAATTTTAAATTTTTATGGGTATATAGTAGGTGTATATATTTATGGGTTATGTGAGATATTCTGATACAGGCATGCAGTGTGTAATAACCATATTAGGGTAGATGGGGTATCCATTCCCTCAAGCATTTATCCTTTGTGTTACAAGCAATTCATTTATACTCTTTTAGTTATTTTAAAATGTACGAGTAAATTATTTTCCACTATAGTCACTCTAATACACTATCAAATAGTAGGTTTAATTCATTCTTTCCATTTTTTCGTACCTATTAACTATCTCTACTTCCCCACCACACCCAGGCTACCCTTTCCAGCCTCTGGTAACAACCCTTCTGCTCTCTATCTCCATGAGTTCAATTGCTTTCATTTTTTCTTTTTTTTCTCAGATGGAGTCTCATTCTGTTGTCCAGGCTGGAGTGCAGTGGCACAATCTTGGCTCACTGCAACCTCCGCCTCCCTGGCTCAAGCGATCCTCCTGCTTCAGCCTCCTGAGTAGCGGGGACTACAGGCATGCACCACCACACCCACTAATTTTTGTATTTTTAGTAGAAACAGTGTTTTATTATGTTGGCCCGGCTGGTCTTGAAGTCCTGATCTCAGATGATCCATCTGCTTTGGCCTCCCAAAGTGCTGGGATTACAGGCATGAGCTATCGTGCCCAGCCTGTTCTCATTTTTAGCTCCCACAAGTAAGTGAGGACATGCAAAGTTTGTCTTTTGGTGCCTGCCCTACTTTACTTAACGTTATGACCTCCAGTTCCATTCATGTTGTTGCAAATGAAAGGGTCTCATTCTTTTTTTTTTTTTTTTTTTATTATACTTTAAGTTTTAGGGTACATGTGCACATTGTGCAGGTTAGTTACATATGTATACATGTGCCATGCTGGTGCGCTGCACCCACTAACTCGTCATCTAGCATTAGGTATATCTCCCAATGCTATCCCTCCCCCCTCCCCCCACCCCACCACAGTCCCCAGAGTGTGATATTCCCCTTCCTGTGTCCATGTGATCTCATTGTTCAATTCCCACCTATGAGTGAGAATATGCGGTGTTTGGTTTTTTGTTCTTGCGATAGTTTACTGAGAATGATGGTTTCCAGTTTCATCCATGTCCCTACAAAGGACATGAACTCATCATTTTTTATGGCTGCATAGTATTCCATGGTGTATATGTGCCACATTTTCTTAATCCAGTCTATCATTGTTGAACATTTGGGTTGGTTCCAAGTCTTTGCTATTGTGAATAGAGCCGCAATAAACATACGTGTGCATGTGTCTTTATAGCAGCATGATTTATAGTCGTTTGGGTATATACCCAGTAATGGGATGGCTGGGTCAAATGGTATTTCTAGTTCTAGATCCCTGAGGAATCGCCACACTGACTTCCACAATGGTTGAACTAGTTTACAGTCCCACCAACAGTGTAAAAGTGTTCCTATTTCTCCACATCCTCTCCAGCACCTGTTGTTTCCTGACTTTTTAATGATTGCCATTCTAACTGGTGTGAGATGATATCTCATAGTGGTTTTGATTTGCATTTCTCTGATGGCCAGTGATGATGAGCAATTTTTCATGTGTTTTTTGGCTGCATAAATGTCTTCTTTTGAGAAGTGTCTGTTCATGTCCTTTGCCCACTTTTTGATGGGGTTGTTTGTTTTTTTCTTGTAAATTTGTTTGAGTTCATTGTAGATTCTGGATATTAGCCCTTTGTCAGATGAGTAGGTTGTGAAAATTTTCTCCCATTTTGTAGGTTGCCTGTTCACTCTGATGGTAGTTTCTTTTGCTGTGCAGAAGCTCTTTAGTTTAATTAGATCCCATTTGTCAATTTTGGCTTTTGTTGCCATTGCTTTTGGTGTTTTGGACATGAAGTCCTTGCCCACACCTATGTCCTGAATGGTAATGCCTAGGTTTTCTTCTAGGGTTTTTATGGTTTTAAGTCTAATGTTTAAATCTTTAATCCATCTTGAATTGATTTTTGTATAAGGTGTAAGGAAGGGATCCAGTTTCAGCTTTCTACATATGGCTAGCCAGTTTTCCCAGCACCATTTATTAAATAGGGAATCCTTTCCCCATTGCTTGTTTTTCTCAGGTTTGTCAAAGATCAGATAGTTGTAGGTATGCGGCGTTATTTCTGAGGGCTCTGTTCTGTTCCATTGATCTATATCTCTGTTTTGGTACCAGTACCGTGCTGTTTTGGTTACTGTAGCCTTGTAGTATAGTTTGAAGTCAGGTAGTGTGATGCCTCCAGCTTTGTTCTTTTGGCTTAGGATTGACTTGGCGATGCGGGCTCTTTTTTGGTTCCATATGAACTTTAAAGTAGTTTTTTCCAATTCTGTGAAGAAAGTCATTGGTAGCTTGATGGGGATGGCATTGAATCTGTAAATTACCTTGGGCAGTATGGCCATTTTCACGATATTGATTCTTCCTACCCATGAGCATGGAATGTTCTTCCATTTGTTTGTATCCTCTTTTATTTCCTTGAGCAGTGGTTTGTAGTTCTCCTCAAAGAGGTCCTTCACATCCCTTGTAAGTTGGATTCCTAGGTATTTTATTCTCTTTGAAGCAATTGTGAATGGGAGTTCACTCATGATTTGGCTCTCTGTTTGTCTGTTGTTGGTGTATAAGAATGCTTGTGATTTTTGTACATTGATTTTGTATCCTGAGACTTTGCTGAAGTTGCTTATCAGCTTAAGGAGATTTTGGGCTGAGACAATGGGGTTTTCTAGATAAACAATCATGTCATCTGCAAACAGGGACAATTTGACTTCCTCTTTTCCTAATTGAATACCTTTTATTTCCTTCTCCTGCCTGATTGCCCTGGCCAGAACTTCCGACACTATATTGAATAGGAGTGGTGAGAGAGGGCATCCCTGTCTTGTGCCAGTTTTCAAAGGGAATGCTTCCAGTTTTTGCCCATTCAGTATGATATTGGCTGTGGGTCTGTCATAGACAGCTCTTATTATTTTGAAATACGTCCCATCAATACCTAATTTATTGAGAGTTTTTAGCATGAAGGATTGGTGCATTTTGTCAAAGGCTTTTTCTGCATCTATTGAGATAATCATGTGGTTTTTGTCTTTGGCTCTGTTTATATGCTGGATTACATTTATTGATTTGCGTATATTGAACCAGCCTTGCATCCCAGGGATGAAGCCCACTTGATCATGGTGGATAAGCTTTTTGATGTGCTGCTGGATTCGGTTTGCCAGTATTTTATTGAGGATTTTTGCATCAATGTTCATCAAGGATATTGGTCTAAAATTCTCTTTTTTGGTTGTGTCTCTGCCCGGCTTTGGTATCAGAATGATGCTGGCCTCATAAAATGAGTTAGGGAGGATTCCCTCTTTTTCTATTGATTGGAATAGTTTCAGAAGGAATGGTACCAGTTCCTCCTTGTACCTCTGGTAGAATTCGGCTGTGAATCCATCTGGTCCTGGACTCTTTTTTGTTGGTAAACTATTGATTATTGCCACAATTTCAGCTCCTGTTATTGGTCTATTCAGAGATTCAACTTCTTCCTTGTTTAGTCTTGGGAGAGTGTATGTGTCAAGGAATGTATCCATTTCTTCTAGATTTTCTAGTTTTATTTGTGTAGAGGTGTTTGTAGTATTCTCTGATGGTAGTTTGTATTTCTGTGGGATCGGTGGTGATATCCCCTTTATCATTTTTTATTGTGTCTATTTGATTCTTCTCTCTTTTTTTCTTTATTAGTCTTGCTAGTGGTCTATCAATTTTGTTGATCCTTTCAAAAAACCAGCTCCTGGATTCATTAATTTTTTGAAGGGTTTTTTATGTCTCTATTTCCTTCAGTTCTGCTCTGATTTTAGTTATTTCTTGCCTTCTGCTAGCTTTTGAATGTGTTTGCTCTTGCTTTTCTAGTTCTTTTAATTGTGATGTTAGGGTGTCAATTTTGGATCTTTCCTGCTTTCTCTTGTGGGCATTTAGTGCTATAAATTTCCCTCTACACACTGCTTTGAATGCGTCCCAGAGATTCTGGTATGTTGTGTCTTTGTTCTCGTTGGTTTCAAAGAACATCTTTATTTCTGCCTTCATTTCGTTATGTACCCAGTAGTCATTCAGGAGCAGGTTGTTCAGTTTCCATGTAGTTGAGCGGTTTTGAGTGAGATTCTTAATCCTGAGTTCTAGTTTGATTGCACTGTGGTCTGAGAGATAGTTTGTTATAATTTCTGTTCTTTTACATTTGCTGAGGAGAGTTTTACTTCCCAGTATGTGGTCAATTTTGGAATAGGTGTGGTGTGGTGCTGAAAAAAATGTATATTCTGTTGATTTGGGGTGGAGAATTCTGTAGATGTCTATTAGGTTCGCTTGGTGCAGAGCTGAGTTCAATTCCTGGGTATCCTTGTTAACTTTCTGTCTCATTGATCTGTCTAATGTTGACAGTGGGGTGTTAAAGTCTCCCATCAGTATTGGCCTGCGCCCACTGTCTGGCACTCCCTAGTGAGATAAACCCGGTACCTCAGATGGAAATGCAGAAATCACCCGTCTTCTGCATCGCTCACACTGGGAGCTGTGGACCGGAGCTGTTCCTATTTGGCCATCTTGGCTCCTCCCCCTCATTCTTTTTTTTATGGCTGAATATTACTCCATCCTGTATATGTACCACATTTTCTTTATCCATTCATCTATTGCTGGACACTTAGGTTGCTTCCAAATCTTGACTATTGTGAATAGTGCTGCAATAAACATGGGAGTGCAGATATCTCTTCGATACACTGACTTCCTTTCTTTTGGGTATATATTAATACCTAGAAGTGGGATTGCTGGATCATATGGTAGCTCTATTTTGAGTTTTTTGAGGAACCTCCAAACTGTTCTGCATAGTAGTTGTACTTATTTACATTCCCACCAACAGTGTAGGAGGGTTCCCTTTACTCTACATACTCACCAGTATTTGTTATTGCCTGTTTTTGTATAAAAGTCATTTTAGCTGGGGTGAGATGATATCTCATTGCAGTTTTGATTTGCATTCCTCTCTTGATCATTGATGCTGAGCACCTTTTCATAAAATTGCCATTTGTATTTATTCTTCTGAGAAATGTCTCAAATTTTGCTCATTTGTTAATTGGATTATTAGATTTTTTTTCTATAGAGTTGTTTGAGCTCCTTACATATTCTGGTTATTAATCCCTTGTCAGATGGGTAGCTTGCAAATAATTTCTCTCATTCTGTGAGTTGTCTCTTCATCTTGTTGTTTCCTTTGCTGTGCAGAAGCTTCTTAACTTGATGTGATCCCATTTATCCATTTTTTTTTCATTAGTTATCTGTGCCTGTGGTGTATTACTCAAGAAATCTTTGTTCAGTCCAATGTCCTGGAGAGTTTCCTGAATGTTTTCTTGCAGTAGTTTGTTAGTTGGAGGTCTTAGATTTAAGTCTTTCATCGATTTTGATTGATTTTTGAATATGGCAAGAAATATGGGTCTAGTTTCACTCTTCTGCTTATGGAAATTCCATTTTCCCTGCACCATTTATTGAAGAGACTGTCTTTTCCCCAATGTACATTCTTGGCATCTTTGTCAAAAATGAGTTCACCATAGATGAATGGATTTTTTTTCAGAGTTCTCTATTCTGCTCCATTGGTCTATGTGTCTGTTTTTATGCCAGTACCATGCTGTTTTGGTTACTATAGGTCTGTGATATAAATTGAAGTCAAGTAATGTGATTCCTCCAGTTTTGTTCTTTTTGCTTTGGATAACTTTGGCTATCCTGGATCTTTTGTGGTTCCATATTAGGATTACCTTTTCTATTTCTGTGGGGAATGTCATTGGTTTATTGATAGAAATAGCATCAAATCTGTAGATTGCAGATTCCTTTGTTTGGTTTTAGCAATATTGTTTCTTTCAATTTATGAGCATATAATATATTTTCATTTATTTGTATCCTCTTCAATTTCTTGCACCAATGTTTTACAGTTTTTATTGTAGAGATCTTTCACTTCTTTAGGGTAATTCTTAGTGATTTTATTGCATTTGTAGCTATTGTAAATAGAATTACTTTTTTTTAGACTGTTTGCTGTTGGCATATACAAACACTACTGATTTTTTATGTTGATTTTGTATCCTGCAACTTTACTGAATTTGTTTATCATTTTGAATGGCTTTTTGGTGGAGTCTTTAGGCTTTTCAAAATAGAAGATCATATCATCTATGAACAATGATAATTTGACTTCTTAATTTCAAGTTTGGATGCTCTTTGTTTATATTTCTTGTCTGATTGCTCTAGCTCAGACTTCTAGCAGTATCTTGAATAACAATGGTGAAAGTGGGCATCCTTGTTATGTCCCAGATTACAGAATAAGGGCTTTCAGTTTTTCCCCACTCAGTATGATACTTACTATAGGTCTCTCATATATGGCCTTTATTATGTTGAGCCATGTTCCTTTTATACCCAGTTTTTTGAGAGTTTTTTTTTTTACCATAAAGCGATGCTGAATCTTATCAAATGTTTTTTCCACATTAATTGAAATGATCATATGGTTTTATTCGTTTGTTCTTTTGGTATGATGTATCATATAGATTGATTTGCATATGTTGAACTATTCTTGCATCTCTGGGATAAATCCCATTTGGTCATGATGAATGATCTTCTTAATGTGTTGTTGAATTTGGTTTAATAGTATTTTGTTGAGGATTTTTGCATCAGTATTCATCAGTGATATTAGCCTTTAGTTTTCCTTTTTTTTTTTTTTCTTATGTGTCTTTTTCTGGTTTTGGTATCAGGATAATACTGGCCTCATAGAATGAGTTTGGAAGGCTTCTCTCCTCTTCTGTTTTTCAGAATAGTTTGAGTATATTGATATTATTTCCTTTTTAAATGTTTGGTAGAATTAGGCAGTGAAGCCATTGGGTCATTTCTTTGCTGGAGACTTTATTACAGCTTCAATCTCATTACTTTTTATTGATCTGTTCAGGTTTTGGATTTCTTCATAGTTTAATCTTGATGGGTTGTATGTGTCTAGGATTTCATCCATTTCTTCTAGGTTTTCCAAGTTATTGGCATATAGTTGTTCATAATAGCCTTGAGTTTAACATAGTTTAACAATAATGTCTTAAAATCCTTTGGATGTCTGTGGTATCAGTTGTAATGTTTTCTTTTTCATATATGATTTTATTTATTTGAGTCTTCTCTCTTTTTTCCTAGTTATTTTGGCTAAAGGGTCATCAGTTTTGTTTTTCTTTTCAAATAACTATTTCTTTTGTTTTGTTGATCTTTTGTATTGTTTTCTTCATTTCAATTTCATTTATTTCTACTCCGATCTTTATTATTTCTTTTCTTCTACTAATTTTGTGTTTGGTTTGCTCTTGCTTTTCTAATTCTTTAATATGCATTATTGGTTTTTTTTCTTTTCTTTTTTTTTTGAGACGGAGTCTCACTCTGTCGCTCAAGTTAGAGTGCAGTGGCGCGATCTTGGCTCACTGCAACCTCTGCCTCCTGGTTTTAAGCAATTCTTCTGCCTCAGCCTCCTGAGAAGTTGGGACTACAGTCTCACACCACCACACCCAGCTAATTTTTGTATTTTTAGTAGAGACGGGATTTCACCATGTTGGCCAAGATGGTCTTGATCTCCTGACCTTGTGATCCACCCACCTCAGCCTCCCAAAGTGCTGGGATTACAGGTGTGAGCCACCACGCCTGGCCCATTGGGTTGTTTATTTGAAGTTTTTCTTCTTTTTTGATGTAGGCATTTATAGTTATAAACTTCCTTCTTAGTACTGCTTTCACTGTATCCCATGAGTTTTGGTATGTTGTGTTTCTGTTATTATTTGTTTTAAGAAATTTTTAAATTTTCTTCTTAATTTTCTCATTGACCCACTGGTCATTCAGGAGCATATTGCTCAATTTCCACGTGTTTGTATAGTTTTCAAATTTCCTCTTGTTATTGATTTGTAGTTTTATTTCCTTATGGTCAGAGAAGATACTTGATATTATTTCAATTTTTTTTGGATGTTTTAAGACTTGGTTTGTGAGCTAACATATGGTCTATCCTTGAGAATGATCCATGTGCTGGATTCATATTTGTATTCTGTAGCCATTGGATAAAATGTTCTGTAAGTATTTATTAGGTTCATTTGGTTTATAATTTGGATGAAATCCAATGTTTCTTTGTTTATTTATTTATTTTTTTTTTTGGTCTGGAAGATCTGTCCAATGCTGAAAGTGAGGTGTGAATTCTTCAGCTATTATTGTATTAGGCTCTATCTCTCTCTTTAGCTATAATAATATTTGCTTTATATATCTGGGTGCTTCAATGTTGGGTGAATACATATTTATAACTTTTATGTCCTCTTGCTTAATTAATCCTTTTATCCTTATATAATGATCTTCTTCGTCTCTTCTTACAGTTTTTTTCTTAAAATCTATTTTGTCTGATATAAGTAATGCTACTCCTGCTCTTTTTTGGTTTCTATTGGCATGGAATATCTTTTTCATCCCTTTATTTTCTGTGTCTGTCTTTATGAGTGACATATGTTTCTAGTAGACAACAGATTATTGGGTATTTTTTTAAATCCATTCAGCTACTTTATGTCATTGTATTGGAGAGCTTAGTCTATTTACATTAAATAATCTTATTCGTAAGAAAGGTCTTACTGCTGCCATTTTGTTATTTGTTTTCTGGTTTTCTCTTCCTTTTTTTCTTCCTTTCAGTGAAGGTGATTATCTCTAGTGGTATGCTTTAATTTCTTGCTTTTTTATTTTTTGTGTATCCATTGTATGTTTTTTGATTTGAGGTTACCATGAGGCTTGCAAATGCTATCTTATAGCCCATTTTTTTAGGTGATAATATGTTAAAATTGCTTGCATAAAGAAACTAATAAGCAAAAAGAAAACTAAAAAAAAAACTCTACATTTTAACTTTGTCCTCCTAATTTTTAACATTTTGTTATTTCTATTTCCATTTTATTTTACTGTCTGTGTCTTGAAAAGTTGTTAATATTTTTGATTGGTTCATCTTTTAGTCTTCCTAGTTAAGAGTAGTTTATACATCACAGTTACAGTGTTATAATATTCTGCATTTTTTTGCTTACTTACTATTTCCAGTGATCTTTGTACCTTCAGATGAATTCTCATTGCTCATCAACATCCTTTCCTTTCTGATTGAAGTACTCCCTTTAGCATTTCTTATAGCATGGGCTGGTATTGATGAAATCCCTCAGTGTTTGCTTGTCTGGGAAAATCTTTATTTCTTCTTTATGTTTGGAGGATATTTTCACCAGATATAAAGGTAAAAGTTTTTTTCCTTCAGCACTTTAAGTATGTCATGCCACTCTCTCTTGGCCTGTAAGGTTTCCACCGAAAAGTCTGCTGCCAGTTGTATTGGCGCTCCATTGTATGTTAGTCACTTCGTTTCTCTTGCTGCTTTTAGAATTGTTTATTTATACATGACCTTGCGGGGTTTATTGAATTCCTTGAGGTAATCTTTGGGTTAAATCTGCTTGGTATTCTATAACCTTCTTGCACTTGGAATCAATACCTTTCTCTAGGTTTGGGAAGTTCTCTGCTATTATCCCTTTGAATAATCTTTCTACTCTTATCTCTTTCTCTACCTTTTCTTTAAGGCAAATAGCTCTTAGATTTGCCCTTTAGAGACTATTTTGTAGATCGTGTAGGTGCACTTCACTTTTTTTTATTCTTTTTTTCTTTTGTATCCCTTACTGTGTATTTTCAAACAGCCTATCTTCAAGCTCACTAAATCTCTCTTCTGCTTGATAAATTCTGCTATTAAGAGATTCTGAGGCATTCTTTAGTATGTCATTGCATTTTTTTAACTGTAGAATTTCTGCTTGATTCTTTTTATTTATGTCAACCTCTTTGTAAAATTCATCTAATAGTGTTCTGCATTTTTTCTCTGTATTATCTTGAATTTCTTTGAGTTTCCTCAAAATAGCCATTTTGAATTCTCCATCTGAAAAGTCACATATCTCTCTTTCTCCAGGATTGGTCCCTGCTGCCTTGTTTAGTTCCTTTGGTGAGGTCATGTTTTCCTGTATGTTCTTTATGCTTGTCAATGTTTGTTGATGTCTGGGCATTGAAGAGTTAGGCATTTATTGTAGTCTTCACAGTCTGGGTTTGTTTGTGCCATCCTTCTTGAGCAGGCTTTCCAGGTATTCAAAAGGACTTGGGCCCGCAAGCCCAATAATGCTGTGGTTCATGTAGACTCACAGAGTTACCACTTTGGAGGTCTTGGATAAGATCCAAAAGAATTCTCTGGATTACCAGGCAGAGATTCTTGTTCTTTTGCCTTAATTTCTTCCAAACAAGTGGAGTCTCTCTGTGCTAAGTTGCCCAGAAGTGGGGGTAGGGTGATGCACCCCTGTGGCCACCACCACTGGGACTGTGCTGGGTTAGATTGGAATCCAGCACAGCACTAGTCTCACCCAAGGCCCACTGTTACCTCTACCTGGCTGCCACCTATGTTTGTTCAAGACCCAACTCTACAATCATCCAGTGGTAATCCAGCCATGTTTTTGTCTTTCCCTTCAGAGCTGTGAGTTTTCCCAGTCCCCAGGAAGGTCCAGAGATGCCATCCAGGAGCCTGGGATGGGTAAAAAATCATACAAATCTACCTTATGCTCTATGCTAGTGTGGCTGAGGTGGCACTCAGACTATGAGAAACACCTTTTTACTCTTCTCTCCCCTTTCCAAAGTCAGAGGAGCCCCACCCCATGGCCACCACCACCACCACAGGCCCACAGGGAATACTGCCAGGCCACCACTGACGTTTACTTAAGGCACAAGAGTTCTTTAGCCAGCCTGTGTGAATGCTGCTACGCCAGGACTCACCCTTCAGGGCAGTTAGCTCTCCTCTGGCCCAGGAGGGCAGGTTCAGAAATGCCATCCAAGACCCAAGGCCCAGAATCTGGAACTGCAAAAACATGCTTGGTGCTCTACCCCTGGGGTCCCTACCCACACTGGGCCACAGAATATTACCAGACCCTGGCCTGGTAGGAATCTGGCCTCACAGCAGGAGGGAGCAGCGAGCATTACCCCCTGAGTTCTGCCTCCTGTCAGATCAGCTGTAGCATTAGATTCTCATAGGAGCGTGAACCCTATTGTGAACTGCACATGTGAGGGATCTAGGCTGCTCACTCCTTATGGGAATCTAACTAATGCCTGATGATCTGAGGTGGAATATTTTCATCCAAAATCATCCCCAACTCCTGCCTGGTCAGTGGAAAAATTGTGTTCCATGAAACCAGTCCCTGGTGCAAAATGTTTGGGAACCGCTGCTCTACCCCATTGTGGCTGAGCTGTTACCTAAGATGCAAGACAGAATTCCCTTTGCTTCCTGTGCCTGTGCTTTTCTCAAACAGAGAGTCTCTCACCACAGCTGCCACAGCTCTGAATGTGCTGAGTCTCATCTCAATACAGCACACCTGAGTCTCACCTGGGGCCCATAACATACTACCTGCGTATAGCTGTTGGTTATTCAGGCCCCAAGGGCTCTTTAGCCAGCATGTGATGTATCCTGCCAGTACTGAGTCCTTCTCTTCAAGACAGCAGGTTCCCTTCTGATCCAGGGTATGTCTAGAAATGCCAGCCAGGAGCTAGGGCCTGGAATGGGCACCTCATGACCCTTACCAGTGCCCTATCCTACTGTGGCTGAGCTGGTATCACAGATGCAAGACAAAGTCCTCTTTACTCATTTCTCCCCTCTCCTCAAGTAGAAGGAAGGAATCTCTTTTGGAGCCACAAGCTGTGCTGCCTGGGCTTGGGTGAAGGGTGGCACAAGCACTTCCTTAGCTTCCCTGGCTGGTGTCTCAGTAGGGAAGTGACTCCCAAGTCCATTGGCTCTGAGCCCAGCTCAGCACTAGAACTTGCCTAGGAGTTGTAGTCCTTGCAACCTAGACTGCCTTTCAAGTTTATTTAGGGAGAGCACGTTTGCCCATGGTGGCGAGGCTTGCTGGAACTCAAGTTCTAACTGTGGGGCTGGGTGATTACTTTCTGGTGATAGCTAGTCTAAATGCTCCCTCCATGGGTAAGAATCAGCTGAGTTTAGCTTGGTTTTGCTTTCCACTGTGACAGGGCAGCACAGGATTTAATAAAGTCTCAGAATCACTGCATTCTCCCTCTCCCAAGTGCTCAGATTCCTTCTCCATGCCATGTGGCCACTGCTGGGGGATGGGAGGGCTGGTGTTGGCAATTCAAGACCATTTTTCCTGCTCTCTTCAGTGCCTCTTTCTGTGATATGAAGTTAAAACCAGGTATTGTGAGTGCTCACCTGATTTTTCATTCTTACAAAGGTTTTTTTTGGTTTTTTTTTGTATGTAGATAGTTGTTAAATTTGGTGTTCCTTCAGGAGGGATGATTGGTGGAGACTTCTATTTAGCTCCTTGCTCTACCCCTCCCTTATAAATTATTGCACTATTTTGGACAGATAGGTCTGTGTGTGTGTGTGTGTGTGTGTGTGTGTGTGTGTGTCCATATTTATCTCTATCATCTCTACGCATAAGTAGAGATAGGTATATATGTATATGTGTGGTACTGTTCTCTTATATTTTCTAGTTGGTTATTGCTGGTTTAGAGGAATGCTGCTGTTTTTAAAAATTTACTTTTTATACAGCATCCTTTCTTATTTGTTCTCATAATTTGTTGATTTTGTTAGGTTTTCTATGTAGGTTTTTCAATGTGCAAATATGACAAGTTTTGTCTTTTCACTTCCAAACCTTACACATCTGAGACTTCTAAAATTCTCTTATAGCATAAATTAAAACCTCCAAGATTTATTTAACTGTAGTTGTGATAGTGAGTATTCTTGTTCTTTTCTAATCTTAGTAAGAACTATATAAAATTTATTTATTGTTATTCTTACTGCAGATTTTTAGTGTATCTAGTTTCTGTGTTATTAAAAACAATTTTTTTTTTTTGAGATGGAGTGTAGCTCTATCACCCAGGCTGGAGTGCAGTGGCGCAATTTCAGCTCATTGCAACCTCTGCCTCCCAGGTTCAAGTGATTCTCCTGCCTCAGCCTCCCAGGTAGCTGGGATTACAGGCACCCACCACCACACCCAGCTAATTTTTTGTATTTTTAGTAGAGACAGGGTTTCACCATGTTGACCAGGCTGGTCTCGAGCTCCTGACCTCAGGTGATCCGTCTGCCTTGGCCTCCCAGTGTGCTGGGATTACAGGGGTGAGCCACTGCGCCTGACCAATAAAATAGGTATTAATAAGAAAAAGTGATGAGTAAAGTGCCAGTGACCAGAAATGGGCTCCTGTGTAGGCTGCCAGCTGGATAATAAAGCCCTGAATAACCAATAAGTGAGCATGAAAGTAAAATTTTGAATGTTCATTATGTGTGACTAGCTTACAACTGGCCTTTTCAAGACAATATGATAGTTTTAAATCTTTATTTTTCTTTTATTTACAAACTTATTTACTTTTCAGGTGTATGAAATCTGAAGAGAAGTCCCTTGGTGTGGGATTACATACATTTTGCACAAGAGTATTTGGTAAAAATAGTTATTTTTTCCCACATCCTATCAGAACAATATTATTATTATTATTTTTTATTACACTTTAAGTTTTAGGGTACATGTGCACAACGTGCAGGTTTGTTACATATGTATACATGTGCCATGTTGGTGTGCTGCACCCATTAACTCATCATTTAACATTAGGTGAATCTCCTAATGCTATCCCTCCCCCCTTCCCCCACCCCACAACAGGCCCTGGTGTGTGATGTTCCCCTTCCTGTGTCCATGTGCAGAACAATATTAAATACTAGATAAACAAGGTAATATTATTTCAGAAAAGCAGTCTAGCAAATGTCCCTTCTGTATGTAAAAAGCACGTTATAAATATGAGAATGCAGCACACAAAGAGATAGAGAATCTCTTTTACTTGAAAAGGCCCTGTCTGACCTTAATTACACTATTCTTTGTTTGAAGATTTGAAAATAAAATGAAAGAAAATGCTCTGCCCAAATAAAATGTACATATAACTGGCCCAAAACATTTAAGAAAATATATAAAGTTCAGAATCTTTAATTCAATGTTTTACTCTACTAATAATTATGTTGCATTTGACCATAAGATTACTTATCTTTTAATAATTTAGAAACTTTACAGTAAAAGTAACTCATCATTTCTAAAAATAAAATTTAGACCATTAGATTTATGTTTTGATAAACTTTGCCGTACAAATAAAGAAAATTGAAATATTTCCAAATAAATCAAGTATCTTAATTCTTGTTGATAGATTTTTCTTTCCCTGTCAATTGTAGCTGGCATTCCTGCACCTATATATTTTGGCGCTTTAATGGATTCCACATGTTTACACTGGGGAACTTTGAAATGTGGTGAGTCAGGGGCATGCAGGATATATGATTCCACCACCTTCAGGTAAAGATAATAATTTGTTTAAAATTGTTTTATAAGCATAGACTGTGCATAACGCAGCACCATTCACACGTAACTTTTTCTTTGTCAAGTGAAAAGAATACTTTTGTGGTTATTTCCAGCAGAGATACTGATGTTATATCTCCATTCCTTATTTGCATACTAGAATTGTATTTTCCCATTATTTCTCAAGTGCTTGGTAAATATAAGCATACATGGCTTCCCTAACCTTGGCTTTCAAAGTGTTGTTCGTTAAATTCTTAGCAGTCAACACAATATTGAAGGTAATGGTTGTACACTGATACCTATCCAATTTATATTGCTCTCTAAAGGCTCTCATTTTATCCTGCATGATTTCATCATCTCACGAGTCTGAAGCCTCACTTCCTCTCACCACCAGTCTCTGGTCTCCAAAATCATATATTTTCTCCCTCTTTACATTTTGCTGAAACAATCTTCTTCATGTCTCCTAATGCCTTCTCTTTGGTAAATACAAATCTAATTTTGAATAAAACTCTTTGTTATTTCTATTTTCATGTTCTTTTTCATTCGGAAATTTGAGTTTTGTTTAAATTTGAATTAACTTCTCTTGATGGGGCAATAATAAAGCTACTTCATTCAATATAAAACAATTTACCATTGTTTAAAGCATTCTAAGATATTGGTCTTGATCAGCAAAAGGACACATATCAAGAAGTATGGGGAGAGCAGACGCAGGAGATTCATCTCTGCATCTATTCCCCTTTCCCCCAGAGCTCCCCAGGAGTGATGCTGAGGGAAGCTCAGCTACATGCTATGTATGCGGTGGATTTCTACCACAGTTGAGGAACCCCAAGGGTCACTATTGAGGGTTGGCCTCATCCTGCTACTTGGATTCTTGTTGATAGTCTCCTGAATTAAATGGTGCTTAAGACACATTAAACGGACTTGGCTCCATTCTCTGTTAGTCAGACCAATTAGACTGGTCAATGAAATGGTGTATCCATGAGAAAAATCTACCAGAAGCCAAGATATTCTAGAAATAAGGGTAAATATTGTTGGTAGACAATTCTCCATGGATCCCTACATTTCTGCTTTTCTTGTTAGCAGGGACACTGAGAGCATTTTTTCTGGACTATATTTTCAAGGATGTTGGAACAGTAAATGACCTTGGAAGATATAAATAGTGTCTCTCTCAAGGACAGAGGGCAGGTAGCTTGTTGTCCATGATGATAAGAAAATGTCTCCCTTTGGGGCAAAGTTTGGGCAGATTTTTTTGAAGCCCATTTAAAAGAAAGATTGGGATTTCCTAAACTCAGGACTTTCTAACTGCAGCCCAAATTCACTGTGTGTACAATGTTTACCTGGGTTCTCCCTCTGTCTCACCACTTTGGGACTTGGAGGGTAAGGAAAATCAACTTGAACATGAAGCTTGTGCTGACTGCTGTGTTGTGAGTAAAAAAAGTCCTTTGTCCCTGACCTATGAGTCTTGTATCTTCTGTTAGCATCCTTGAAACTGTGGCAGGCTAGCCTGTTAGCTTACAAATGAAGTAAAATCTTAGACTCTTTTACAGTTCTTGAGAACAAACTTCTGATTACCTTTACATTTTCCTAAAAATGTGAAAATGATTAATTAGATTTATTCCAACCAATAGAAGGGGAGAAAATGCAGTAGTGGTAATTCATAAGAAAAAACCCCACACAAATAAGTTAAAAAATAAGCCTAAGTGGTTTTGCAAATTGGTTAAACTTGCTGGTTAAAAGATAGTAATTTTTATATTGGACTTTTCAAAATTTGAACTAAATGTTGTTTGTAAGAGATAGATAGATCAAAAATATAAAATGATTGAAGATAAGGTTTTGAAAAGATCTACCAGACACATACTAAATCAACTTCTGTAGTTATATTAATGATTTCAACAAAATATAAGTAAGTTAAAGGGAAAAAATTAATAGGGTTAACCAGAGATATTACTTAATAATAAAAGGAAAACACTATAAAAATATAGAAAAATTATGAAGCTATGTAAATCTATCAACATAACCTCAAATATACAAAACAAAAATTTATAAAATTATAAGAATAAATCTACAGAATGGAAAATTTCAATATACTTGTCCCACAAATGAATATTAAATACAGACAAAAATGAGTGATAATATAGAATATTTCAACTTCAAATTGTACAAGAGTAATTGAATATACAGATAAATGTATATTCTGTATAAACATATATAATCTGTATGAATCTATAATACATCTATATCTATTTCTACATGAATACATGGATAATTGTTAACCAAAATACGAGCACCTATGCCACTAAAAAGTTAAAAAAAAGTATTGATACCACATAAATCCTGTTTTCTGTTCACAATGCAATGGAGATGAAAGTCTATAATAAAAAATTCCCAAACCCCAAATGTTTGAAAAGTGGAAAAGAATGCAGTCTTAAATTACTCATGGTTAAAAGAATAAATTATAGTAAACATAAATAATTAGAACTGTATGTCAATGAAAGCACTGAATAAGAAAACTTGTGGGATGAAGCTAAGCCAACCAGTAATCAAAGGGATTTTTAGAGCTTTAAATGTATAAATATATATACACATATGTATATATTTGCATATGTACAAATATATGTATATAAATATGTATATAATATATACATATAAGTACATATATACATATTTATTTACATATGTATATAAATGTATATTTACATATGTATAGCTATATTACATATGTAAATATACATATGCAACATATATTCACATGTATATACACATAGGTATATATGTTTATATACACATAGGTATATATGTTTATATACACATATGTATATAAAGATGTATATATTTATACATTTAAAACATAATATGTATAAAAATATATACATATATACATTTACACATAAAAGGCTGAAAATTAATGAACTCAGAATTTAGAAAAAGAACAATGAAATATGTACAAATGACATAGAACGACCTGATAAATGACTCAAAAATTTACATATTGATATATTTCCTATCTCAAATAAGAATAATTGAAACAATATATTTTTAAAATTCAAAAGGGACTTTTCTTGATTAAAAGACAATATAAATATCATCCTAAACATCTGGTTTTTCAGAAATTAAACAGAAACATAAAGGAGTAAACAAAGCTGAATTCACAGGCTCTATGTCTCAAAATGAGCAGTGGTTTCTGATATCAGCTTCCAAGGAAGAATAAGGTACTTCTAAGTCAAGCGACTAAATTCAGATTCAATGCTTTAATCCAATTAATGAGGTAAAACACCTTTTACAGGATTTAGTGTTCCTCAAAATGTGATATTCACTCAGAACTTCACAATGTGACCTTATTTGCAAATAGAGCATTTACAAGTAGAGTAGTTAAGTTAAATGTGGTTATACTGGATTACCATAGGCTTAAATCCAATCACTGGTGTCCATTTTTTTCTGAATCCTAGTACTGTTTCATAATAAAAGAAAATTTTAGAAGTAGAAAGATAAAAATAGATGAAGAAATTAATAAATAGACTATATACCATAGAGGGAATAAGAAAGTAAAGAGCTATGTTTTTGTAAAGGTGCAAAGATATTACTAATAACAATACTGTGGAAAGGCAAATAAAGAGAGGAGGCACAAATAAAACATCATTAAGGATGAAAAAGCTAATATAAGTACAGATATTATAACACTTACATAGGGATTTTAGATATAACAATTTAGAAACATATTAAATAGATATTTTTCTAGACAATTAATTATATATTACCAGATTTTATTATAAATCTATAGAAACATGAATATTTTTATAGTTACTTAAAAATGTAAAACTTTCAAAAGTGCTCATCTCCCAAGGTACCAAGTTCAGATATTTTTCAGGAAAGTCTGAAAAAACCTACAATGAACCAATGATTCATTTGTAAATTATGCAAGTTATTCTCAGAAACAGAAAAAGGGAAAATTTTGTAATTCATTTCACAAAGCTAGTACTATCTTAATAATCACACTGGACAAGTTCAGTACAAGAAAAAAATTTGTAGGCTAATCTTATACATGCAAAAATTCTACATAAAAATTGATAAATTGAATCTAGTAATGTATAAAAATTACAGTTTATTTTAAGCATGCAAGGATAGGTCAATATCAGAAAATCTATTGGTGTAATAGATGCTATTAACACAATAAAGGTAGAAAACTTTGCATATTCTTCCGACTACAAGCAGAAAAGTTATTTGGTTATATTATGCACATTCATGATTAAAACTTTGAGCAAGCTCACAATAGAAAATAACTTCCTTAATCTGATCAAGGTCATCTAAAGAAACTCTCACAAGAGTATATATTATAATTCATGATGATTCTTTGGAAGCATTCTTACTAAATACTAGAATAAAACTGCTATCACTACCAGTATTCATTTTGAGGTGAAGATCCTACTCAATGAAAAACTAGTTAGTTATAACAACAATAATAAAACATTAGAAAAGATGAAAATAAATTTGGATTTTCTCAGTGGGAAAATTAAAAAAACATAAAATATTTTAACAAATACTGAAATTAATAAGAGAGTTTAGCAAAGTTGCTTATATAAGATCAGCATGCAAAACCATCAGCTGCTGTTTTTATCAGAATAAAATACAAAGATATACAAATTTAGTTTGCACTAACCACACTATGTAATATTTAATATGTTTTAACTTTTAAAAAAATAGATACATCTACCTCGGATTGCCGGCAGCACTAAGAGGATCAAGCTTTGTTCCAGCCTTAATCATCTTAATTCTTTTGAGGAAGTGTCATCTACCTGGTGAAAATGCCTCTTCAGGAACAGAGCTTATAGAGACAAAAGTCAAAGGGAAGGAAAATGAGTGCAAAGATATATACCAAAAGTCCACGGTTTTGAAAGATGATGAATTGAAAACTAAATTGTAATTGTCCTATTATATTACTTTTTTCAGAATTAGAGAACATGCTGTACAACTTAATTGTTTTAAAAATCAGTAGAGATATAATAGATAACTTTTTCTTGTCTTTAAGAACCTAAAAAACCTCTTAACTCAAAATAATAAAATGTTCACTAATGATATTTCTAAGGTATCAGTGACACTTGAGTTTTCCTAGGAGGGACATCAATAACAGCCCCCTAAAGAAGATTCTTAGAGCCAGCTTTATTTTTATGTTGAAACAGCAATTTCCCTTAATTCATCGAAGTAAGGGTGTACTTCCTACATCTCCTTCTACTAATACTTCTAAAAATTTTCTGTTATGAAAACCTATTTAATTCCACTAAATTTGTTCTTTGATATTGGAATTATTCAGATGCCTAAATTCTCATTCTGTTATGTGAAGATTTAAATATTTTATTCAAGTTTATCGCTTCCATGTGAGAGAAGCCTACATCTTCTTATTCTATTTAGGAATCGTTCTTTAACTCTTCTTATTCATTCTAGGCATGACTCCTATATAATAGATTACTCATAAATATACCCTCCTACTTTCAATTTTTTCTTTTCTTTATTACTCATACATTTGCTCAATTTGTACAGAATACTGACAAACTTAAGCAGGTTATTAAACATCATGAGGCAAAGATTGTTGGATTTTTTTTCAGTAATTCAAATCCAGTGACTAAAGTTTTTCTTACAAACAAGTGTCTGAATCAAAGGATGAAAGGACAATATTATAAAAACTCCAGTTCTTAAAGGCTGTTTGTAATGTCAGATATTGTCAAAGAACCACTTTCTAAGATTCAGGACTCTTTAGACCGATGTTTATATCACCCATTGTGTCCTAAGGTAGAACACAAACACTAATTTTCCCAAAATAATCTTAGACAATAGCTTCTGTTATGAAACAGAGGTTAGTAAAGGCTAAGGTACATATTAAAAGCTAAATCTACTTATATTATTATTTTGTAAATTATGGATAAAATTAAAAATTGAAGGATTTTAGACATAGAAGAGGACTTATTGATTAATATAGGGCTTCTGGTAAAAGAGAATAGAATGAACAGACAAATACCTGTTTGTCTACTCCTTACTCTCCTTCCTGTTGAAATGACAGTCAATATATAAGAATGACATAAATCCCTAATGGATGAAGAGAATGGAGTAAGGAAGGGTGGGAGAAGTGGGTGTCAATACACTATGGTTATTTATGTGTACTATAAATGGAGTGAGAGTGTCTGCAGGGATACAACAGAGTGGAGGAAGCTGAAATACAGAATATACCTAGAAGGAGCCTGGAATGGAAGTGTGAAACTGAGTTGCCAGTTCAAAGTGTGAGTTGGTAGCTGGACAGAAAGCAGGCCAGTTAACTGAAGGACTTTGTACAGATGCTTTACAGGTTAATATGATTTCCTAAATGATCAGATGCATCATATGAAAAAAGAAAGCAAATGAGAAGAGAAAGGCTGTATAGAACAGGTTTAGGGGGAAGGATGAAAAGTTAAGTTTCAGTTTCATGAAGTTTGAGACTTCAACTCTGGGCATATAAAAAATAACCAAGGTTCAAACCAAGACTGGCTTTGAAACAAGAGAGAGGAACTAAAATCATTGGAAAGGGGGAGTTTAACTTTGATGTAGGTATGACTGCAGCAGTGAGATATCGTATTAAGATCTGATGACATGAAATTTGGAGCCACTTCCTTTGTGGTGGGAGGAAGTGAGGAGAATGGCCTGGAAACTAAAACAAGGAGAAGAGACTTACCTATATTCACAGAGCAGCAAGAAAAAGTAAACAGCCACTGCATGAGAAGGTTTCAGGGGAATCAGATTTTGCTGAGTGTGCGATGGTGAAGAGAATGCTCATTTCTGAACTGGAATCTGAGCTAAAAAGAAGCAAATAGGATATATATGGAAGTTAGACTTATGGAAATTAGAAGAAGGGGAATGAGAGATAGTTTGGAATTCTGTGGCTATTTAGGTGACTGACATAAATGGGGGCAGAGGACATAATGAGGTTAGTTCTTACGGATTCAAGGCAGATAGTGTTGGTGAAACAGTGAGTGTCAAAATTAGGCGAGGTGGTGACTGGGCTCCCTGATGACCTCTTGTCGTGGAGCAAAACTGAATAAGCAAAAACTTACTCAAGCTCCTGAGGCCCATTCATCATCCCTATTGATAGATTTGAGGTGATCTGAGAAAGCTGAGTCTTGCTTTGTGGACAATTCACCCACTTGAACTCCCTCAATGGAGCATCATAGGCCCAGAGAGACATGGCTATGGACTTAGTACCTTGGCATCACTTTTATCCCCTCATGGAGGAGATGGCATTTTACTCTGAAAACATAGGGTTCTCCTTTGACACTTCTTGGTGGGAGAAAGCAGGTCAGAGAAAGTGGGTGTTGGAGTGCTTTGGGATCCCTCATGACCTCTTTTGTTGGTATACATGAAGCCTGGGAGTTTAGTTCTTATTCTGAGCACTTGTACTACTCTCATGAGGGTAGAGATAATGGCATAGCGGACAGACATGGAGAAGAGAAACAAGAGAACAGGTAGTGAGAAGTCGAGAGTCAGTAATTTTCTTACTTAATATTGTGGGGATCTTACTTAATACATAAAGTTAATGAAACTAGAAATAGTGGTTTAATATATTACTTATAATTCAAAAATTAACCTATATTTACAGATGCTTACACAGTTTCTTTGTGAATCCACCTATGGTTTTATTTTAATTAATTTTTTATTGCAAAGCAATGAAATGTTGCTTTGTGGAGCCAGATAGCATTACAGCAGGTAAATGGGTTTCTGCTAGATCTCCACATTATTGGGGAGATGCTCGAAGACCTCAGAATATACACACCCTTAAGGTTCAAGGGCTGGGGTTGAGCTCTCCATAAGGAACTTTTCCTCCTCCCAGAAGGGCGATCATTGTGTATATAGACATGGAGACAGAACCAGAATGACTTCTGTGGGTGGAAATAGTGCCATCAGAATCATTTATTATTATGAAATAAATATTATTTATCTACATTGAAAAAATACTACTCCTCCTAAAATCATTAACTTTTCCTCAGATGATTTTAAGAAATTTGAGTAATAGCACACGAAGTGGTAAAGACCCTTAGTCTTTCTGGTATATTAGAAAAGCCTTTTAATCAGTCTCTGGAAGGACACTAGGGATTGCAGCTGAATAAATATATTAAGAATAACAAATCAGTTCAACAAGGAGTAGAGTCTGAAGTGGGATTTTCCGTGGAAATTCTCTTATGTCTGTACTAACAATAAGAAAGACAAGACAAAGACTAAGTAATTAAAGAAAAGCTCGAAATGTTTTGTAACCAAAAGCTTGAAATGTTATGTAACCAGAATGTTATGTAACCAGAGCTGTTAGATCAGATACTGGCTGATTCATAGGTGAACGTCCTCTTTGTGGGTCCTCTCATGCATCCCCATTTTCAGAATGTAAATAATTTGGCTTTGTAGCCCTTCCAAAAAGGGTACTATCCCACTTCTCCTGGCATAAATCATACATTGACTGAACGTTCACCATCTAAAAATCACTCATGCTCCTTGAACCAAGGTGATTATCAGAGACAGCTCCTGGTAGAAGAGGTTGTAGATGTTAAAAGAGTATGATTTCTATATAAGAAAATATAGAAATTGACAGAATGGTTCTTATTTACTGGGCCTGGAGAATTCCTGTTCTGGCATTCTTAGATCCCTCAAATTTATTACCAAGGGGAAAAGGAAAAAGAGGCAAGTAGGCAGTAGGGTAAGCTGTTGTTTGCTTGCCAAGGAACTGGAGAGTGCAGGTTTCAAGACACCTTGAGGAAATTCTCCTGAGCCCTTAGCCAAGAGAAGAGAGCAGAAAATGCTTTTCTGTAGAATCCCAAGAGGCATAAAAGAGGATGAGTAACTGGGTCCTGTGCCAAGTTCCCAACCCCTAAGCCTTCCCAACATGGAGAAACTACACCAGTGTTTAAAAGTTTCTAGGTTGGAGGAACAAACTTGAGCATCAAGGGCAGATGATTTGTTAACACAGTCCTGTGCAGAGGGCTCCTTCAGAAGGCATCCCCTGTGACCCAAACACAGTGAGCACCTTCTACTTTCTGGCCTTATGCCATCAATGCATCCAGCTGCAATCTATCCTCAAACCTGGAATCCATCTCTTGACTTCCCAGCCAGACCACCTTCCATCCCTTCACTGTGTCCCACCCTGCCCAGAATGCATGCTGTTCTCCCAGAGTCTCATGGAAATAAGGCCTTGCACTGAAATAGGCTGTGGGAAACAAAAGGATAAGCAGGTCTGGACCAGTCTGTAATGGTAGCAGGTGAAAACAACTTACGGAAAAACACATGAATTCATTAGGAAATAAGGTGACAGATCCCCAGCTGCTGAAGAACTAGAATGTCTATTACACTCATACAATTGATGTTTTATTTTAATACACCAGAGCTACCACACAAAACTTCCTTCCATGTGAAAGGCTCCAGATAAAATTCTGCCATCCCTCCTCTCCTCATGTCCTCCTGCTCAGACCCACCTTCATGCCCCTAAACCAATCTGCATCATGCCTGTTTCAGAGAGTCATGGGAAGATGGGCAGTGCCTCCATTGTCACCATTCCCCACACCTCTGCACACTTCTGCCCCTTCCCCTCTAGACGCCACAACTTCACAGTCTTACTGTTGTAAATATTCCTGCACAGTTAGTAATGATCAAATGATCCTGTGGTCAGAGGCCTCTTTGGCAGTGTCTTCTTACCCTTAAGAAAGGTCATGAAATCCAGAAGGGGCAACCTTTCCAGGAGAGCTTTGGAGTCATTTCTGTGTGAGACACTATTGCATAATCCTGTAAGATTGCTTTTATATTTAAGGAATGATGTTACTTAACAAATGAACAAAAAAAATTGCAAATAAATTTTTTAACAATGTTTACATTGGCTTAATCATATCTTCTCTCTTCCATGTCCCTTCCTTTCTCCTCTTCCCTAGAGGTCACAAAAATATACTCCACTTTCAGTTATCTAAGTTGTCTCCCCTCCTTCAAAGGGGAGAAAGGCTGGAGAGAACATGGGAAACATGAATCCAGTGATAATAACCTCAGTCAGCAATTAATCTCATCATCCAGTTTCTTCCAATGCAAGGGTTAACAGGAAAATGGTCAAAGGTTGACAAGAAGAAAGAATTGGAGGAATTAAATGGTTAATTCACCAAATGTAAAATGCCCCCAAACTGGAAAAGCACTAAATTAGTTTTGAAGGAAGAACAGAAGGGAGGAGTGAGAGAATATAGGAAGAAAGAAAGGAGAGGAGAAAATAAAATAAGATATAAACTACTTTGAAGATTATAAAAATGCAAGGTTTTGTTTCTCTTTTTTATTGTAACTCAGATGAAGCTTCCAAAAACAATTATCTATGTAAAAATAATTTGTCCTAGAGGATTCTGGGAGGATAGCAGAGTAGGGAGCACCAGAAATCTGTCTTCCTACTTAGACAACAAATTCATTGGCAGATTATGTCTTATGTAACTATTTTGAAACTCTGGAGCCTACTGAAGGCTTACAACTTCCAAGGGAAGGCTTAGACATAAATTGAGGTTAATTTTGGTCAATTTCAGCCATTAGTAGAGTAGCAACTACCCATCCCCCACTGTCAGTTCCATGGCAGGCAGCTGAGCACTTGTTCCAGGAGCAGCTTGCATGCAGTGTGTGGGGGCCAGGGTGGGCAAAATCATCCTGTTCTTCAAATTTCAGGTAGCTGTTCTCAGAATGCTGGTTGCTGCTTCTAACCACAAAGATGCAAACACATAAATGGGCAGCCATTGTTTTTGCACCTCCCCTCGTTGTTGCAATCCCCTCCCTCATCAATTGAAGTGATTTCCAGAGGATTTAAAGAGCCAGCACTACTGTTCCCCCTTCCATTTTTTAAATTTTTCTCCCTTTGGGAGCCAGACATTAAAGACTAAGATATTTAATAGCAACTCTATATATAGGGAAAATTAGAAAGGTACTGCACATGGCCAGGAAAAGACACAAGCTCAGAAAAGACCAGAGATATCAAGTTTACACTTTATGCTGATCCCTGGCACAGAGGCAGCATGTAAGTATTAAAAACAACAACAGCAAACCCTATGGAAGGGGAAATAACTGATTTATAGTTACAATATTTTTAGATTCAAATGTCCAGCTTCCAACAAAAAGTCACAAGGCATATAAAGAAACAGAAAAGCATGGCCTATTCAAAGGAAGAAAATAAATCAACAGGAGTTGTTCCTAGAAAAGACCTGATGGTAGATCTACTAGACAAAGACTTTAAAACAACTCTCTTAAATATGCTAAGGAAAGATGTGGAGGAAGTCAAAAAAATCATGTGCAAACAAAATGGAAATATCAACAAAGAAATAGAACACTTGAAAAGAAACATTTCTGAAGCTGAAAATACAACATCTGGAATGAAAAATATACTAGAGGGATTCAAAGGCAGGTTCAAGTAGGTAGAAGAATCAGTACACTTAAAGACAGGACAATGGAAATTATTGAGTCTGAGGAACAGAAGAGTAGAAGATTGAGAAAAAGTAGAGAGATCCTAATGGACTTGTGGGACACCATTCATCAGACCAACATGCACATTGTGGAAGTCCAAGAAGGAGAAGAATGAGAGGAAGACGAAGAGAGAATATTCGAAGAAACAGTAGCTGAAAACTCCCTGTATTTGATTAATAATATGAATATAAACATCCAAGCTCAACAAACTCCAAGTAAGATGAGCTAAAAGAGATCCATACTTTGTCTTTTGAAAGACAAAGACAAAGAGAACATTTTAAGAGCAGCAAGAGAGAAGTGACTCATCACATATCAGGGATTCTCAATGAGAGTAACAGGAGAATTCTCACCAGAAACTTTGGAGGCAAGAAGGCAGTGGGCCAGTACATTCAAAATGCTGAGAGATCGAAAAAAATCAATCTGTGAACTGATAATTCTACATCTGGCAAAATCATCCTTCAAAAGTGAAGGAGAAATTAAGACATTCCTATATAAACAAAAGCTGAGCAAGTTCATTAACACTAGACCTTCCCTGAAAGAAATGTTCACAGGAGTCTTGCATGGTGAAATAAAAAGACACTGGACAGTAAATTGAAGCTGTATGAAGAAATAAAGATCTCAATAAAGGTAAATATATGGGCAATCATAAAAGCTAGCATTATTATAACAATGGTTTATAACTCTATTTTTAACTTTCTACATTTTTTAAGAGACTAATATTATACAAAAATTATATTGACACTTTCGTTTGTAACTCCACATTTTGTTTTATATGAAATTTAAAAGATTAATGTATTCAAAATAATTATTGGCTAGATGGGGTGGCTAACACCTGTAATCCCAGCACTTTGGGAGGCTGAGGCGGGCAGATCACTTGAGCTCATGAGTTTGAGACCAGCCTGGGAAACATGGCAAAACCCCGTCTCTACAAAAAAATACAGAAATTAGCTGGGCATGTCAGTGCACACCTGTGGTCTCAGCTACTCAGAAGGCTGAGGTGGGAGCATGGCTTGAGTCCAGGAGGCAGAGGTTTCAGTGAACTGAGATTGTGCCACTGCACTTCAGCCTGGGTGATAGAGCCAGACCTTGTCTTAAAAAAAAATTATCAGTTTATGTTTTGGGCACACAGTGTACACAATGCCTAATAAGGATGTAATTTTGTGGTCAACAACCAAAGAGTTGGGGATGGAGATGTAAAAGAGCAGAGTTGTGTATGTTATTGAAGTTAAACTGGTATAAATTCAAATTAAACTGTTATAATTCTAAGATTTTTAAATGTAATCCCCATAGTAACCACACCAAAAAAGCTATACAGTATACACAAAAAGAAATGAGAAAGAAATATAAATATTTAATTACTAAAAAAATTAAACACAAAAGAAGACAGTAATTCAGAAAAGGAGGGACAAAAAAAGCAACATAGAAAACAATATAAAACAAGTAAGAAGATGACAGAAATAAGTCTTTCCTTATCAGTAATTACTTTAAATTTAAATAGATTAAACTCCCCAATCAAAAGACAGAGATTGGCAGAATGGATTAAAAAAAATGAACCAACTCCGTGTTGTCTACAAAAAACTCACATAAGATGCAAAGACACAAATAGACTGAAAGTGAGTGATAGGTAAACAATAACCAAAAGAGAGCAGGAATGGCTATACTAATATGAGAACAAATAGACTTTTAATTTTAAAAAGGTTAAAAAAGATGAAGACATTTCATATTAATAAAAGGCTCAATACAGCAAGATGATATAACAATTTTAAACTGTTACCCACCTAATAGCAGATCATCAATATATATGAAACAAAAACTTTGGATAGAATTGAATGGAGAAATAGACTATTCTACAATAATAGTTGGAGACTTCAATACCCTACTCTCAATAATAAATAGAATGACCAGACAAAAGTTATGTAAGAAAATAGAGAACTTAAACAATGTAATAAACCAACTATATCTAACATATATCTAATAACAGCATACATATTCTTCTTAAGTGCACATGAGACATCTTTCAGGACAGAACATATGTTATACCACAAATTAAGTCTCCACAGATTTAAAATGATTGACATCATATGAAGTATCTTCTCCAATGAAAACAAGATGAAGTTAGAAATCAACAACAGAGGAAAGGTTGGAAAATGTATAAATTTGTAGAAATTAAGCAACATACTCTTAAACAACAAATAGACAAGCTAAAATTTTTTAACAAAAATTAGAAAATACTTAGAGAAAAATGAAAACAAAAACAGAATATATAAAAATGTTTGCAATGCTGTGAAAGCAGTGATAAGGGGAAAATTTATAGCTATAAATTCTTACATGAAAACATTTTAAATTAACAATCTAACTTTTCAAATTAAGAAATAAGAAAAGGAAAGAAACTAAACCCATAGTTAGAAGAAAAGAAAATAATAAAAATAAGAGCAGCAATAAATGAAATACAGAATGGAAACACAATAGAGAAAATCAATGACAGCAAAAGTTGATTCTTTGAGAATATCAACAAAAATAATGCTTTAGCTAGATGGACAAGGAAAAACAGAGAGCAGACTCAGATTGCTAAAATCAGAAATGAAGGTGGAGACATTACTATTAATCCTAATTCCACAGAAATAAAAAAGATTATAAGAGAGTACTATGAACAGTTGCACAACAACAAATTGGATATTCTAGATGAAATGAACAAATTCCTAGAAAAACAAAACTTATCAGGACCAACTTACGAGGAAATAGAAAATGTGAATCAACCTATAAATAGTAAGGAGATTAAATCAGTAATCAAAAATTTTTAAATAAAGAAAAACCCTGGACCTGATGGCATCACTGGTGAATTTTACCAAACAAACATTTAAAGAACTAACATTAATTCTTCCAAAACTTTTCAAAAAAGTTTGAAGGAGAGAATACTTTCTAACTCATTCTATGAGACCAACCTCACCCTGCTACCAAATCCAGACAAAAACACTACAAGCAAAGAAAACTAAAGACCAACGGCCTTTATGAACATTGAGGCAAAAATCTTCAACTAAATACTAGCGAACAAAATTTATCAGCATTTAATATTAAAATGATTAGAAACCATAACCAAGTGGAAGTTATTCCTGGAATGCAAAGATAGTTCAACATATGAAAACTGATGGAAAAAAACCACACCACATTAACAGAATGAAGGAAAAAAGACCACATGAACATCTTAATTGATGCAGAAGAAAATATTTGACAACATTCAACACACTTTCACGATAAAGACATTCAACACACTAGAGAAAACGGAAACTACCTCAACATAATAAAAGCCATATATGAAAAGCCCATAGCAATCATCATACTCAATGGTGAAATATTGAAATCCTTTTCTCTAAGGTTGGGAACATGGCAAGGATGCCTGCTTTTACTACATTTATTCAACATAGTGCTGAAAGTTTTAGCCAGAGCAATTAAATAACAAAAAGAAATAAAGGGCATCTAAGTTGGAAAGTAAGATGTAAAATTATCTCTGTTCACAGATGATATTATCTTTTATGTAGAAAACCATAGGAATTCTGGATGCAAAAATCTTCAACAAAATACTTGCAAACGGAATCCAGCAGCACATCAAAAAGTGTATCTACCACAATCAAGCTGGCTTCATCCATGGGATGCAAGGTTGGTTCAACATATGCAAATCAACAAAGGTGATTCATCATATAAACAGAACTAAAGACAAAAACCACATGATTATCTCAATAGATGCAGAAAAGGTCTTTGATAAAATTCAACATCTCTTCATGTTAAGAACTCTCAATAAACTAGGTGTTGAAGGAACATACCTCAAAATAATAAGAGCCATCTATGACAAACATACAGCCAATATCATATTGAATGGGGAAAAGCTGGAAGCATTCTCCTTGAAAGCCAGCACAAGACAAGGATGCCCTCTCTCACCACTCCTATTGAACATAGTATTAGAAGTTCTGGCCAGGGCAATCAAGCAAGAGAAAGAAATAAAGGGTATTCAAATAGGAAGAGAGGACGTCAAATAATCTTCGCTTGCAGGTGACATGGTTCTTTATCTAGAAAACCCCATTGTCTAGGCCAAAAAGCTTCTTAAACTGATAAGCAACTTCAGCAAAGGCTCAGGATACAAAATCAATGTGCAAAAATCACTAGCATTCCTACATACGAATGACAGGCAAGCTGAGAGTCAAATCACGAATGAACTCCCATTCACAATTGCCACAAAAACAATAAAATACCTAAGAATACAGCTAACAAGGGAAGTGAAGGACGTCTTCAAGGAGAACTACAAACCACTGCTCAAAGAAATCAGAGAGGACACAAACTAATGAAAAGCATTCCATGCTCATAGATAGAAAGAATCAATATTGTTAAAATGGCCATACTGCCCAAAGCAATTTATAGATTCAATGCTATTCACATTAAACTGCCATTGACACTCTTTACAGAATTAGAAAAAAAAATTGGAAAATTCATATGGAACCAAAAGGAGCCAAAATAGCCAAGGCCATCCTAAGCAAAAAGAACAAAGCTAGAGGCATCACATTTCCCAACTTCAAATTATACTACGAGGCTATAGTAACCAAAATAGAATAATACTGGTACAAAAATAGGCACATAGAACAGCAGAACAGAATAGAGAACCAAGAAATAAGACTGCACACCTACACCCATCTGATCTTTGACAAACCTGACAAAAATAAGCAATGGGGAAAGGCTTTCCTATTTAATAAATGGTGCTGGGAGAACTGGCTAGCCATATGCAGAAAATTGAACCTGGATCTTTTCTTACACCTTATACAAAAATTAAGTCAAGATGGATTAAATATTTAAATATAAAACCCAAAACCATAGAAACCCTCAACAAAAACCTGGGCAATACCATTCAAGACATAGGCACAGGGGAAGATTTCGTAATGAAGATGCCAAAAGTGATTGCAACAGAAGCAAAAATTGACAAATGGGATCTAATTAAACTAAAGAGCTTCTGCACAGCAAAAGAAACTATCAACAGAGTAAACACACAACCTGCAGAATGGGAGAAAATATTTGCAATCTATCCATCTGACAATGTTCTAATATCCCACATCTATAAGGAACTTAAATTTACAAGAAAAAAGAAACCATTAAAAAGTGAGCAAAAGACATGAGCAGACACTCCTTAAAAGCATATATACATGCAACCAACAAAGGATACGAAAAAAGCCCAACATCACTGATCATTAGAGAAATGCAAATGAAAACCACAATGAGATACCATCTCACATCCATCAGAATAACTATTATCAAAAAGTCAAAAACTAACAAATGCTGGTGAGGTTGTACAGAACAAGGGAGACTTTTACACTGTTGGCAGAAGTGTAAATTAGTTCCACTGTGGTGATTCCTCAAAGACTTAGAGGCAGAAATACCATTTGACCCAGCAATCCCATTATTGGGAAAATACCCAAAGAAATATAAATCATTCTATTGTAAAATACATAGATGTGTATGTTTACTGCAGCACTATTCGTAATAGCAAAGACATGGGATCAACCTAAATGCCCATCAGTGATAGACTGGATAAAGTAAATGTGGTACATATACACTGTGGAATACTATGCAGCCAGGAAAAGGAATGATATCATATCCTTTGCAGGGACATGGATGGAGTTGCAACCCATTATTCTCAGCAAACTAATGCAGGAACAGAAAACCAATACCACGTGTCCTCACTTATAAGTGGGAGCTAAATGATGAGAGCACATGGACACATGGGGAGAAACAACACACACTGGGGCCTGTCGGAGGGTTGTGGGTGGGAGGAGTGAGAACATCAGGAAGAATAACGAACGTATCAAAATATGTCATGTACTGCATAAATATATATACCTACTATGTATCCATAAAAATTAAAAATTTAAAACACTAATAAAAGAAATAAAACATTAGTAAGTGGGAAAACATTCTGTGTTCATGGATTGAAAGACTTAATATTGTTAAAAAAAATCCATGCTATCCAAAGTCATGTGTAGATTTAACACAATTTCTATGAAAATTTCAATGACATTTTATATAAAGATAGGAAAACCCCATTTAAAATTTATATAAAATCCTAATACATCCTGAATGGCTAAAAAAAAAAAAAAAAAATCTTGAAGAACACAATTGGATGCTTCACATCCCTGATTTCAAAACATACTGCAAAGTAACTGTAATTAAGATGGTGTTGTACTGGCATGAATATATATTTATATAAACCAATGAAACAGAATAGAGAGCTCAGATACAATCTTTTGAATATACAAACGATTTTCAACAAGGGTGCCAAGATTACACAATAGGGAAAGGAGAGTCTCTTCAACAAATGGTGTTAGGAAAATGGAATACCCACATGCAAAGCAATGAAGTTGGGCCCTTACCTTATCCTATATGCAAAAATTAACTCAAAATGTATTAAATTCCTAAATGTAAGACCTTAAACTTCAGAATAAAATGAAGGAGAAAGTTTTAGGGCATTGAATTTGGCAATAACTTTTAAAATATGATACCAAAAACACAGGCAGTGAAATAAAAAATACACAAATGGGGCTACATAAAACTTAAAAATCCCAAAACAACAAAATGTAAAAAATAGAATTATTATATGCACCATTAATCCTTCTTCTGAGTGTATATTCAAAATAATTCAAAATGAGATCTTGAAGAGATATTTATTTGCACATTCATGTTCATTGCAGCACTATTTACAATAGGCAAGATGTAGAAGAAACCCAAATGGCTAGTGATGAATGAATAAAGAAAACATTATATATATATATGTATGTATATATATATTTTAATATACATGGTGTGTGTATATATATATAGAGACAACATACACACACACACACACACACACACACACACACACACACGATAAAATATTATTCAGCCTTAAAAAAAACTTCCTGTTTGAGGGTCTTCACAAGCCAAACCCAGCCCTTATTTTTAGTCAATTTCTCAATTCACCCATAAGTACCTGCAGACTTATGGAACCAGTGTTCCAAGAAAAAAGCTCTCTGCCCTGCTCTATGATTTTTCTCAAGCTGGAATGTTCTCTCTCATCTCTAGGTCATAAGAGTTGGTTTATTCCAAATAATATCATTTTGATATTTTCTCAGATACCCCCACTTTAAATAATTTCTCCCACCCTGCTGTACCACTGGAGAATATATGTGTATAGTGATAACTGATAACTCTTCCCTATATTTCCCCTAGTCTTCTAGATAACTATTCCACACCTCTCTTCTAGATCTTAGGATAAAATATTAAGGACTCAGAACACAAGTGTATAGAAAACACAGAACATAAAATATATATTTATCATGACCATCAAAACATTTCTCCCTGAAATTTGTAAATATTTTGTATATAAAAGAAATATTGATACTACAGAATCTCAGTGGTTCTTACCTGGATGTAGACATGCTGACATTAGACAATCTCCATAGTTCCTACCTGGATTTAGAACCTACAGCAACTGCAGCAAGTCTATCCATTTTCTGTTGTTAAAGTCTCTTTTTAAAGAGTTAGCATTTTTTTTTTGAGTCCAATGATGATTACCCAATTAGGTCGTTGTACTAGGTAAACAGAAAACAGAATATTTAGCTAATTCTAGGAATTCACTCTAGGCTCCTATATTTTAAAGGTTATATTACTAATTTCTCAGAATTAACATATCATTTTATGTTAATGTTAAAAATAAATTTTGTTTCTGGGAATGACTTGTATTATATTGTTTATTAAATTGTTATTGTTATTAAATTAAGCATAAGATTCTTTTTTCTTTAGAAATACAAATACAACAGATTATTCAAGGTATTTAAACTCTTCCAACTAGTAGAGAAGAAGAATCAAATAGATGTAATAAAAAATGATAAAGGGGATATCACCACCGATTGCACAGAAATACAAACCACCATCAGAGAATATAAACACCTCTACACAAATAAACTAGGAAATCTAGAAGAGATATATAAATTCCTGGACACATACACTGTCTCAAGACTAAAGCAGGAAGAAGTTGGATATCTGAATAGACCAATAACAGGCTCTGAAATTGAGGCAATAATTAATAGCCTACCAACCAAAAAAAGTCCAGACCAGACAGATTCACAGCCTAATTCTACCAGAGGTACAAAGAGGAGCTGGTACCATTCCTTCTGAAACTATTCCGATCAATAGAAAAAGAGAGATTCTTCCCTAACTTATTTTATGAGGCCAGCATTATCCTAATACCAAAGCCTGGCAGAGACACAACAAAAAAAGAGAATTTTAGGCCAATATCCCTGATGAACATCGATGCGAAAATCCTCAATAAAATACTGGCAAACGAAATCCCGAAGCACATCAAAAAGCTTATCTACCACGACCAAGTCAGCTTCATCCCTGGGATGCAAGGCTGGTTCAACATATGCAAATCAATAAATGAAATCCATCACATAAACAGATCCAACAACAAAAACCACATGATTATCTCAACAGATGCAGAAAAGGCCTTTGACAAAATTCAACAGCCTTTCATGCTAAAAATTCTCAATAAACTAGGTAATGATGGAACATATCTCAAAATAATAAGAGCTATTTATGACAAACCCACAGCCAATATCATACTGAATGGGCAAAAACTGGAAGCATTCCCTTTGAAAACTGGCACAAGACAGGGATGCCCCCTCTTACCACTCCTATTCAGCATAGTGTTGGAAGTTCTGGCCAGGGCAATCAGGCAAGAGAAAGAAATAAAAGTATTAAATTAGGAAAACAGGAAGTCAAATTGTCTCTGTTTGCAGATGACATGATTGTACATTTAGAAAACCCCATTGTCTCAGCTCAAAATCTCCTTAAGCTGATAAGCAACTTTAGCAAAGTCTCAGGATACAAAATCAATATGCAAAAATCACAAGCATTCCTATACACAAATAACAGACAAACAGAGAGCCAAATCATGAGTGAACTCCCATTCACAATTGCTACAAAGAGAATAAAATACCTAGGAATCCAACTTACAAGGGATGCGAAGGACCTCTTCAAGGAGAACTACAAACCACTGCTCGACGAAATAAAAGAGAACACAAACAAATGCAAGAACATTTCCATGCTCATGGATAGGAAGGGTCTTGAACTCCTAACTTCAGGCGATTCACCCACTTTGGCCCCTCAAAGTGCTGGGATTACAGGCGTGAGTCACGGCACCCAGCCTAGCATAGGTAATCTTAACCAAAATTTTAGGGACATGACAGTGGAGAGCTGTCCTTCAGATGGTGTCACTGAAGTATTCATGACTATTTTGGTTTTTTTTTGTGTTGTGATGAATACTTTTATTTTGTCACCTAAAAATCATAGTGATCCATATATCACAATTTTTTTTGAGATGGAGTATCGCTCTGCTTATATCACAATTTTACTAATTCCATTTACTTTTAATGGTTTTAATTTTCTGAGAGTGAGAAATCTTAGAATGACAATGAATTGAGGCCAGTGAATATAAAGAAAACTGGTACTAAGAAAATGGGTGAGAAATTTGCAGTTATCAAAAAATCACAGCCATCCTTAAAAACTGAAAAATATATGCCAACAATTTATTACTTCAATTTAAAAACTTCTCATAACCCATTTTATAAATAACTTTTTCAGTTTAATACACTATAGGCCTTCCACAATTTACACATATATTGTATTCAAGACAATTATTTGTGAATTGGAAGTTTGGTGCTCTGTGTATTTTTCCCGTAGAAGCATTTAGAGTCCGTTCTGCCATATACTGAGCACATCAAAATAGGATGCTCATAATTAGAATGGTAAAATTCATTTTTTTCTATTTTATATTGCTAAAAATATTGCTCCTACTATTATTTCCACATATCAGAAAGAGTGCTAACTACCCAGATTCTATATTCAGCTTCTGTGGCCCAGCTGCTAGGAGTGAGGTATTTCCATTGAATATGGAGGTAGAGAACTGCCAGGATACACAGAAGCTGGATTAGATTAGATTAGAGACACAGAAAAGAGAATACAAGGAAGAGAACCAATGGAACACTGCAGCATCTCCATCTCCTCCCTCCTATTCCCTTTATGTTTCTTTCTTTCTTTTTTTTGTTTCTAACCTTTGAGGATTTGTGACCTTCTCATCAAATATACTTCTCGGACAACTTATCCTTTGTAATTTGGCCATCACAGAGTTATACTTTTTTCCTTTACTTGCAAAGGTTCCAGAAATCAACCCCTCCCATTTTCTTTTCCTTCTGCTATCAAAGGTTGCCAGGATCAGTCCTCTGCACCAATCCCTAGATGAATGATGCCCTTTTTCTACTTCCCAGGAATAAGCACATAACATTTACCGTTCTTACAAAGGTGCAATCACAAAGATTAGACTAGATATTACTTAACAATAACAGGCACCAGTGTGCTAAAAATGGTAAATGGCAACAAGAAAAATAGTAATATCCTAAATATTTTTCTCATCACCTTTAAATATTTATAAACAAGCCTTTAGCCTCTGGAGTCTACATTCTTACTCTTTGCCAAGCGAAACACGATTCCTTAGCTTTCCTTTATTCAGAACCCTCTCTTAATCAAAAATCCCCAGTTCTAGAGTCTGAGTTCTCATTCCTTTTTGCATTAACTGCTGCTAAAGCTTAGCTGCCCAGCCTTACAGGACCAGGCAGTGGGAAGTGGCACAGTTAATGTTAGCTCCTGTCGTTTTGCACAACCTTAGCCTGGCCAGATTCCCAGGCCTCCCAAGCTGCTTTAGGCCTTCCCTAAATAATGTTTCAGTTTAGAAGGAAGGTCCTCCACTCTGCCTACCTGGGGTAAATATTCTTAACTTTCTGAAAGAAGGAAACTTTGAGAACCACCTGTCTTTCGGTGGTTTAGACTGTAACCAAAATACGATAATTCCTTATTCTTAACATAGAATAGGAGAGAGAGAGACTCGGTTAGTGAGACTGTAATAAAAATATGATAATTCCTTATTCTTAACAGATAGATTTGAACTAGAAATAACAATTAAAATGCTCTTTTAGGTAACACTTTTCCTCTGTCTCTTCTTATTTTCATTGATTGCAAAAAATAATGGACCTTACTTATTCCTTTTTTAACTTTCCCATAATTGAAAATTAATTACATTTGGTCTTTATTCTTTGATATGAATATTTATATCTTAAATTTATATTCTATGTATTCATCATACCTAGTGATCGTATTACCATTGAATGGAAACCCACTGCAAGTGATTTCAATTAAGGTTGAACAATCCTGAAATAATACAAAGTCAAAGAAACATTAAACATCATTAAAATATTAAACTAAGCATCAAAACATTTCTCAGTATCCTTAATCTTCATGATAGAATACAATCCTTCAAGTGAATGGCCCACATTACATAAAGTTATATTATCAGTTGTTTTAAAAGGCAAACACTAGAATGATAATAATAACAATTATTACTTCTTTCTTTATTGAACGCATTATGATTTCAAGACAGTTGAATGAATATTTTCACATTTCCTTATGAAAATCTTATCTGTAAGTTTAGAACAGACTTTCTTATGTCCATTAAAAACACTGATTTTGTATGGTCTCTTCAGTCCCAATAGCTCATATGAAAAGACCAGATATTTGTTCTCAGGGTAGATCTCAGCAGACCTCTTTTTGCCACCTTATTTCTGTTATCAATGTTAATGTAAAAGCTTACTAATATGATTCATAAATTACACAATATATCCAGAGGAGTCACAAACGTTTTCTGTATTCTAGTGTCTAGTGTATTACTGCCATCTTAAAGGTAAGGAACACATTTATTTATTTATTTTGAGACTGAATTTCGCTCTTGTTGCCCAAGCTGGAGTGCAATGGCGCCATCTTGGCTCACTACAACCTCCGCCTTCCGGGTTCAAGCAATTCTCCTGCCGCAGCCTCCCGAGTAGCTGGGATTACAGGCACGAGCCACCACACCCGGTCATTTTTTTTGTATTTTTAGTAGAAAGGGGGTTTCACCATGTTAACCAGGCTGGTCTCAAACTCCTGACCTCAGGTGATCTGCCCACCTCGGCCTCCGAAAGTGCTGGGATTACAGGTATGAGCCACCGCGCCCGGCCAGGAACACATTTATATCCTTGCTTAGAAATTCACTCACTCTTGCATTTAGAAAGCTATTTCCACAATTTTGTTTTTCTGTGGTCAATGAAGGTCGCTACCATCCCTGGTATAACACCTACCAAGTGAAATGAAATTATAGTGCAGTAGTGGAGGAGATGGTTTGGGGTAGGGGAGATGACCAAGATTTAAAATTCCATTTTTACTGAAATATTGAAGTAACTGATGAAAAGGTGTTTTTCCCCTTGAACTGTTTGATGACTGTATTTTTTTCAGAGCTAAGTAGCTGGCATCATTCAACAGTTACTAAGCACCTCCCAGGAGATGCTATTCTAGTCATGTTCTTCAGCGTAAAGAGATAAATGATGCTTCCTCTCAACTGAGTGACTAGAAGAAGTAAGTCATTTAACCTTTCTTAGCCTCAGTTTCCTTGTTTGCTAAGTGAGGATAATAATATTCATCTCATATGTTATGAAAATCTTCAACACAATGAACTAGCACTGTAAACCTCAATTTTATTTACACGTAGTTTCCCTTTAAAGATTGTAGGAGAGTTACCATTTATTAAGGTTCTCAAAAGTATTCAAGAACACTTATAAGATTAAAAGGGGTGGCTGGGCGCAGTGGCTCACGCCTGTAATCCCAGCACTTTGGGAGGCCGAGACGGGCAGATCGCGAGGTCAGGAGATCGAGACTATCCTGGCTAACACGGTGAAACCCCGTTTCTACTAAACAAAATACAAAAAGTTAGCCGGGCATGGTGGTGGGCGCCTGTAGTCCCAGCTACTTGGGAGGCTGAGGCAGGAGAATGGTGTGAACCCAGGAGGCAGAGCTTGCAGTGAGCCGAGATCCCACCACTGCACTCCAGCCTGGGCGACAGAGCGAGACTCCGTCTCAAAAAAAAAAAAAAAAAAAAAAAAGACTAAAAGGGGCAAAAAATTAAGTTAACCTTAATATAATAAAAGTTAAACATATAGTTATTTTTTAGAAGACCAAAAAAAAAAAAAAGGAAACTCTTTTAGCTGTGCTTTTGCAAAGGACAGTAACAATTTGTTAGCCCGGTAGAGGGCACTGAGGACAGTGAAGCCATGTCTGCTATTTAAGGAAGAAGATTCTTTCATAAGGAGATTGTCAAGAGGAAATCATCAGGAAGGGGAAGTTAACTTATCTAAGGGAGATTTTGGGAAGGGAGAGGTTGCAGTTCATTCCTGGTTGTGTTCTCTGATAAGTGCCTGACATGTATTTGTCATTGTAATTGATTTTCAGTGGTGGTTGTACCCTGTCTGCAAACTACACACACAAGAGGCAAGCTCACATTTGTTATCAACTTCTATTTTTACCCAGGGAAAAGGTTAGCATGCAGGAGAACTGGGGGACTTGCAGGTAGGGATAGTATTTTCCTAAAAGTTGGCTTAAAATCTTCAACAATTCAGTGGAAATGATGGATGTGTGTGATATAGTAACATACATATACAATAACAATCACACACTCACTTCTACATTCACATGGATGTACACTCACACTATTCTCCTCATGCTAATACTCAAATGCCCACTCACATGCACACACCCATGCATCGTTATCATGTAAGATGTTTATCATTGTAATGTGACTCCTGCTTTACATGTGATATTGAGCAGCTCTGTATTTTGATAGAACTCTCACAGGATGAATTCATCACTAAAGCACCCTGTGAAGCTAAATGTGCTATTTCATTTAATTACTAAAGGATATATTCTTAATACAACAGATGTAATTTAAATTGATACTCTGTTGTTCTCACTAATGACAATAAGCCATCAGGACCTGCTGTTTCTTGAGATGATTTTCAGTTAGATCTAATAAAAACCTATCAATAGGCAGTATAGATAGGGAATGCTTGTCTTACTGTTTGCAAAAGATGGACAAAAACTCTAAGTCATTTCACAGCTGACCCAGATCATTGAAATGTAAATTTTTAAAAGTTTTAAAACACTGCCCTCTTTAGGACTATTTAAGATTAACATTTTGTTAGTCATAAGCTTACATGATACCCACATCTCTGTGAACAGCAAGATCCCAAGATTTGGGATGGAGCAACTCAAGCTAAGGGCCCACATACACGCTAAAAGGATGGAGTGGAGCTACCATCAAGTTATGCCTTATGCAAATAAGATGCCCACCCCTCATTTGTTTTTTTAATAAAAGCCTTTGCATTCAACTGTAAAAATGGCAACACTCTTCCAGGCCCCCTCTCCACAGTGGAGGGCCTTCTGCTTTAGCTTATTAAGCTTGCACTCCAACATCACCCTTGGTGTCTGCACTCCTTAACTTTCCTGGTCGTGAGACAAAGAACTCCTGGGTACTACCTTAGGCAACAAGAGACTGCTACATTGTGGTGCATTGGCGAGACTGTAACAATGTGATTTTCAATGTTGCAGGTAGGGACTGGTTGGAGGTGATTAGATCATGGAATTTGATCCGTCATAAATAGATTAGCACCATCACTTAGTAATCAGTGAATTCTCACACAGTTAGTTTACATCAGATCTGGTTGCTTAAAAGAATGGGATTTCCCCTCTTCTCTCCCTTTTGCACCTGCTCTCACCGTGTGACATGCAGGCTTCTTCTGTCACCTTCCACCATGATTGTAAGCTTCCTGAGGCCTCATTAGGAGCAGACGCCACTATCATGCTTTCTGTAAAGTCTGCAGAACCATGAGCCGATTAAACCTCTTTTCTTCATAAATTACGTAGTGTCAGATATTTATTCATAGAAAAGCAATTACACTAATACTTGAAGTATGTTATTTCAATGAATAATTTCAACTGTAATGGGAATGGGAAGATGCAAGTTCTATTCCATCAGTCTGTTTTGTGCTTGTGGCTCTCTCACTTCCACTCACAGAGTCATTATTGTCAATTTTTTTCAATAGGAATTTTGGACATTCTTTCCAAGGAGTTGAGTCTCATGTAAATATTCTCAGGACCAGGCAAAATTTGAGATTATTTCCTTCTTAGGATTATTTAGACACTTTTAATCAATGAGATTGTGTTGTTTTTAATTATTTTATTTTATTCGTGGTTACATAGTAGACATATATATTAATGGGGTATATGAAATATTTTGATACAGGCATGCAATGTAAAATAAGCACATCATGGAGAATGTTTTATTTATTCCCTCAAACGTTTGTCCTTTGGTTTATAAATAATCCAATTACACTCTTTCGATTGTTTTAAAATGTAAAATTAAGTTATTATTGACTATAATCATCCTGTTGTGCTATAAAATATTAGTTCTTATTTATTCTTTCTGTTTTTGTTTGTATTCATTAACCATCCCCATCCACCCCCTACTCCCACTACCTTTCCCAGCCTCTGGTAAACATTCGTCTACTGTCTGTGTCCGACTGTTTTGATTTTTAGATACCACAAATAAATAAGAACATGTGATATATCTCTTTCTATGCTTGGCCTATTTCACATAACACAATAATCTCCAGTTCCATCCATGTTGTTGCATATTACTGAATCTCATTTGTTTATGGCTAAATAGTAATCCATTGTGTACATGTACCACATTTTCTTTATTCATTATCTGTTGATGGATACTTAGTTTGCTTTCAAATCTTAGCTATTGTAAACAGTGCCACAACAAACATAAAAGTGGAGATATCTCTTAGATGTACTGATTTCCACTCTTTTGGGTATACACCTAGCAGTGAGATTGCTGGATCATATGGTAGCTCAATTTTTAATTTTTTGAGGAACCTCTAAACTGTTCTCCATAGTGATGGTACTAATTTACTTTCTCACCAATAGTGTACAAGTGTTCCCTTTACTCCACATCGTCACCTGCATTTGCTATTGCCTGTCTTTTGGATTTAAGCCATTTTAACTGGGGTGAGATAATATTGTAATTCTGATTTGCATTTCTCTGATGATCAATGATGTTGAACACCTTTTCATATGTCTCTTTTCCATTTTCATGTCTTCTTTTGAGAAATGTCTATTCAGAAATTTTGCCCATTTTTGGATTGGATTATTACACTTTTTCTTACAGTTGTTTGAGCTCTTTATATATTCTGATTATTAATCTTTTGTCAGTGGGTAGTTTGCAAATATTTTTCTGCCATTCTGTGGATTGTCTTTTTGCTTTGTTGATTATATCCTTTGCTGTGCAGAAGCTTTTTAACTTGATGTGATCTCATTTGTCCCCTATTACTTTGGTTACCTGTGCTTGTGTGGTGTTTCTCAAGAAATTTTTGCCCAGACAAATGTTCTGGAAACTTTAAATCTACGAATCTACAAAACTATGAAATTACGAACCTCAAACTATGAAACTACAAAAAGTTGCATGACATGTCATGAAATAAAAAGTTTCATAGTTTGATGTCATAGATTTAAGTCTTTAATTCATTTTGATTTGATTTTAGTTAGTTGATATTGTGAGAAATAGGGATCTAGTTTCATTCTTCTGCATATAGATATCTAGTTTTCCTAATTCCTGAAGAGACTGTCTTTTCCGCAGTGTATGTTCTTGGCATCTTTGTCAAAATCAATTCACTGTAGGTGTGCAGATTTGTTTTTGAATTCTGTTTTATATTCCATTTGTGTATGTGCCTATTGTTATGCCAGTGCCCTGCTGTTTTGCCTGCTACATTCTATAATATAATTTGAAGTCAAGTAATGTGATTTCTCCAGTTTGTTCTTTTTGCTCAGGATGGCTTTGGCTCTTCTGAGTCTTTTGTGGTTTCAGATAAATTATAGGGTTGTTTTTTCTATGTCTGTGAAGAACATTGTTGAGATTTTGACAGAGATTGCATTGGATGTGTATATTGCTTTGAGCAGCATAAATATTTAACAATATTGATTCTTTTAATCCATTAACATGGAATATCTTTATTTGGTATCCACTTCAATTTCTTTCATCAGTATTTTATATTTTTCGGTACACAGATCTTTTACTGTTATGGTTAAGTTATTCCTAGTATTTTATTTATATATATGTGTGGCTATTTTAAGTGGTATTACTTTTTAAATTTTTTTCACATTGTTTACTGTTGACATATGGAAATGTTAGTGATTTTTTATATGTTGATTTGTTATCCTATAACTTTACTGAATTTGTTTATCACTTTTAACAATTTTCTTGTGGAGTCTTTAAGTTTTTTAAAATATAGGATTTTGTTATCTGCAAACAAGTAAAATTTGACTTTTTTTCTTTCCAATTTGGATGTTCTTTATATCTTTCTTTTGTTTAATTGCTCTAGCTAGGACTTCCATTATTATGTTGAACAACAGTAAGGGAAAGTGGGTGTTCTTGTTGTGTTCCAGATCTCAGGAAAAGAGACTTTCAGGTTTTCCCCATTCAGTATGATACTAGCTGTGGGTCTGTTGTATATGCCTTTTATTATGTTGAAGTATGTTCCTTCTATAACAAGCTTTTTTTCAGAGCTTTTAATCATAAAAGAAATGTTTAATATTACCAAATGCTTTTTAATTATCAAGTGAAATAATCATATGCTTTTTATCCTTTATTCTGTTGATATGATGTAATACATTGATTGATTTGTGTATGTTTAAACATCCTTACATCCCAGGGATACATTCTACTTGGTCATAATAAATGGCTATTTCAAATCTATTGTTGAATTTGGTGTTCTAGTATTTAATTGAGAATTTTTGCATTGATATTTATCAGAGATATTGGCCTGCAGTTTTTGTTTTTGATATGTCTTTGTCTCATTTTTGACATCAGTAATACTAGCTTTGTAGAGTGAGCTTGGAAGTATTTTCTTCTCTTCTATTACATGAAATAATTTGAATACGATTGCTATTAATTCTTCTTTAAACATTTGGTAGAATTCAGCCGTTAAACCATTGGATCCTGCACTTTTCTTTACTGGGAGCCTTTTTGTTATGGCTTTGATCTTGTTACTTGTTTTTGCCCTGTTCAGTTTTTGGATTTCTTCTTGGTTCAGTCTTGGTAGTTTGTATGTATCTAGGAATTTGTCCATTTCTTCTAAATTTTCCAATTTATTGGCATATAGTTGCTCATAGTAGCAAATAATGATCCTTGGAATTCCTGCAGTATCAGTTTTAATATATTTTTTCATTTCTGATTATATTTATTTAGATATTCTTTTTTACTCTTAGTCTGTCTGAACATCTGTCAATTTTAACTTTTCAAAAAATTAACTTTTTATCTTTTGTATAGTTTTTTATAATTTCAATTTTATTAATTTCTGCTCTGACCTTTATTATCTTTTTTCTTCTAATTTTGGGTGTAGTTTACTCTTGTTTTTCTAGTTGTTTAAGATGCATTGTTAGATAGTTTCTTTGAAGTTTTTTCTCCTGTGGCGTAGGCACTTATAACTATAAACTTCCCTGTTAGTACTGCTTTTCCTCTATCCCATAGATTTTGGTATGCTGTGTTTCCATTACCATTTGTTTAAGAGTTTTTTCAAGATTATTTTTAATTCCTTCAAAGCCCACTGGTCATACAGGAGCATATTGTTTAATTTCCATGTAATTTGTATTGTTTCCAAAATTTCCATTGTTATTGATTTCTAGTTATTTTATTTTGTCCAGAGAAGATGCTTGACATTATTTCATGTTCTTTCAATGTTTTAAGATTTGTTTTATGACTTAACATATGGTCTACCCTTGAGAATAATTCATGTGTTGAGAAAAATAATGTATCCTGCAGCTCTGGGATGAAATTTTCTGTGAATATCTATTAGATTCATTTGGACTATAGTAGAGATTAAGTCTGATGTTGATTTTTTGTCTGGAAGATTTGTCCATAATGAAAGTGAGGTGTTGAAGTCTCGAACTATTATTGTATTAGGGCCTATATCTCTCTTTAGCTCTAATAATAGTTCCTTTATATATTGGAGTGCTCCAGTGTTGGGTGCGTATGTTTTCAAAATTCTTATATCTTCTTGCTGAGTTGGCCGCTTTGTCATTATGCAATGACCTTGTTTTTGTCTTCTTACAGTGTTTGTCTTACAATCTATTTTGTCTGATATAATTATAGTGACTCCTGCTCTTTTTTAGTTTCCCTTTGCATGGAATATGTTTTCCCATCCCTTTATTTTTAGTCTATGTGTGTCTTTATAAGTGAAGTGTGTTTCTTAAAGACAATAGATCATCCTATACAGCCCGTGAAACCATGAACCAATTAAACCTCTTTTCTTTATAAATTACCCCATCTTTGGTTCTTTTTTATAGCAGTGAGATAACTGAATAAAAAAGACAATTTAATCCATTTACATTTAGTGCTATTATTGATTAGTAGAGACATACTCCCACCATTTTGTTATTTGTTTTCTGGTTGTTCTGTGGTCTTTTCATCCTTCTTTCTTTCTTCCGGTCTTCTCAAGTGAAGGTGATTTTCTCTGGTGATGTAACTTATTTTTTGCTTTTTATTTTTTGTGTATCTATTGTATGCTTTTTGGTTTGAGGTTACCATGAGGCTTGCAAATACTATCTTATAGCTCATTATTTTTAACCTAATAATTTAACACTACTTACATGAACAAACAAGCAAAAATCAAAGTAATAAATAATCTATGCCTTAACTTTATCTCCATGCTTTTTCACTTTTTGTTGTTTCCATTTATAGCTTACTGTACCATGTCTTGAAAAGTTGTTGAAGTTATTATTTTTGATTGGTTCATCATTTAGTGTTTCTACTTAGAATAATAGTTCACATACCACAGTTAAGGGGTTATGACATTGTGTTATGCTGCATGCTTACTATTACCAGTGAGTCTTGTACCTTTAGGTGATTATTTATTGTTCAATAATGTTCTTTTCTTTCCATTTGAAGCACTTCCTTTAGCATGTCTTGTAGGATGGGTCTGGTATTGATGAAATTCCTTAGCTTTTGTTTGTCTCACTGAGTCTCCATTTCTTCTTCATGTTTGAAGGATATTTTTCTTGGATGTACTATTCTAGGGTAAAAGCGTTTTTGTTTGTTTGTTTGTTTTGTTTTGTTTTGTTTTTTTACTTCAGCACTTTAAATATGTCATGCCATTCGTGCCTGTAAGGTTTCCAGTAAAAATTCTGTTGCCAGAATTTTGGAGCACCACTCTATCTTAATTGTTTCTATTATCTTGCTGCTTTTTGGATCATTTTTTAAATTTTGACCTTTGAGAGTTTGATTATTAAATGCTTTGAGGTAGTCTTCTTTGGATTAAATCTGCTTGGTGTTCTATAACCTTCTTGTACTTGGATATATCTCTCTCTAAGTTTGAGAAGTTCTCTGGTATTATCCCTTTGAATACACTTTCTACCCCATCTCTTTCTCTACCTCCTCTTTAGGGCCCATAACAGATATGCTCTTTTGGGTCTATTTTCCACTTTCTGTAGGCTTGTTTTATTGTTTTATATTCTTTTTTTCATCTCCTCTGACTGTGTATTTTCAAAAAACCTGTCTTCAAGTTCATTAATTCTTTGTTTTGCTTGATAAATTCTGCTATTAAAGGATTCTTATTCATTCTTCAGTATACCAATTGTATTTCTCAGCTACAGAATTTCTGCTTCATTCTTTTCAATTATTTCAATGTCCTTGTTAAATTTATCTGATAAAATTCTGAATTCCTTCTTTGTGTTATCTTGAATTTCTATGAGTTTCCTCAAAATAGCTATTTTGAATTCTCTCTCTGAAAGGTCACATATCTCTGTTTCTCCAGGAATGGTTCCTGGTGCCTTATTTAGTTCATTTGGTGAGGTCATGTTTTCCAGGATGGTGTTGATGCTAGTAGATATTTGTCTGTCTGGGCATTGAAGAGCAAAACACTTATTGTAGCCTTGGCTGTTTGGGCTTATTTGCAGCCATCCTTCTTGGGAAGGGTTTCCAGGCATTTGAAATAACTTGATTATTGTGAAATAAGCTGTGTCTGCTTTAGGGAGCATCCCAAGCCCAGTAATGCTGAGGTTTTTGCAGACTCGTAGAGGTACCGTCTTGATGGTCTTGAACAACATCCAGGAGAATTCTATGGATTTCCAGGCAGAGATTCTTGTTCTCTTGCTTAATTTCTCCCAAACATACAGTCTCTCTCTCTATTCTGAGCCAACTAAATCTAGGTTTGGAGTGGCGTAAGCACCTCTGTGGCATCCAGAACTATGACTACATTGGGTTACACCTGAAGCCAGCACATTTATGAGTCTTGCCCAAGGTCTGCTGTAATTACTCCCTGACTACTGCCAATGTTTGCTCAAGGCCATGGGGCTCTACAATCAGCAGGCAGAAAAGCCAGCAAGGCCTGTGTCCTTCCTTTCAGGGTGGCGAGGTCCCCCAGGTCCCATGTGGGTCCAGAGATGCCATCCAGGAGTCAGAGACTAGAGCCAAAACTCGTAAAGTCTACCTGGTGTTCTATCATATTGTGGCTGAGGTGGCACGCAAACCACAAGACCGTCTTTCCCACTCTTCCCTCGCATTTCCAAATACAAAGGAGCCTCAACCCATAGCCACAACACTTCAGGCCCACAGGGAGTACTGCTAGACTACTGCCAATGTTTCCTTAAGGCCCAAGGGCACTTTAATCAGCTTCTATTGAATTCTGCCTGAGGTGGGATTCAAACTTCAGAACAATGGGCTCCCCTCTGGCCGAGGGCAGGTTCAGAAATGCTATCCCAGAGTCAAGTCCTGGAATCAGGGACCTCAAGAGTCTGCTTAGTGCATTAACCCCTGTGATCTTTCTGGTATCTGAAGCCAGCAAGACTTGGAGGCTCACCCAAGGCTCTCAGTGTAGTACCTGGGTATCAATATTATTGTTTATTGTTGATTAATAAGAGACATACCAGTCTGATGATTGATTTTTAATTTTTACCAAAGCCATTTATGCACAAAGTTGTAAAAATAAGATTATATCAAAAATCTCATATTGAAAATGAGTTTTTCTCTGCTTATTATTACTGCTTTCCAGAGGCAAGCATTTACAACTCTTTTTAGCTATTTCTTCTATTTACCTCCATATTTCTAATACTTTTAAGTAGAGGTTGATCCTGTGATCCTGCTAGTTTTTATTCCTGGCATACTTCATTTTATTGAACTTCACTTTATTGCACTTCACATATTTTGGTGTTTTTTTTGTTTGTTTTTTGTTTTCAAATTGGAAGTTTGTGGCAATCCTGCATCAAACAAGTCTATTGACATCATTTTTTCAAAAATATGTGCTCACTTTATGTCTCTGTGTCACATTTTACTAATTCTCACAATATTTCAGACTTATTCATTGTTATTGTATCTGTGATAGTGACCTGTGGTTAGTGATCTTTGATGTTACTATTGTAATTGATTTGACTTGCCACTATCCATACCCATATAATACGTGGAACTTAATCAATAAAGTTGTGTGTGTTCTGAATGCTCCACCAACCAGCTATTGCTACATCTCTCTCCATCCCCTTGGGCCTTCCTATGTCCTGAGACAGAACAACATAGAAATTAAGCCAAATAATAACCTTACAATGACCTCTAGGTGTTTGAGTGAAAGAAAGAGTCACATATCTCTCATTTTAAGTCAAATTTTAGAAATGATTAAGTTTAGTGAGGAAGGCATATCAAGAGCCAAGGTAAGTCAAAACTAAGCATCTTGCATTCAGCAGTTAGCCAAGTTGTGAATGCAAAAATAAAGTACTTGAAGATAATTAAGAGTCCTACTTCAGTGAACACACAAATAATAACAAAGTGAAACAGACTTATGGCTAACATGGAGAAAACTTCAGTAGCCTGGATTGAAGAACAAAGCAGCCACAATGTTCCCTTAGGCCAAATCTAATCTAGAGCAAGGACATAACTCTCTGTCATTCTATGATGACTAAGAGACGTGGGAAAGCTGCAAAAGAAAAAAAGCTGTAGAATTTGTTTCACGGGGTTTAAAAAAAGAAGCTGGTTTCATTATCTAAGTACAAAGTGAAGAAGCAAGTGCTGACGTAGAAGGTGCGGCAAATGATCTAGGAAATCTAGCTAAGATAAGTATGAGAGTGGCTACATTAGTCAAAGTCAATTTTTCCTAATACATTACCGTGGGCCCACTGGAAACTTAACACATAATGTAATATGTTGTTTGACAATCACAGCTTGCAAATATTGGAATGTCTTTATTTCTTCCACAATACTTAAATGTATTCTAAATTTACTTAAACAAGATAATTGTTAATTATACATTGATAAAGTCTGTGAAATATATAATTTTATGTGAGTAACAGATATTATTGTAGCATATATCCAAGCTAGACTTCAGGCCTTAGTATTATAGTTCAAACTCTGTGTTTGTTTGTTTAATAAAATAGACACTAGGCATTTCTCTTTACTTAGGATATGAATCTAGCTCCTCCTTTTTAACCTCTACCTGTATGATACTCATTTGTTTTATTAAGAATTAGAATTACCTGAACAAGTATTTTTTCTTTTATTACACAGTAACCATGTCTCTCACTTTAATTTGTATGGATCATATAGTCTAACCTTAACCACAAATATGTAGCTATAATGTAACAATGAGTACTCTCATTTTTTCTACCTACAGTTTGTTTTATTATAAGTTCATAGGCTTATTTATACTTCCACCATAAAAGATGTGGAAATTCTTAGTGAAAGGACCAGGAACTCCTCAAAAATAACATCTTACTGAATCAATGCAATGCTGTTTGGAAACACAGAAGCAGAAGTGGCTTTTTTTCTCCCCTTAACAATGTGTTTCACTATCTGCCCCAGCAGAAGGGACAAAATGTTTATTTTTATTTAAGGATTCTAAGTTTGCTTCATCCATGACACTTCCATTTTCTGATGCATTGATATCTTTCTCTTGATATTTTTTCTTCATGGCATAAATTAATATAATATATAAAACAAGTGATGAGACTCTTAACATTGAAGACAAGCCCAAGTAGACCCTTCTGTAGAAATAGAGAAAATAAAACAATAAATCAGTTTAAATTGTGTGTAATAACTTAAAACATTTTCTCCAGTATCCAGATCCTAAAGAAAAAAAATTATAAATAAAATATTAAGACAATAATTCTAATAATTCTTTTTATTGGGGCATAACGATAGATATTTTATTATTGTAATAGGGTTATGAAGCCATAGAAACTATACTCTAGTTGCCTCTGGCCTTCTTCATAAAACGAGAAAAATATACAACTCAAGCCCTGTTAAGCCATCCTGCCCCACCTACAGCTGGGAGGAGAAACTGAGAAGTATGTTTGAAATTTATAATCCAGAGGTTACTGGATTATAACTAAAATAATAAAACCTAAATGTAGGCCTGTAGAATGCTACCCCTTCTCCAGCACCTTACACCATATTAATAAAGGCTTATCAAAGCAGTTCCTTTTACCTAATGCATTATGCTTAACTGTAATGAAAAAAATTGCCAGTCATACCAAAAGTGAAAAAAAAAACATAGATTGAAAGGAATAAGTAAGCTTTAAACCAGACCTAGATATGTCCGGGACGTGGAAATTTTCAAAATGGAATTTAAAACAACTATGATTAATATGTTAAGTGTTCTAATCAATAAGGTAGACAGCATTCAATAACAGATGGACAATGTAAGTATAAAAATAAAAATTTTAAGAACCCAAGAAAATGCTAAAAATAAAAAATTCTGTAGCAGAAATAAAGAATGCCTTTGATGGGCTTATTAGTAGATAGAACACAACTGATGAAGACTCTCTAATTTGAGGATATATCAATGAAAACCTCCAAAACTGAAAAGCAAAGAGAAACAAGACTAAAAAGTAAATCAATTGAAATCATATAAAAATTTTGAGACAATTATATAAGTGGGTGTAATGGAAAGGTTAGAAGGAAAACAAAGAGAAAAGGAGCAAAAGAAACATTTTTAAAAAATAATTACTGGCCAGGTGCAGTGGATCATGCCTGTAATCCCAGCACTTTGGGAGACTGAGGCAGGCAGATCACGAGGTCAGGAGTTAGAGACCAGCCTGACCAACATGGTGAAACCCCGTCTATACCAAAAATACAAAAACTAGCTGGGCGTGGTGGCGGGTGCCTGTTATCCCAGCTACTCAGGAGGCTGAGGCAGGAGAATCACTTGAACTCGGGAGGCGGGGGTTGCAGTGAGCCAAGATCATGCCATTGCACTCCAGCCTGGGCAACAGAGTGAGACTCCATCTCAAAAAAAAAAAAATTACTAAGAATTTCTCTTAAATTAATGTCAGACACTATATCACAGATTCAGGAAACTCAGAAAATGCTAAGGATTTGTCCTTTGAGTTACAAACAATTCAACTACACTTCCTAAGTTATTTTTAAATATACAAATAAGTTATTATTGACCAGAAAAACTACGTGTAGGTGTGTTATTTTCAAATTACAGAAAGTCAAAGATAAAGAAAACTTTATCCTGAAACTAACCAGAAGGAAAAACAAATTTTATCTATAGGGGAGAAAATAGACTTCTCTTCAGAAACCATGCAAGCAAGAAGAGAGTGGAGTGAAATATTTAAAGTCTTAAGAGAAAAAAATCACCAACTTAAAATTCTGTACTCTGTGAAATTCTTTTAAAAGTAAAGTAGAAATAAACACATTCTCAGACAAACAACAATTGAAGAAATGTTTTTCCAGTACATCTTCCTTGTAAGAAATGTTAAGAGAAGCTTTTTAGAGAGACTCATATAGGTCAGAAACTTGATATACATAAAGAAAGGTAACATAAAAAGTTATGATTATATAGTCATATAAAATCAGAGTCATATAGACTATTTAGTTAAGAACACAACAGAAGAAAAAAGAATAGAAGACAAAAATAGGATCAAAGAACAAGTATAACAAATAGACAATAGTAAAATTATAATCAACATTGGTCTCACAACATCAGTAGTCACTTTTAATGTCAATGATCTAAATCCACCAATTAAAAGACTGAGTTTGTTAAAGGATTAAAAAGAAGAAACAAACTATATGTAGTCTCTAAGAGATCTACTTATAGATGTATAGATTAAAAGTAATTAGATGGAGGAAGATATATCATGCTGCCACTGATAAAAAAATAAGTCAAGTTCTTTTCAAGATGGCTGACCAGGGACATCAAATTACAGTTCTCCTCAGAAAGAAGATCAAAGTTACTGGTGAATAAAGAAGTACCAAATAAAAAACTGAGAAAGAGAGCCAGGAACTGTTATAGTGCCCATAAGAAGCAGCTGTGGTGTAGTAAAGAAAAGCGGTAAAAGCCTGGTAATAATCAACCCCCAGAGAACCCTGTGAAAATTTAGCTGAAAGTGCTTCTCTGCTCCCCTCACATCTCTGATAATCTGCTGACCACCAAATTGTTAGGAATTTCCTCTGCCCTCTTGATGCAGGGTAATGCTATTGGTGGCAATTTGGGAACTCCCCAGGGATAGACAACTAGGTGGCCAGCCTGCACAGGTACAGCTGCACCACCTTTCTATCTAAAGGAAAGATGTGCCATACTGTTGGTGCATCTATGGTATGCCACCGCCCTGCCTGAGGATTCTCCATCTTTGAGTCACCATGCCACCCAATTCCTGGCAAACATGTCCAACAAACTGCTCTGACTTTGGTAGGCACAGGGGTCAGTGGACTTTGGGGAGACAGCAGGACCTCTGGAGATCTAACCCTCAATGTGTTCTTCCCCTAAAAGAGTGGGGACTGTAGCCCACTATAGCTTCCCCTGGGACAAAGAGAACATGGGCACAGCACCAATTACTGAAGGAGGCAGTACCAACACTCAGGAATGAATCTGGATAGAGGGTAATTTCCCACTCTCTCCACTGTACACTGTTGTGGGTGCAACAGTGTATGAGATACTATACAAAACATACTATAGTATGAGATACTATACAAAACAACCATTCAGATACTATATGAATATAGTCATCAGATTGCCTAAGTTCAACATGAAAAAACAAATCCTAACGGCAGCTAGAGAAAAGGGCCAAATTATTTATGAAGGAAATACCATTAGACTAAAGGTGAACTTCCCAGCAGATACATTACAAGCTAGAAGAGACTGGGGGCCTATTGTTAGACTTACAAAAGAAAAATAATAATGACAGCCAAGAACTTCATAACTTCCCAAATGAAGATTTGTGAATAAAGTAGAAATAAAATATTTCCCAGACCAGTAAACACTAAGGAAATATGTCACCACCAGATCAGTTTTAGAAAAAATGCTCAAAGGAGTTCAAAACAGGAAAAAACAGACCAATACTTGCTACTATAAAAGCACCCATAATTACAAAGCCTACAGATCCTATTAAGTAACTACACAATTGCAACTATAAAGCAACTAGCTAACAACAGTATGAGAGGTACAAAATCTCACATATCAATATTAACTTTGAATGTAAATTGCCTAAATGCTTCATATAAAAGACATAGAGTAGCAAAGTGGATTAAAAAAAAAAAGGCAACCTTCTGCTGCCCTTAAGGAATCCATCTCGTATGTAAGGACACCCATAGACTTAAAGTAAAAGAATGAAGAAAGATCTATCTTTCAAATGGAAAGCAAAAATAAGCTGAAATTCCTCTCTTTGTATCAAATAAAACAGACCTTAAACAAACAACAGTTTAAAAAAAACCAAGTAAGTGCATTACATAATGATAAAGCATTTAATTCAACAAGATTTAACTAATCTAAATATATACACACTCAATACTGAAGCAATCATATTTATAAAATAAATACTACCAGACCTAAGCAAAGAGATAGAAAGTAATACAATGAGTAATAAGCTTCGACACCAGACTGACAGCACTAGGCAGGCACATCATCAAGGCCAAAAGCTAAAAAAAAAAAAAAAAAATTCGACTTGAAGTAGACTCTTTACCAAGTGGATCTAATAGATATCTAGAGAATACTTCACCCAAAAATCAGAGAAAATGCATTTTTTATCTGTTCATAAAACATTCTCTAAAACTAACCACATTCTAAGTCATAAGTCACAATAAATTTTTTAAAAAATCAGAGTTATAACAAACATCTTCATGAACCACAGCAGAATAAAAATAGAAATCAGTATCAAGAGCAACTCTTGAAACTACACAATTACAAGAAATCTGTATAACTTGGTCCTGAATTACTTTTGGGTAAATAACAAAATTAGAGCAGAACACAATTTTTTTGTTTTAAACAAATGAAAATCGAGACAAAGTATTTTAAAACCTCTAGGATATAGCTTCAACAGCATAAAGTGGAAAGTTTATTGCACTAAATGCTTATGAAATTTTCACTGCAAAACTATAACCGAGACTGAAAGAGAGCTGACCTAACCAACTCCATCTTGCTTCTATCCTCCAAGCTGTTCTTGTTGATTTCTGGGTGTAAGCCGAACTAATTCTGGGAGAAATTTAGTTTATAGCTTCGAGTTTAAAACCAAGACAGTAACAGTCCTTTCCCAAAACAAACCAGCTTCTTGCCTGGGAAACAGACTACCTTTGTAGGACTAACGAATTAGCCAAAAGATTAGAAATTATGATTTAGGAGTAATGCATCTGGAGGCTACAAGATTCTGACTCTAACCAAATTGCTCCTGAGGATAACAGCACTATTGTAAAACCTAAGATCAATACTTGATATATTTTGCAGATCCTGAACTTCACAGATGAGCTCACACCACCCAGATTGATAAACTGGCCTATCTCATCCTGTGGCCCCCTCCCAGGAAGTGACTCAGCACGAGAGGACAGTATCAACTCCCTATGATTTCATCTCTCACCTGACCAATCAGAACTCTTGACTCACTGGCCCCCCTACCCACCAAATTATCTTTAAAAACTCCAGTCCTCAAATTCTCAGAGAGACTGATTTGAATAATAACAAAACTCTGGTGTACTGCACAGCTGGCTCTGCATGAATTACTCTTTATTGCAATTTCTCTGTTTTGATAAGTAAGATCTTTCTTGATAAATAAGCTCTGTCTAGGCAGTGGGCAAGGTGAACCCGTTAGGTGGTTACACACTAGGGGTCTCATCTGGGATTGCCTTTGTGCCTACCTGCCCATGGTTCAGTAGCCCTGCTCTGGTGATGGATCCAGAGGCCAGCCCAAGTGGCTGCCTAGTTCTCTTGGACTGTGGGCTGACTCTGGCACTGTCTCTACTGGCAGGGTGCTGCTGACCCAATGTGCATGGATTTAATTGCAATGGAGAAATAGTTCCTGGAAATGATGTCTGTCTCCAAACTAATTTGGTGAGTATTCTAGGCACTGCCAACTCCTCCTTTCTTCTCCCAGTTGGTTTGGCTCCTTTGGGGATCATGATTTGGCTTCTTTAGGGGCCTTGGTTTGGCTCCTTTGGGGCTCTTGTTTTTTTTTTTTTGTTTGTTTGTTTTTTTTTTGAGGTCTCAGTTCAGCTCCTTTGGAGGTGTTGGTTAGCTCTAATTAGTAGGAAGTCTTGGTTCAGGAGATTTCTCTTCAATCAAGAAGATTTTAGGGAGAATTCTCAGGTGGAGAATAGAAGGTTCGTTTGGGAGGAAGACTCGGAATTCTTGGTTAGAAGTCGTGGTTTGGAAGGCCTTCTGTCTGTCTTGTCTTTGTTGTGTGTATTTGTATATGTGGAGGAGACCTCTAAAGGAACTACTGATGGAAGTCTAGGACACCTAACTCAGAAAACCCTCATTATTTGTCTGGTCACATTCAGTGAGTCCTGAAGGAAGCTCAAAAAGGCCTGAGTCGGGGTGACTGTCCACTTCTTCATCTTGCCCAGAGACCTGAATTCTCAGTTGGAGTTTAGCCCTCCACATCTTGAGTGGATCAGAGATGATAGGGACCAATGAAAGAAAGTTTGAGCCTCGCCAGGTCAATATTGGGTGCTGAATGAGGTGACAAATGTCTGTTTTGTTATGTGTATTTTGCTAGGCTGGGGTGGAAAATGTTAATTTGGTTCCTCATGCAGCCCATTGGGCAGCATCTTGCAAAAATGAGAAGCTTTTGCCTATAGTTTTATAAAACAGAAAAGGATAATTTTCTTTTGTAAAGTGGCTTGGCCCCCAAAGCTATGGTGCAATGAGCAGGGTCATCAAAAGCCACTTCATTCTTCTGGAAGCTGCAGAGAAAGGGAACCCAGAAACGTGGTATGCTGGCAAAAGGGGTAAGAATTTGTTACCAGCCAAGCTTCTGGTCTCTGTCTCTCTGTCTCTGTCTCTGTCTTTCTCTGTCTCTCTGTCTCTCTGTCTTTCTGTCTCTCTCTCTCTCTCTCTGTGTGTGTGTGGTCTGATTAATAGAAAAATGAATTTTTGAGACTAGTCTTAGGCTTTAGCAAATCTGGTGTACTTTGTGCTAAGAATTTGTCTTTTAGTGTTGTTCTGTAATGGAGAGGGGTGTCATAGGAAAGAATGTAGAAAGTAGGCTTAGGATTCCTATAAGCCTACTTTTTAAGCCAGCCTCTTGGGCTGGTCGGTTACAAACTTTGCTGTGTGTTCCTGAAACCTATACTGGATGAGGTTTCCCTCTCATCTTGTTTTATGTCCGTGGGAGCTTGATCTTGTAACTATGTGGCAGTACTTACTCTTGGTCTCTGCCATCTAGAGGACAGGAATTTTGTAGTTAATGTCATAGTTAGCTCTAAAAATTATCTCGAGCAGTTAAAAGCCTTTGCAAGCTTGAAATCGGTTGCACTGGAATCCTTCTGGGAAAGGTAATGAAGACTATCCAATGCTATAGCTCAGAAGCTAAGAGTTTGTCTTTTCACAATGGTGGCCTGGGACTCAATTCTTGGCCCAGGGAATGAATGCTTTCTGATTTGATATTCTTGTGGCTTTTTCCATTTGTTGATTCTCTGCTCCTCCATGACCAACTTCTGGCTTCCCTTCTTGAATTTTCGTTTCTGTGAGTTACCTTTGAAGATTCTAGATCTTGTAAAAACTGCTTACCACCTATTTGAAAATACCTCATACACTCATGGTTAAGTTACAACCTCAGTTAAGGCTTATTTATTTCACCTAGGAGATTACTATTTCTAAAGAAGTTCAAAAGCCAGAAATACTGGCTGTTTGGCCTTGCTAAAGTCAGATAATAAGAGATATAAAGGATTTTTTTTAAAGGGCACTATAGCTAAAAGTCAGCTTAATTAAAAATGGATATCCAAGTGCTCTCCCATACTCTCTCTCGCTCTCCCTCTCTCTTTACAGACACACATATACGTTTGTGTGTATATATACATACACATATATACATGTATATATAGCATATACATATATACACACATATATACATATATGTATATATATGTGTGTGTGTCTGTGTGTGTATATATCTATATACAAGACCTTTGTGCTTTTTCTCTTCTTGGATCTTGTTTTTTTGAGAAGTTTTTATTTATTTATTTTTCTCACTTGAGTGAATTATTTCCTCAGTCTGTCTTTTTGCCCCTCTTGATGACCACATGAAAGGAACTAAGTTCATTTCTAACAGACGAGGAGTCCTTGGGAAAAATAGGAGGTACCATTTTTGGGAAAAAGCTCTGATTTCCTCATGGAACCCCAGGCATTGAAGGAGGATAGAACTCTCTAAAAATGAATCCATATTTAATAACCTTCTAAAACAGAAAGCATCAAACTAAACTGAAAAGAACAGATACTATACTTGATATTAGCCAAAAAGCCAAGTTTGTTTATTGCTGCACTATTCACAATAGCAAAGACTTGGAACCAACCCAAATGTCCATCAGTGATAGACTGGATTAAGAAAATGTAGCACATATAAACCATGGAATACTATGCAGCCATAAAAAAGGATGAGTTCATGTCCTTTGTAGGGACATGGATGAAGCTGGAAACCATCATTCTCAGCAAACTATCACAAGGACAAAAAAACCAAATGCCACATGTTTTCACTCATAGGTGGGAATTGAACAGTGAGAACACTTGGACACAGGAAGGGGAACATCACACACTGGGGCCTGTCGTGGGGTGGGGGGAGGGGGGAGGGATAGCACTGAGAGATATACCTAATGTAAATGAGTAGTTAATGGGTGCAGTACACCAACATGGCACATGTATACCTATGTAACAAACCAGCACATTGTGCACATGTACCCTAGAACTTAAAGTATAATAATAATAATAAAAAAGAAAGCATCAAATTAAGATAGGTTCATTGGTGAATTCTATCAAACACTTAAGTAAGAAATTATACCAAATCATTACAATCTTCTTCAGATGATAGCAGCAGCAGAAGTACTTCCTATTTCATTCTGTGAGGCTAGCATTATCCTAATAACAAAATCAGACAAAGACATTACAAGAAAAGAATACTACAGAGGGCTGGGCATGGTGACTCACACCTGCAATGCCAGCACTTTGAGAGGCCGAGGTGGGCGGATCACCTGAGGTCAGGAGTTCGAGACCAGCCTGACCAACGTGGAGAAACCTTGTCTCTACTAAAAGTACAAAATTAGCCGGGTATGGTGGTGCATGCCTGTAATCCCAGCTACTCGGGAGGCTGAGGCAGGAGAATCGCTTGAACCTGGGAAGCGGAGGTTGCGGTGAGCCATGATCGCACCATTGCCCTCCAGCCTGGGTAACAAGAGCAAAACTATGTCTCCAAAAAAAAAAAAAAAAAAAAAAAGAATACTACAGAGCAACTTCTCTCATGAACATAGACGCAAAAATTCTCAAAAAATATCAGATTGAATCCAACAATGTATAAATATAGTATACATCATGACTAAGTGGGATTTCCCTCAGGTTTCCAAGACTGGTTCAACATTCAAAATGAATTCTTACAGTTCATTACATTAACAGGCTAAAGAAGAATAATAAAATGACATGATCACATCAATAGATCTAGAAAAGTGAATTTGCAAAATCAAACACTCATTTATAATAAAAACTCCCATTAAACTTGGAATAGGGGAGAACCTCCTCAACTTGATCAAAAATATCTGCCAAAACCCTACATCTAACTTCATACTTAATAGTGAGAAACTCAAAGTCTTCCCACTAAGGTCAGGAACAAGTCAAAAACGTCCCCTCTCACCACTGTTTTTCAACATGGTACTGGGAGTCGTAATTAATGTAATTTTTAAAAAGAAAAGAAAATGAAATGTATATAGATTGAAAAGAAAGAAATTGTCTTTGTTTGCAATATGACATAATTGTCTAAGTAGAAAGTTTAAAATAACAGACAAAAACACACTTGGAACTAATAAGCAATTATTGCAAGGTTTCAGGACACAGGATCCAGGGTTAATATAACAGAATCAAACATCTTCATATATATCATCAAAGAAACATGAAACTTGGAAGCCATCAAGATGCCCTCAGTAGGTGAATATATAAATAATCTGTTATACATCTAGACAATGGAATATTATTCAGCAATAAAAAGAAATGAGCTATCAAGCAATTGAAACACCTGGAGGAAATTTAAATGCATGTGATTAAGTTAAATAAGCTAGTCTAAAAATGCTACATACTGTATGATTCTGGAAAACGCAAAACTATGAAAACAGTAAAAAGCACAGTGGTCTCCAGGGGTTTTAGAGGAGGAAGGAATGAATAGGCAGAGCAGAGGATTTTTAGGGTAGAGAAACTACTTTGTATAATACTGTAATGGTGGATATATGTCATTATGCATTTGTCCAAACCCATAAAAGTACAATGTCAAGAGTGAAACCTAATGTAAACTGTGGACTCTGGGAGATAAAGATGTGTTAATGTTGTTTCATCATTTGTAACAACTGTATCACCCTTTGTTGGGAGACATTGATGGTAGGATAGGCTATGCATGTGTGGGGCAGGTGGTATGTGGGAAATCTCTGTAATTTCTCCTCAATTTTACTGTGATCCTAAAACTCTCTAAAATTGAGTTTATTTAAAAAATTCTTAAGGTAACAATTTAACTTTTTATGTATTCATTGGTAAATGCACTGCTCTTTTTTTTTTTTTAAATTCCACTTTACACAATCAAGCAAAGAACACAAGTGACCAAAAGGAAAGTGATAAGGGCCATGAGTTAGCTACAATGTGGTAAGTCCCAAAGAGGGTTGGTCATTTCCAGCTGGTTGGAATGGTGTGAACTTTATGAAAGAAAAGGGTGTGTGAGCTAAGCCCGGAGCATTTCCTGGCAGTTAGAAGCCTAATACTTGTCTTAGTTGGCTAAAATCAAGGTATCAGCAGGGCTGTATTCCTTTCTGGGACCTCCAGGAAATAAGCTGTTCCTTCGCTTTTTCTCACTTCTAGAGGCCACCTACATTCCTCGGCTCCTGGCCCCTTTCTTCCATCTTCAAACCCAGCAACAATAGACTGAGTCTTTCTCACATCACATCCTTCTGACCTCCTCTTTTTATTTTTTAGGATATTTGTGGTTATATTGGGCCCAACCAAATAATTTTCTTATCTTGAGTTCAGCTAATTAGCAAACTTATTCCATCTGCAACCTGAACATAGTGTAATTACAGATTCCAGGGATTAAGACAAGATATTTAAAGAATCCACAGAGGAGTGAGGTTACCTTAAAGGAACAAGAAAACAGACAACAGCTTACTTATCAAGAGTAAAATGGAACTTAGAAGACAATAGAGTAATATCTTCAATCTGACAAGAGAAAATAGTTGTCAATTTAGAATTCTATACCTTGTACATTTCTTTTAAGTATACAGTTGAACTAAAGTTCCTTCCAGAGAAATTTAAATTGGCAATTTGCCACTAAAGAGCTCACTGAAAGACATTTTTAAAAATCGACTTTAATCAGAAGGAAAATGACCCTAGATAGAATCTGACATGCAAGAAGAAATCAGAGAAAAGAAAATGATAAATATGTGGGGATGTACAAAGACCGACCCTTTAAATCTTAAAGTCTTGGGATGAGCATAAATTAAAGTACACAAGAATAACATATATATAATATGTCTGTCTTATATATGCATATATATGCATATTAAATATATATAGTACACATATACACTATATAATGTTATCACAATGGTCTTTGCAGTATATTAAAAATTTGGATACTATACCAGTTGTTCAACAAGAAGAATGCATTAATAAATCAATTAACATAAAATATTTTTAAATTCCATTTTAGTTCTAACTAAACCTTCACTGAACAAAAAGGAACTAGTATGGCTTAAAAAATAGTTTTAGGGTCTTTTTATACTCAAACCATTATAAAGCCATCTCAAAATGTTACATTAATACTTGAAGTTGTGGTCATTGCTTTGGGGAAATTCTGAGGAGCATCTTGCCAGGTGTCCTGGAAATACATGATGATTTCAATAAAAAATGAACACATTCTTAAATAAAGTCATTAAGATAAATTTATGAAGTTTTCATTTGTAATTTCTTTTCATTTCTTTCTCCCATTTTGTGAGACATTTTCTGTCATTAATATTTAAATAAATTTGTGAGAATGTCTGTGGGGTACAATTCTGGAAAAAGTTGGATCATTTTATCTGCTGGGGATTTTAGATAGTGAATTTACACATTAAATGGAAGAGAGTCTGTTTGGTAAATTTGATCCTAGGTCTTTACTCCAGAGATGTATCCTGAACTAATAAACCTCCACTTTCATATAAATGATAGCATGCTCCATACACATTCTTCATGGTTCTTTTTTTTCATATAAAAATATGTCTTGAAGAAGGTTCCATATTAGTAAACAAATAATTTTTTCTTCTTTTTTCAAGACATCAGACTATTCATTTTCCTGCAGGTAGAACTATTTATCTAATTACTCCCTTATCAAGAGATATTTAAGTTGCTTCCAATATTTTGCCATCATAAACAATGTTGCCATACACATGTATGTAATCTTATATATGTGCCATTTTATCTATTTGGGAGTATAGTTATCTGTAGGATAAATTTCTAGAAGTTTGCTGCTGGCTCAAAGTTCTGTACTTTTGCCAAGACAATGTCTACTTAACATTTTTGATGGTTGACAATTTGGGTGAGTTTTAATTGCAATCCTGTCATTATCAATTAATTTGAGCATCTTTTTATATATTTAATAGCCATTCGTGATTTTTTCTTTGGGAGATACTTGATTTTTTTTAATAGAACATACTTTTTACAGAAATTTTAGATTTACAGAAAAACTGTACAGAAAGTATGAAGTCCCATATACTCCCCGCCCCACACATACAGTTTCCCCTATCATTAACAGTTTGTATTAGTGTGTAACTTTGTTACAATTGATGAACCAATATGAATGCATTATTATTAAATTCATATTTTAGATTAGAGTTTGCTTTTTATGTGGTTTGTATGTTGTATGGGTATGGGTCCATAGGTTTGACAAATACATAACATCATGTATCCAACATGATAATATCATATAAAATCATTTCACCACCCTTAAAATGCCCTGTGCTCCACCTACTCATCCTTATCTTCTCCCCACTGAGCTCCTAGCAACCACTGATGTTTCATTGTCTTCATAGTTTGGCCCTTTTACAAAAGGTCATACAGTTAGAATAATACAGTCAGAAGCTTCTTTAATTTTTTTTAATGTTCTTTTTTTTTCTTTTTTTGAGACAGAGTCTCGCTCTGTCAGCCAGGCCGGAGAGCAGTGCCATGAGCTTGGCTTACTGCAACCTCCGCCTCCTGGGTTCAAGGGATTCTTGTGCTTTAGCCTCCCAAGTAGCTGAAATTACAGATGTGCACCACCGTGACTGGCTAATTTTTGTATTTTTAGTAGAGACAGGGTTTTGTCATGTTGTCCAGGCTGGTCTTGAAATCCTGGCCTCATGAATCCTCCCACCTTGGCCTCCCAAAGTGCCTAGATTACAGGCATGGGCCACTGCACCAGGCCCAGAAGCTTCTTTAGACTGCCTTCTTTCACTTAGCTACATGCATTTAATTTCTTTCTTGTCTTTTTGTGAGTTGATAGGTCACTTCTTTTTATTGCTGAATAATTTTCTATTGTATGAATATACCCCAGTTTGGCTATCCATTCACCTATTGAAAGACATCTTGTTTGCTTCCATTTTTTCATATGCAAGTGCAGGTTTTTGTGGGGTCATGTTTTCATCTAACTTAGGTAAATACCTAGGTGCATGATTACTTAACAGTATCATAAGCCTGTGTTTTTCTTTGTAAGAAACTTCCAGACTGTCTTCTACCATGGCTGTACTATTTTTTACATATCCACCAGCAATGAAAGAAAAATTAAAGGAAATTCCTGTTGTTTTGCATCCTTGCCAGCATTGGATGGTTTTTTTGCTGATGTTTAAGAGTTCCGTATATATTCGGGATATTTGCCTGTGTCTGTGTTACAAGTTGCAAATTATTCTCCTAATTTATACTTTCACTTTGAAATTTCCTTTTCAAAGTTTAATGATGCAGATTTTATAAATATTTTGTCTTTTTTTCTATTATGGTTTTGGGCATTTGGGTCATACTTAGTTTCTGCTTCGTAGATAATTGAAAGAAATTATACTATGAGTTTTAATACATGTAGTTTCACATTTCAAAGTGTATAATTTGTCAATATATGAATTTGAAATTAGTTTTTTTTTAAAGAGGTAAAGTATAATTGTAGCTTTTTGTTTTTCCAGATGCCCATGCAGTTATCTTCATGTCACTTACGGAATATCTCTCCCCACGAATAGAGTAATATAGAAACATATTTTCCCGTTTTTTCTTAATTGACATATGACCAGAGCCCCAGCTAGTCATTCTGTTTCTTTCTAGAGAAGTCAGAGGCAATCGAATACACACACATGCATATATATATGTCTGTGTCTATATTTACATGTGTATATTTATCCTTATATATACTGACATGAGGAGAGTTTTGGAAACAAAAAAGATTCACATACAAATCCTAGCCATTTTCTATTATCTCTGATTTTTGACAAGTTGGTTATTATCCTTGAATCACAGTTTCTTCGTATATAACAGAATAGAAGAAAATATCCATTTCCTATAGTTTCTATGAGTACTAAAATGAGATACGAGATTGCTTGATACCATACTGCATGCAAAGTCAGTTTTCATTAAATGGTGGCTATCATTATTAATATTATTATATAATGAAAATGATATTTTTTAGGAATTAATATAGTCAAAGAAAAAATAATGAAATATATTTATGACAACTTACGAAAATGATGTGGAATTATATGTCCTACATGACCCACGTGTGCCACAGTTGTTGGTGGACCACTTTATACACGTTGTATCAATCAGAGCCCCAAAATATATTGGAGCTAGAATTCCTCCTGTAATAGGAGAAGAGAAGATGTCAGTTTAGGGAACATATTTTAAATGTAACTGCATGATATTCCACATTGATATATTTTGATTAAATAAAAGTTCAAAAATTTGGAGGATTCGTTTATTATTTTGTTCTGCATCTACCCAATAATAAAGATTATTAGAAATCTCAAAGACCCAAATCATGTAGTAATGTCATTGACACCTTTTACCTACTCGTACCCTCCCTACATACATGCATATATACTCTGTTCTTCTTATGATAACAATTAACTTAAGCCTGAATGGTAAAAAGGAGAATGTTGTTAGTAAAACTTGGAAGTTATGTTGGTTAATATGGGATTTTTCTTAGGCAAAGAAACCTGAAATGGAGTAGAATTACAATTTTATGGGGAAAGGAAAAAGATCTTGGCTCAATTGCTGTAAAAGCAGACTTTTTTTTTTTTTAACATTATTTTAAGAGAATTTAAAAGTGAGTGCTTCATCAGAACTCCCTCCCCAGATAAGTATAGGCTGAGCTTCAGAGAGTGCTTAGCTTTTGGCAGGTTGTACTTTTTTCTGGGCTCAGACATCTACTTCCCACTTATTGATGTCATTAGAGCTCACAGTCCAGTGATTTTCTACAATTGATTTTGTGCATTTGTAAATACCTCCTGAAGCAGCTTAGGCTAAGTTAGGGCTTGTGGTACTGAATTTTGTTTGTGTTAGTGTTCTGATCACAATGATAAGTTTTCAGTGGTCTTTTTCTTAGTTAATTTTTATTTGTAGCTCATGATTTAGCAGAATGCAAGGCTTTTCACAGACAGATATGTTGTTTATATAATAAGTGTCCATCTGCTTCCACTGCTGTTTTAATGAACTCTGAGATTCACTCCTGGTTCTAGGCAAAGGTAATTTGATGAAGAATTTTAGGGACACGCCAGTAGAGAACTGTCCTTAAGATGGTGCAACTAAAGTGTTCATAACTTTACTTTGTTTTTTTTTGTATTGTGGTGAATAATTTTCAGAATTTATTTTGCCATGGATAAAATGATAGTGATTGATATATCACAATTTTACTAATTCCATTTAGTTTTCCTCAGTCTCAATTTTTTGAGAGTGAGAAATATTAAAATGACAAGGGACTGAGGCCAATGTATCTGAGAAAACCCGGTACTGAGGAAATGAGTGAGAAATTTTCAGGTTTCAAAAATCACAGCCACCCTTTGAAAAATGAAAAATATATGCTAACAGTTTATTTTCCCCACATAATGCCACTGATTTGAACAAACGTAATGGATTGTTTTAAGTAATAAACTTTGTCCTAATCACTACAATTTTAAAACTCATAACCTATTTTCTAAATGACTTTTTCAGGTAAATATATAGGCCTTCCACAATTTACACGTTTATTGTATTCAAGACAATTGTTTATGAATTGAAAGTTTTGTACTAAATGTGTATTTTTTCCATAGGTGCATTTAGGTTCCATCGTGCCACAGATTGGATACATCGAAATAGGATACTCAGAATTAGAATGGTGAAACTCATTTTTTTTCCTATTTTCTATTGCTAAAAAAAATTTTACTCCATTCTCATAGTCTCATTTCTACATATGAGAAGGAGTACTAACAACCCAGATGTTACTTTAAGCTTTTGTCACCCAGGTTCTAGCAGAGAGGTATCTCCATTGAAACTGAAGGTAGAAACCTGCCAGAATGTACAGAGTCTGGGAGATTAGAGACACACAAAACGGAACGGAGGGAAGAAAACCAACAGAATACTATAGCATCTCATTTCCTCTCTTCTATTCCCTTTATATTTCTTCTTTTTTAACTTTGAGGATTTGTGACTTTATCATCAAATACGCTTCTTAGACAATTTCTTCATTGTAATTTGGCCATAGCCTGGCCAGATTCTCTGACCAGATTCCCACGCTTCCCAAGCTAGCTTTAGGCCTTGCCTAAATCATGCCACAGTTTAGAAGTTAGGCCCTTCACTCTGCCTACTGGGAGGAAATATTCTTATTTTTCTGAAAAAAAAGAAAAATTTGGAGGACCATCTATCTTTGTGTTTGAAAGAGTGTAATACAAATACAATAATTCCTTAGTCTTAACAGATTGACTTTATGTATAATTAACAATCGAATTCTCCTTTAGGTCCATCACTCAATTTTACTCTGTCTCTTATTGTTTTTATTTATCACAGAAATAGAAAGGATACTAATTTTATTTACTATCATAATTAAAGATTCATTACAGTCTTTAATCCTTGACATTAATATTTATAACTTAAATTTAATATATGTATGTGTGTGTGTATATATATATATATATATATATATATATATTTTTTTTTTTTTTTTTTTTTTTTTTCATCATACCTAGTGCTCGTATAACCATTGAGTGGAAACCCAGTGCAAGTGATTTCAATTCAGGTTGAACAATTCTGAAACAAGACAAAGGCAAAGAAACATTAAATATCATTAAAATATCAAAACGAAACAACATTAAACCTTCTCCTGTGTTGTTTTTCTCCATGATAGAATTAAGCTCACAGTTGAATGGCCCCATTATATAAAATTATATTTTAATTGTTTTAAAAGGCAAACACTTGAGCAATAATAATAATTATTCCCTTATTTATTCAATGCATCATGATTTCAAGATGGCTTAAAATATTTTCTCATATGGTACTTATGAAAATCCTATGAGGAAGTGGTTAGAACAGACTTTATTATGCCTCTGAAGATACTGATTTTTTGTGGTCTAGTCAGTGTTATAATAAGTGTGAAAGAGCATGAGTCTTTTTCATAAAATGATTTACTTTCCTTTTGGTAGATATCCAATAGTTGGATTGCTGGGTCAAATGGTACTTCTATTTTCAGATACTTGAAAAATCTCCACATTGTTTTTCATAAAGGTTGTACTAATTTATATTCTCAACAGTATATAAGCATTCCTTTTCCTCAACATTCTTACCAGTATCTTGCTTTTTGACTTTTTAGTAATGGCCGTTCTGACTGGTATAAAATGGAATCTCACTGTAGCTTTAATTTTCATTTCTCTGATGATTAGTGATATTGAGCATTTTGTCATATGTTTGTTGTTTGTTGACTGTTTGTCTTTTGAAACATGCTGGTCGTATCATTTACCCTATTTTTAATAATTTTTTTCTTGATGAGTTTTTTTGTATTTCTTATAGATTAAGGATATTAGCCCTTTGTCAGATGTATTGTTTGTAAATATTTTTTCCCTTCCTGTAGGTTGTCTGTTTACTCTGTTGATTATTTCCATTGCTGTGCAGGAAATTTTTAGTTTAAGTCCCATTAGTCTATTTTTGTTGTTATTGTTGCATATCATCAGTGAACAGAGTTTATTTGAGTTCCTCTTTTCTAATTTGGATACCTTTTCTTTCTTTCTATTGCCTGATTGCTCTAGCTAGGACTTCCCATACTATGTGCAGTAAGAGTAGTGAAAATAGACACACTTGTCTTGTTTCAGGTCTCAGGAGAATGCTTTCAACTTTTTTCCTTTCAGTATGAAGTTGGCAGTGGGTTTGTCATACATAGCTTTTATTATTTTGAGGTATGTTCCTTTGATGCCCAGATTGTTGAGGATTTTTGTCATGAAAGATGTTAAATTTTATCAAATAATTTTTCTGCATCTATTGAGATGATCATATGGTTTTTGTTTTTAATTTTGTCTTATCAAATGGTTTTGGTTTTTAGTTTATTCTATGTGGCAAATCACATTTATTGATTTATATATGTTGAACCAACCCTTCATCCCTAGAATAAAAACAACTTGATCATGTTATAAAATTTTTCTTATGTGCCATCGGATTTGATTTGCTAGTGTTTTATTGATAATTTTTTCATATGTTCATCAGGGATATTGGTTTGTGGTTTTCTTTTCTTTTTTTTTTTTTTTAGACCAGTCTTGCTCTGTCTCCCAGGCTGGAGTGCAGTGGAGCGATCTTGGCTCACTGCAGCCTCCGCCTCCCAGGTTCAACTCCTGTGAACTCTCAGCAGCCCTTGACACAGTTACTTATGCTCTTTTTGACATATGCTTTATTAGTTTGAGGACAACGCTCTTTCCTAGTTTTTCTCATGAAACCTCCTCAGTTTTCTTTATTGGTTTCTCCTATTAGTGATCTTTAAATTAGAGTGATTGAGAACTGATCCTAGGATCTTGTTTCTATCTGTACTCAGTCCCTAGAAGATCTCATTAGTTCCATGGATTTTAATACCGCCTTGGGGGATTGCTTGAATACAGGCATTCAAGGTTACAGTGAGCTATAATCATGCCATTATACTTCAGCCTGGACAACAAAATGAGACCTTGTCTCTAAATAAATAAATAAGTAAAAATAAAAATAAATACCATCTGTACGTTGCTGACTCTAAAATTTATGGCTCTGGCATCAAGGTTTCTCCTGTTGGATTGCATATATGACATTGCTAGATATTGAACAGGCTGCTCAGCTTTATAGAGATAGAACAAATTCTTGCTTTTTCACTTTCCCAATCTACCCTTTCTTAGTCTTTCCCATTTTGTTCAATAGTACCACCATCCTTCCAGAACTCAAGCCAGAACTTTGGGATTATCCTTAAATTATCTTTCTCACATGCCACATTCAATGTCTCAGCAAACCCTACTGGCTTTGCATTAAAAAATAAAACAAAGGCCAGGTGCTGTGGCTCAGGCCTGTAATCCCAGCACTTTGAGAGGCAGAGGCTAGCAGATCACTTGAGGTCAGGAGTTTGAGACCAGCCTGGCCAACGTGGTAAAACCAGGTCCTACTAAAAATACAAAAATTAGTCAGGCACGGTGGCGTGCACCTGTAATTCCAGCTACTTAGGAGGTTGAGGCAGGAGCATCGTTTGAACCTGGGAGGCGGAGGGTTGCAGCAATCCAAGGTTGTGCTACTGCACTCCAGCCTGGGTGACAGAGCAAGACTGTCTCTCAAAAATAAATAAATAAATATAATAAAATAAAGCAAAACAACTGAGACTCATATTTGTTTCATTTACTCATTTCATTTACTTCATATTTTCCTATTATCAGCATTCTCAATCAAGCTTCCATCTTGAGAAGAACAATTCAAGCCTTCTGTTTTCCCTGACTTCACTATTGTTTTCACAAAACACACTTTCTACCCACAGCCAGAGTGATCTTCTAGTTATGTAAGGCATCTTTGCAAATACTAATGCTTAAATCCCCTTGGGCTTTCAACACATTTAGAATATATTTCAAAGTCTTTCCTGTGACCCATAGGATCTGAACTAGGCTAGCTCTCTTGCTGCACTTGTCACCTCTCTCCTCCTTACACACGTTTTTGGACCTTGTACATGTCAACTATACTTCACACCAGGACGCTGACCTTTCTTCTACCTTGCCTGGATTGTTCCTCCTATGTCTCCATTTAGCATGGCTTGTACCTTTATTTTCTATCTCTTCATTCAGGTCTTTACTCAAAGGACTTCCAAAGCACCATATCTGAACTAGTATCTCTTGCCTATTTTCTCATTTTTTTCTATTTTCTTAACTGTGATTTATTTATCTTTCTAGTGCTTCACACTTACTCTATTTTAGATGTTTACTCACTTATTTGTTTACTGTGTTTTCTGCTACACACATTCATTCCTTCATTCCCCACCCATACTAAAAGCTTATAAAGTTCTATCACTTTTGTTCACAGTTGCATCCTCAGTGCATACAACTATGCCTGACATAAAAAATGAATACATATTGAATAAATGGATGTCCTTCTGCCTACTTAATCAAGTTTAAAAAATAGCTTCATAGTGTTAAGCATTAGAAAACTATTAACAAACTGAAATTTATATTTTTATTCTGTAGTCATATTCACAAAATGCTTATTTCAATAAAATCAAAGGCTAGCAAGAGTTAAATATTTTTGACAAGTTGTAATGCTGATTTAATCAATTTCTGAAACAGATATGATATTGTTATCATCGATGATGGAACAGTGTTTTTTCAAACTCATGAGTTTAAAATAAAAAGCTAAAACCTGTTGATATGCAGACTATTATTTAATTTTAAGGTTATTTTTAATATGTTAATGAATTTAATTTGGCAAATATGAAAGACTTCTCCTTTTGAGTAGACAACATTTTATATTAAGATGGAGCTATATCTGTGGCATATTTAGTATAAATAATTTGATAAGATTTGCAGTCAGGGTCAAAATTAAACAACTGTAAATTCAATTTACAGGTTGATACTAATGTTAACAAATGTTAAAAATGCTTTTTTTTTTCATCTCTACCATGTCATGCTGTTGGCTGACAGTGAACTTATGATCAACAATGTAAGTTTTAAAAGTACAATTGAATGTTAACCCAGGTCACTATACTTACACATGTATATTTTTAAGATCTAAAAGCAATTATTTACATGTTACAAGTTTTAGGTGATTGAATCAACTTGGCCAGTAGGGCATGCATTACCTGCACCCTTCCTAACTCTCCAATCTTATCATGTGTCACAACCTCTCATTCAGTATGTTTCAATCTGCCAGCTTCTTTTCATTTCTCAAACACACCAGCTCTTTCCTGTATTAAGGCGTCAGCACCAAGACCCTCTCCTGGAAACCCTTTCATTTGGCTTTTTCTTTAGACCTTTAGAATAAATGTTACTTATTTTGAGATGTACTCTGAATCCTCTTCTTCACAGCCCCCCACCTCAATCCTAAATTAACTTTCCTTTTGAATCTTTCTTTTTAGGGAAATCTTTTTCCTGATGAGGACTCAGAACAATTTATAAATATGTGCTTTGATTTTAAGATTATTTATCTCACACCAGTCTTTCCTGTAATTTTGAAAGCTGTATGACAACAAGTATCTTATTGGTTTCATTTACCATGTAATATTCACCAAGCATTGTATCTTTTCTAATGAGCCAAGAAAGGAACTAATTCTTCCTGTGTATTTTTTTATTTTTCTACAAGGGTATTATAAAAGTCATGCTGTGAGTCGATTAAAAGTTTTGGAATGTTATCAAATGGAGCATATTTTATATCTAGTTTTCAAATGCTTTATTTTAGTGAAATCAATAGATTTACCCTGAGAGATGCAAGGCATCTCTCATTAGGATGTAAGGCAACTCAAAATTCAACAAGTTCTTTTAGGATCCTAGGGCGATTCTTTTACAACTGAGAGAATTGTCAGTCTGTGTCTTCAGATTCTTAGTAAGAGAAGAAACGTATGGAATCTGGACTTTTAATGGAAGAATTAGAGGCAAAATTATTAATTACAGCCTTGAGAGTTCATAGTAATTTTAATAAAATGAATTCTCAGAAAATTAAAATTTGATGAAATATGAATTTGAATTCCCAGTATATTATGTAAAAATATGCATATCATTAGGTGTGTTTATAGTCTCATGCATATGAAAATGTTTTTAAAAGTCATACTTACTTAACAATCAGCATGACATGTGAGGTGCCTCCAAGTGCAGAGAAAAATAAATTCAAGACTTGTATTGCAACAAAAAAGTAAAATTTCCTTGTACAAGCATCATCTCTTGGGCATTCACCCAAATGGGCTGAGTAATTTCTGTTCTGGAGACCAGTTACTTCCAAACAACTGCAGTTGTAAAACACCTTAAGCGTTGTGTATAAAATATGACATAAGAAATTTGCAAGACCTAACAGTGCTGCAAATACATTGCATTATATTTAGTGAAGTCTCACTTGTTCAAACTAATATATTTACAGTTTAAGAAGATTCTAAAAATACAGTTGCTTAAGAGATAAAAGGTAAAATAGTTTTGTGGATTTCTTTCTATATAAGACAATGTAATTCATGATTGACATTTAGTTCATTCTTAATTTTAAAACTAAGAAACAAAGAAATTAGTGCCTAGAACTCTGTATACAATTTTCTCATCACTATAGATTCTCTTTAATAATTATTTTCCATTCCCTTTTACCCTCTGCAGAGCACATACTCTTTTGGACAATCTCTAAGTTTCAGAGACATGCCCTGAGGAGGAATTATCCAAAGAATTCAGATAATTTAGCAGTTTGGGAGTAATCAAAATTTAACTGGAGTCACCCATGAAAATGGCACTGAGTCCAGGAAAAATAGAGACAGGTAGAGATGCTAAAATTTTAATTTAGCAGGCATAAACAAAATCCAAGGATACAATGACAGATGATATTATTACCAGAGAGGTTAAACACAACAGAATGCCCCACTAGTGTTTAGAGCACAGAAGTGGAAAATGTAGAAACAAGTGATTTCAGATTTTTAATCAGTTGAACAGTTTATATAGACAGGTGGCTTTAATAAATTCTGTTCTAAATCTAGGCTAAAGTTTAAGGGAACCTCACGTTGAATCTATTAATGCTAAAGATCAATTATTGAAGGAAGAATTGTAGAAGAATTTAAATCTATACATCTACAGTTCTGCCAAACTTACAGTTCTTACTATTTTTTTTCACTAGGAATAATATAGAGGAATTTTTTATGGAACAAGTGTATTGGTCAATAAAACTAAGCTTTGGTACAAAGAACACTATTTTAAGAAGTGATGGTTCATTATTGAGGATTTAGTAATAAATAAATAAATACACAAATAAATAAATAATAAAAACTTTGCAATAGTCCCCAAATGGCATAGTCATTGCCAGTATAATGAAGATTATGTCTTGTGGTAGACACAATTCTTTTTAGGGTTCTAATATTCTATCACTTTCAGGCCTTCGCTAGTGTGCAAAGAGGGAGCATGTATTAACTGGGTCATTCTTATCCAACCATCCAAAATGAACCATCCAACAACCATCCAAGACGAACAAAGAGTAATTGAAACCCTGAACACTAATATAGAGTTCCAAATTTGAATCAGTACTGAAAAAACCTGCCTATCAATAAAAGCCCTAGACCAAATGCATTCATAGCCAAATTCTACTGGAAATACAAAAAAGAGTGAGTACCCACTGTACTAAATTATTCTGAAAAATTGAGAAAGAAGGACTCTTTCTTAACTGATTTTTTTGAAGCCAGAATCATCCTGGTACCAAAATATAGCAAGACACAAAAACAACAACAACATCAAAAACAAACCAACAGGCCAATATCCCTGGTGAATATAGATGAATATAGATGCATATAGGTGCAAAATTCCTCAACAAAACACTAGCAAACTGAATCCAGCAGCACATCAAAAAGTGAATTCATCATGACCAAGTAGGCTTTATTTTTGAGATGTAAGGATGGTCCAGTATACACAATCAATAAATGTGATTCACTACATAAATGGAATTTAGGATAAACAGTATATGAGCATTTCACCAGATGCAGAAAAAGCTTTCAATAAAATCCACCATCCTTTTATGATAAAGTTCTTCAACAAACTGGGCATTGAAGGAACATAGCTCAAAATAATAAGAGCCATCTATGATAAAACCACAGCCAACTTCATATATAATGTGCAAAAGCTGGAAGCATTCTTCTTAAGAACAGGAGCAAAGCATGAATGCCCACTCTCACCACTCCTATTCAACATAGTACTGGAAATCCTAGACAGATCAATCAGGAAAGAGACAGAAATAAAACACTGACAAATAGGAAATGAACTCACATTATCTCTCTGCACTATGATATGATTCTATATCTCAAAAACCCTGGTTGGAGGAGCCAAGATGGCCGAATAGGAACAGCTCCGGTCTACAGCTCCCAGCGTGAGCGACGCAGAAGACGGGTGATTTCTGCATTTCCATCTGAGGTACCGGGTTCATCTCACTAGGGAGTGCCAGACAGTGGGCGCAGGTCAGTGGGTGCGCGCACCGTGCGTGAGCCGAAGCAGGGCGAGGCATTGCCTGGCTTGGGAAGCGCAAGGGGTCAGGGAGTTCCCTTTCCCAGTCAAAGAAAGGGGTGACGGACAGCACCTGGAAAATCGGGTCACTCCCACCCGAATACTGCGCTTTTCCGAGGGGCTTAAAAAACGGCGCACCACGAGATTACATCCCGCACCTGTCTTGGAGGGTCCTACGCCCATGGAGTCTCGCTGATTGCTAGCACAGCAGTCTGAGATCAAACTGCAAGGCGGCAGCGAGGCTGGGGGAGGGGCGCCCGCCATTGCCCAGGCTTGATTAGGAAAAACAAAGCGGCCTGGAAGCTCGAAGTGGGCGGAGCCCACCACAGCTCAAGGAGGCCTGCCTGCCTCTGTAGGCTCCACCTCTGGGGGCAGGGCACAGACAAACAAAAAGACAGCAGTAACCTCTGCAGACTTAAATGTCCCTGTCTGACAGCTTTGAAGAGAGCAGTGGTTCTCCCGGCACGCAGCTGGAGATCTGAGAACGGGCACACTGCCTCCTCAAGTGGGTCCCTGACCCCTGACCCCTGAGCAGCCTAACTGGGAGGCACGCCCCAGCAGGGGCACACTGACACCTCACACGGCAGGGTATTCCAACAGACCTGCAGCTGAGGGTCCTGTCTGTTAGAAGGAAAACTAACAAACAGAAACGACATCCACACCGAAAACCCATCTGTACATCACCATCATCAAAGACCAAAAGTACATAAAACCACAAAGATGGGGAAAAAACAGAACAGAAAAACTGGAAACTATAGAAAGCAGAGCACCTCTCCTCCTCCAAAGGAATGCAGTTCCTCACCAGCAATGGAACAAAGCTGGATGGAGAATGACTTTGACGAGCTGAGAGAAGGCTTCAGACGATCAAATTACTCTGAGCTACAGGAGGACATTCAAACCAAAGGCAAAGAAGTTGAAAACTTTGAAAAAAATTTAGAAGAATGTATAACTAGAATAACCAATACAGAGAAGTGCTTAAAGGAGCTGATGGAGCTGAAAACCAAGGCTCGAGAACTACGTGGAGAATGCAGAAGCCTCAGGAGCCGATGCGATCAACTGGAAGAAAGGGTATCAGCAATGGAAGATGAAATGAATGAAATGAAGTGAGAAGGGAAGTTTAGAGAAAAAAGAATAAAAAGAAACGAGCAAAGCCTCCAAGAAATATGGGACTATGTGAAAAGACCAAATCTACGTCTGATTGGTGTACCTGAAAGTGATGGGGAGAATGGAACCAAGTTGGAAAACACTCTGCAGGATATTATCCAGGAGAACTTCCCCAATCTAGCAAGGCAGGCCAACGTTCAGATTCAGGAAATACAGAGAATGCCACAAAGATACTCCTTGAGAAGAGCAACTCCAAGACACATAATTGTCAGATTCACCAAAGTTGAAATGAAGGAAAAAATGTTAAGGGCAGCCAGAGAGAAAGGTCGGGTTACCCTCAAAGGGAAGCCCATCAGACTAACAGCGGATCTCTCGGCAGAAACCCTATAAGCCAGAAGAGAGTGGGGGCCAATATTCAACATTCTTAAAGACAAGAATTTTCAACCCAGAATTTCATATCCAGCCAAACTAAGCTTCATAAGCGAAGGAGAAATAAAATACTTTACAGACAAGCAAATGCTGAGAGATTCTGTCACCACCAGGCCTGCCCTACAAGAGCTCCTGAAGGAAGCGCTAAACATGGAAAGGAACAACTGGTACCAGCCACTGCAAAATCATGGCAAAATGTAAAGACCATCAAGACTAGGAAGAAACTGCGTCAACTAAAGAGCAAAATAACCAGCTAACATCATAAAGACAGGATCAAATTCACACATAACAATATTAACTTTAAATGTAAATGGACTAAATGCTCCAATTAAAAGACACAGACTGGCAAATTGGATAAAGAGTCAAGACCCATCAGTGTGCTGTATTCAGGAGACCCATCTCACGTGCAGAGACACACATAGGCTCAAAATAAAAGGATGGAGGAAGATCTACCAAGCAAATGGAAAACAAAAAAAGTTAGGGGTTGCAATCCTAGTCTCTGATAAAACAGACTTTAAAACAACAAAGATCAAAAGAGACAAAGAAGGCCATTACATAATGGTAAAGGGATCAATTCAACAAGAAGAGCTAACTATCCTAAATATATATGCACCCAATACAGGAGCACCAAGATTCATAAAGCAAGTCCTGAGTGACCTACAAAGAGACTTAGACTCCCACACATTAATAATGGGAGACTTTAACACCCCACTGTCAACATTAGACAGATCAATGAGACAGAAAGTCAACAAGGATACCCAGGAATTGAACTCAGCTCTGCACCAAGCGGACCTAATAGACATCTACAGAACTCTCCACCCCAAATCAACAGAATATACATTTTTTTCAGCACCACACCACACCTATTCCAAAACTGACCACATACTGGGAAGTAAAGCTCTCCTCAGCAAATGGAAAAGAACAGAAATTATAACAAACTATCTCTCAGACCACAGTGCAATCAAACTAGAACTCAGGATTAAGAATCTCACTCAAAACCGCTCAACTACATGGAAACTGAACAACCTGCTCCTGAATGACTACTGGGTACATAACGAAATGAAGGCAGAAATAAAGATGTTCTTTGAAACCAACGAGAACAAAGACACGACATACCAGAATCTCTGGGACGCATTCAAAGCAGTGTGTAGAGGGAAATTTATAGCACTAAATGCCCACAAGAGAAAGCAGGAAAGATCCAAAATTGACACCCTAACATCACAATTAAAAGAACTAGAAAAGCAAGAGCAAACACATTCAAAAGCTAGCAGAAGGCAAGAAATAACTAAAATCAGAGCAGAACTGAAGGAAATAGAGACACAAAAAAAAACCTTCAAAAAATTAGTGAATCCAGGAGCTGGTTTTTTGAAAGGATCAACAAAATTGATAGACCGCTAGCAAGACTAATAAAGAAAAAAAGAGAGAAGAATCTAATAGACACAATAAAAAACGATAAAGGGGATATCACCACCGATCCCACAGAAATACAAACTACCATCAGAGAATACTACAAACACCTCTACGCAAATAAACTAGAAAATCTAGAAGAAATGGATAAATTCCTTGACATATACACTCTCCGAAGACTAAATCAGGAAGATGTTGAATCTCTGAATAGACCAATAACAGGATCTGAAATTGTGGCAATAATCAGTAGCTTACCAACCAAAAAGAGTCCAGGACCAGATGGATTCACAGCTGAATTCTACCAGAGGTACAAGGAGGAACTGGTACCATTCCTTCTGAAACTATTCCAGTCAATAGAAAAAGAGGGAATCCTCCCTAACTCATTTTATGAGGCCAGCATCATTCTGATACCAAAGCCAGGCAGAGACACAACAAAAAAAGAGAATCTTAGACCAATATCCTTGATGAACATTGATGCAAAAATCCTCAATAAAATACTGGCAAAATGAATCCAGCAGCACATCCAAAAGCTTATCCACCATGATCAAGTGGGCTTCATCCCTGGGATGCAAGGCTGGTTCAATATACACAAATCAATAAATGTAATCCAGCATATAAACAGAGCCAAAGACAAAAACCACATGATTATCTCAATAGATGCAGAAAAAGCCTTTGACAAAATGCAACAACACTTCATGCTAAAAACTCTCAATAAATTAGGTATTGATGGGACGTATTTCAAAATAATAAGAGCTATCTATGACAAACCCACAGCCAATATCATACTGAATGGGCAAAAACTGGAAGCATTCCGTTTGAAAACTGGCACAAAACAGGGATGCCCTCTCTCACCACTCCTATTCAACAGAGTGTTGGAAGTTCTGGCCAGGGCAATTAGGCAGGAGAAGGAAATAAATGGTATTCAATTAGGAAAAGAGGAAGTCAAATTGTCCCTGTTTGCAGATGACATGATTGTATATCTAGAAAACCCCATTGTCTCAGCCCAAAATCTCCTTAAACTGATAAGCAACTTCAGCAAAGTCTCAGGATACAAAATCAATGTACAAAAATCACAAGCATTCCTATACACCAACAACAGACAAACAGAGAGCCAAATCATGAGTGAACTCCCATTCACAATTGCTTTAAAGAGAATAAAATACCTAGGAATCCAACTTACAAGCGATGTGAAGGACCTCTTCAAGGAGAACTACAAACCACTGCTCAAGGAAATAAAAGAGGATACAAACAAATGGAAGAACATTCCATGCTCATGGGTAGGAAGAATCAATATCGTGAAAATGGCCATACTGCCCAAGGTAATTTACAGATTCAATGTCATCCCCATCAAGCTACCAATGACTTTCTTCACAGAATTGGAAAATACTTTAAAGTTCATATGGAACCAAAAAAGAGCCCACATCGCCAAGTCAATCCTAAGCCAAAAGAACAAAGCTGGAGGCATCATCACACTACCTGACTTCAAACTATACTACAAGGCTACAGTAACCAAAACAGCATGGTACTGGTACCAAAACAGAGATATAGATCAATGGAACAGAACAGAGCCCTCAGAAATAATGCCGCATATCTACAACTATCTGATCTTTGACAAACCTGAGAAAAACAAGCAATGGGGAAAGGATTCCCTATTTAATAAATGGTGCTGGGAAAACTGGCTAGCCATATGTAGAAAGCTGAAACTGGATCCCTTCCTTACACCTTATACAAAAATCAATTCAAGATGGATTAAAGACTTAAACGTTAGACCTAAAACCATAAAAACCCTAGAAGAAAACCTAGGCATTACCATTCAGGACATAGGCATGGGCAAGGAATTCATGTCTAAAACACCAAAAGCAATGGCAACAAAAGACAAAATTGACAAATGGGATCTAATTAAACTAAAGAGCTTCTGCACAGCAAAAAAAACTACCATCAGAGTGAACAGGCAACCTACAAAATGGGAGAAAATTTTCACAACCTACTCATCTGACAAAGGGCTAATATCCAGAATCTACAATTAACTCCAACAGATTTACAAGAAAAAAACAAAAAACCCCATCAAAAAGTGGGCGAAGGACATGAACAGACACTTCTCAAAAGAAGACACTTATGCAGCCAAAAAACACATGAAAAAATGCTCATCATCACTGGCCATCAGAGAAATGCAAATCAAAACCACAATGAGATACCATCTCACACCAGTTAGAATGGCAATCATTAAAAAGTCAGGAAACAACAGGTGCTGGAGAGGATGTGGAGAAATAGGAACACTTTTACACTGTTGGTGGGACTGTAAACTAGTTTAACCATTGTGGAAGTCAGTGTGGCGATTCCTCAGAGATCTAGAACTGGAAATACCATTTGACCCAGCCATCCCATTACTGGGTATATACCCAAATGACTGTAAATCATGCTGCTATAAAGACACATGCACACGTATGTTTATTGTGGCATTATTCACAATAGCAAAGACTTGGAACCCACCCAAATGTCCAACAGTGATAGACTGGATTAAGAAAATGTGGCACATATACACCATGGAATACTATGCAGCCATAAAAAATGATGAGTTCATGTCCTTTGTAGGGACATGGATGAAACTGGAAAACATCATTCTCAGTAAACTGTTGCAAGAACAAAAAACCAAACACCGCATATTCTCACTCATAGGTGGGAATTGAACAATGAGATCACATGGACACAGGAAGGGGAATATCACACTCTGGGGACTGTTGTGGGGTGGGAGGAGGGGGGAGGGATAGCATTGGGAGATATACCTAATGCTAGATGACGAGTTAGTGGGTTCAGTGCACCAGCATGGCACATGTATACATATGTAACTAACCTGCACAATGTGCACATGTACCCTAAAACTTAAAGTATAATTAAAAATAAATAAATTAATTAATTAAAAAAAAACCCTAAATACTCTGCCAAAAGCCTCCTAGAACTGACAACATACTCTAATAAAGTTTCAGAATACAAAATCAATGGAAAAAAATTAGTAGCATTTCTATACACCGATAACAGTTAAACTGATACCCAAATCAATAATGCAATTCCATTTAGAATAACTACAATAAATTAAATACCTAGGAATACATTTAAACCAAGGAAGTGAAAGATCTCTACTAGGATAAATACAAACCCTGATGAAAGAAATTATAGGTGACACAAACAAGTGGAAAAACATTCTACTCTCATGGATTGGTAGAAAAATTATCATTAAACTGTCTATACTGCCCAAAGCAATCTACAGATTCAATGGTATTCTTATCAAACAACCGGCATGATTTTTCACTGAATTAGAATAAAACTATTGTAAAATTCCATAGGAAAAAAGAGACTGAATAGTCAAAGCAATCCTAAGCATAAAGAACAAAGTGAGAGGCATCCCATTACCTGATATCAAACTATACTGCAAGGCCACAGTAACCAAACAGCATAGTACTGGTTCAAAAACAGACACCTAGACTAAAGGAACAGAATAGAGAACCCAGAAGCAAAGCCACACACCTAAAACCATCTGATCTTCAATGAAGTTAGCAAAAAGAATGCAATGGGGAAAGTACTCATTATTCAGTAAATGGTGCTGGAATAACTGGCTAACTATGCAGAGAAATGAAACTGGACCCCTTCTTTTCATATAAAAAATTTAATCAAAATGTATTACAGACTGAAATGTAAAACCTAAAACTATAAAAACCACTGAAGAAAACCAAGAAAAGATTCTGGATATTGGCCTTGGCAAAAAATTTGTGACTAAGTTCTCAAAAGCAATTGCAACAAAAAAAATGGACAAGTGGGATATAATTAAACTAATGAGCTTCTGCACAACAAAAATAATCAACAGAGTGAAAAGACAATCTATGGAATGGGAGAAAACCTTTGCAAACCATGCATCTAACACAGGACTAATATCCAGAATCTATAAGAAACTTGAACAATTCAACAAGCAAAAAACAAAAACAATATTAAAAAGTAGACAAAGGACATGAACAGACACTTCTCAAAAGAAGACATACAAGCAGCTAACAAACACATAAAAATGTTTAACATCACTAATCATCAAAAAAATGCAAATCAAAATCCCAAGGAGATACCATCTCACACCAGTCAGAAGGGCTGACTGGTTCAAAACATTAAAAAAACAGACGCTGGCAAGGCTGCAGAAGAAAGGGAATGCTTATCCTATGTTGGTAGGAATGTAAATTAGTTCAGTCACTGTGTAAAGTAGTTTCGAGATTTCCCAAAGAACTTAAACAGAACTACCATTCAACTCAGCAATCCCACTACCGGGTATATACCCAAAGGAAAATAAATTCTTCTACCAAAAACACATCTACTTATATACTTCTATGGTCATCACAGCTCTATTCACAATAGCAAAGACACGGTCTCAACCTGGGTGCCCGTCAACAGTGAATTAGATAAAGAAATGTGGTACATATAGACAATGGAATACTACATGGCCAAAAGAAGGATGAAATAATGTCCCTTGCAGCAACCTGGATGCAGCTGGAGGTCATTATCTTAAGTGAATTAACATAGGAACAGAAAACCAGATGCCACATGTTCTCACTTATAAGTGGAAGCTAATCACTGGGTCCACACGAATATAAGGACAGGAAAAATACATATTACAGACTACTAGAGTGGAGAGATAAAAAACAGCAAGTACTAAAAAGCCACTTATTGGGTATTATGCTCACTACCTGGGGGATGGGAATGATTGTACCCTAAACTTTAGCTTATCACAATATACCCATCTAACACAAATTCATTTGTATCCCCTTTACCTAAAATAAGAGTTAAATTATTTTTTTAAAAAACAGCAAAATAAAAATAAACAGCAAAGGAAAAGGAAACAACTGCACAAAAGATTCATTGTTGCCATGACTAAGATGTGGGCTTTTAAGTAGTCTTTGGGCCATATTTGTGCAAGTTTATTAAAGTTGTGGCCTTTCTTCAAAAAGTCCAGGATGCTTTATTCTTTAAAATTCTACATGCCATTCCTTATTATAATTGGTAGGTAGATCCATGGGCAAGAGTAGATGGAGAATGTTTAAAAATCAAACACAGAAGGGTGTGGCAGAGAGCAATAATTATAGTTGACTGTTTTAGTAATGTTGGTAATAGTAAAAGTTCCTAGGAAAACATTACACAACTTTGTGAGATGTTGAGTGGATTGTAGGTATGGGAAACACCATAACCCATTCCCAGTGACAGGTAGCTACCCAGGAGATTAGAGAAAAACTGTAGTTCACATGGAAAGAAAGGTTTTGCAGGACGGAATAAATGACATTTCTATGGGACATATTGACATTAGGTGAGCAGGATACTACATTATCTTGGGTAGAAGTGCCAGCTTTGGAAAAATCAAAATAGAAAATCAAGAATAGGGCAGTCAAGTGAGCATGAAGCCTTGATTAATTTCTTAAAAAGTAAAAAGGGTAGTGATCCCAGAGCTAAACAGATCAGAATCTGTATATAACATTGCATATTGACTGTTGTCTTAGTAAGATAGGAAGTGCTGACAATGGGTTAACTCATTTTCCTGAATTCTGAGGGATAAAGTAATTCCAACTTAATGAAAATTATAGGCTTTAGTCAAATGAGGTGCTTCTTAGATATTCTAAATGCATTCAAATTCTAAAAGGTCATAGTCTTACAATCTCAAAGGAAAAAAGTGGGGTGATCTCCAATTAGAATTCAAGTAACAGAAAAACCTGATTGTGCCCTAAGCAGACTTTTATATAAAACTTTGTTTATACATCACACCCATCACAATAACAGATAATACTGGAAACTTTCTCTTTTATCTTTTTAATGGAGTCCTTAGTTACAGAAATATTTGGTAAAAAATTGTTCAATCTAATCTGTGCTTTTGAATAAGGAGAGGAAAGTAAAAACTAATACTCACTATAGGCTTTTTATTGCCACTTGAAGATTTGCAACCTGCTAGACAGGGTGAGATGTAAGTTATTCCATTGTTTCCACAGACTGGTTCCCATTGACTTTCATCACAATTGCAGTCTGAGTTGCAATAAGAAAGTGGTACATCTCTATGAGATGTCACTGGATTATTTCTGGAAATATATGATAGACATATATCAAAAAGAGAGAGAGAGAAGAAAAAGACAAAGAAGGGGAGGAGAAGGAAGAAGTAAAGTGAAAGCAGAGAAAGAGGGAAAAAAAGTAGATAAAGAATTTTTCTTTATATGAAGAAATTTGCTTTGATGATGACGAAATGGCAAAGTTTTTTTTAATGCTTATTTATTTTACGCTCTCCATCTTTGCCAATACATGACTTGTGACCTAGAAAAAGCAAAATGTAAAAATAAACCAAAGATGTTAAGTAGGACTTAGACAAGAAGTTGTTATAATTCTATGAAGAAACTTCACATTAGATAAGTTACATCTTTTTTCTGAGACTGAGTTTCTCTTCAGTAAGGTGATGACATTAGACTGACATTCCTTTCAGCTCACTGTAAAGTCTTGTGAGTCTACGAATGCTATTTAACTAGGTTGAATTTAAAAATCTCTATTTTAATATGTAAGAAAAAAACAGACATGCTTAAAGCAGAACCTCTACAAAATGAAAAATCAAGAATAGAATCAGTTGAAAAAGGCTAGAAAAGCTCAGTATATTTTTGAAATAAAACTATAGTATACTTTATACTGATTTCCTTTATGAAATGGTTATAAATTATAAAATATGATTATAACATAGCTAAAATTATAAAATATATTTTTTGTATAATTCATTTCTGCTTAAACATTTAAAAAATTATTTTCTTTCAAATGTTTAATTTGATAATAATTGAGGATTGATGTGTTATCTTTGAATGAGCACATAATTTAAATGAAAAACTAAGATTCATACTTCAGAAACTACATTATCAATAATTTTATTAAAAAGCATATTCTGCTTGAGGAAATACTACTTGGAGTGGTTAAGTAGAATGGTTTATGACTACTATAGTCAGAATGTTTGTGGCCCCCAAATTCATAGATTGAAAACTAATCTCGTATATGAAGACTTTATGAAGTCAGGCCTCTAGAAAGTGATAAGGTCATGAGGATGAGTACTCATGAATGGAATTACTGACCCTTTGCCTGCCCCATCCACCATGCCTGGACACAATGAGAAGGTACCGTCTATAAATTAAGAAATGGGCCCTTCCTAGACACCAAAAGTGCCATCACCTTGGTCTTACATGTTCCAGCCTTTAGAATCTTGAAAAATTAATTTCTGTGTATTAATAAGCTACCTAGAACTTTGCAGCCTGAATGGACTAAGACAATGACCCAGTCCAGATATTGCAATCAGTCACATCTGTGTTTATATTAATTCTGGCACTTCTTTCTAAAATCAGTTTTGCCATTTGTAAGTCATAGATAATAATGCCAACCTCACAGGGTTTTTTTTTTTTTTGGAAAAAAAATTGGTTCTCAGAAGTCCTTCACACTCTTATAAAAGATTGAGGGCTTGTTCCAAAGGGATTTTGTTAAATTAAGTTGTACCTCTTGACATGTACTATATTAGAAAGTAATACTAAGAAAATTTTAATACACAAAAGTACATAAGCACACATATTTTAGCAGTCAGATTAATGAATTAATAACATACCTTGGAGCATTAGAAAATATCACTATACTGTCAGGATAGCATGAGAATAAAAAGGCAAATAATGTCTTAGTATTATTATAAAAATAGTTTTGAAGTTGTGCACCCCTTGATAAAGTCTCAGGGATCCTTAGAGATATTCAGAACACATTCCGAGACCTCTGCAATAATTCATACTTAAAAAAAAACTTATCCCAGTCGCAGGATTTTATGAATGTTGAATCCATTAATTATATTATTTATCATTAGATTATGAGTCCCATGAGGGAACTGATGTATCCTACAAATATCCTTAATATTTACCTTTAAGGAAAGGCTTAATAAAATTTTATTAAATGAAACAAATTCTGTTTAACTCTGCTGCCATCTTTTGTATACTTTGTACAGTGACTAACCTTGTTGTCAAGAAACTGGCCTGTCCTTACAACCAAGAAGGCTTTTGAACTAAGGGTGTGACATAGGATCAGTCTAGAGTCTAAAGACATTGTGTGACTTCAACATGTTACATTTTTTCTGACTCTTCAATAATAAAGGAAAGTATAATACAAGGGTTGGATTGCATCATCTCTAAGGTTCTTTTACCTCTAAAATTCAGTATTCTAGGACAATGTATTTTAATTTACTACAGTAGTTGATGGTGGATAGGAGATACCAATAACAGTTCAGAATTAGCAGTGTGCAGGGAAACAATTTCAGATAACCTTGGCAAGCCTCCAAGAATAGCACAATGTTTATAGAAGAAAATGTGGGAATATTTGACAAGTTAAAACCAACACCTCATGGGATCCAGACTTTGAAAGCTCAGCACCAGTAGTAAGCAGCACTAAAGAACATGGTTACTGAATTGTGATCTGAGCATCTCTGCTTGTTGCTTGAATGTGAACCTTCCTAAGCTTAAATTGTTGGCTATATTCAGGAAATTATCAGAAAACTGCATAGGATTCTTGCCCTTGATTTGAGGTGGAGACTGTTGCACTAAAAATACTTTGCTATACATGGTAATCATGGAAAAGTAAAGATTCTTCAATGTCTAATATGCAATTATATATAGAATATTTCTTAATGCTACTTCCAATGTAGATAATATCAGAAAAAAACAATATTAGCTTGCAAAAAAGAAAATTCAGTACAACATTAAAAGTGTTCTTTTGTTAAGATAGTTGTTGAACATCGATATGAACTGTAGATAAAAGTTGTTTAGTCACTTTTGGCTAATGCCATTTATGTAACTCTTATGATCCATCCAAGATTACAGTGGTGGTTAAGACTAAGAGTTTTGGACTTAAAAAACTCAAATTTGAGTTAGAATCTTAATAATGCTAGCTGTGTAATCCATGTATTTCTCTAAGCCTTACTTTTCCCATTCATAAAATAATGATAAAAGTACCCACTACTAATTGTAAGTACCACATAAATAATAGTTATTATTATTACAACCTATGTTGCTTCTCTTTAGTGGAGGAATAAAAGAATGTGTTTGAGGTCTTAAGAAACAGATATTTTAAAAATTTTAAAATTGAAATTTCTCTTAACTTAAAGAAAGTTTAGTTAAAATTGTTTTCTGCCTTATATTACTTATACAGAGACTCTTAATTTGATGGTTAACATATTATGCAATTGATATAGTGATATATACAAACCCATCATAGGTCATGGTTAGTCCGGCAACTGATTTGTTTTCACAGAGTATGAAAAAATATAATAGGTAAAAGGACAATGACATCACAGCAGTAAAACATGAGAATTTGGCAATTCCAACGGTGTTCAGTTTGAATTTTTTAATGATATATCCTCCTAAAAACATTCCACTTGCAAAAATAGGTATGGTTATGACTCCTAGAAAAAAAAGAAAAAAAGTTGTAATCATATATGAGTTTTCTGATATGTCTTTATAGATGAAACACAATGTATGTCAATCAAATTTATTCAATATTATTGCTTCTTTTTAAAATTTTACTTTAAGTTCTGGGATACATGTGCAGAATGTGCATGTTTGTTACATACATATACATGTGCCATGGTGGTTTGCTGCACCTATCAAACTGTCATCTAGGTTTTAACCCCTGAATGCATTAGGTATTTGTCCTAATGTTCTTCCTCCCCTTGCTTCCCACCCCTCAACAGTCCCCGGTGTGTGATGTTCCCCTCCCTGTGTCCATGTGTTCTCATTGTTCAACTCCCACTTATGAGTGGGAACATGCAGTGTTTGGTTTTCTGTTCCTGTGTTAGTTTGCTGAGAATGATGGTTTCCAGCTTCATCCATGTCCCTGCAAAGGACATAAACTCATTCTTTTTTATGGCTGCATAGTATTCCATGGTACACATGTGCCACATTTTCTTTATCCAGTCTATGATTGGTGGTCATTTGGGTTGGTTCCAAGTCTTTGCTATTGCAAATAGTGCTGCAATAAACATATGTGTGCATGTATCTTTATAGTAGAATGCCAATCTTATTACTTTTTAAAAAGAAGAATGATATAGCAGTATGGTGGTAGGGGATCTGTGTAATTTGTTCCTGCCAATGATGACAGTTTGGTTTCCTCAATAGCAAAAGGCAGTGTGGCTGAGGATATTTGTTGGAGCAGATAATTTCTATGAGGCAATTTTGTTTTTCTGGAAATAAACAACAACAAAACACCATCTTTCTGCCTATGGAACTTCATCTAAAGCCTTTTGCCTCTCTCAGATAGAGTTCTAACCCTCAGTAACTCACACTAAATCTGCCCAGAGCTTAACAACATAAAAATTAATATATCTTTGTCATTTATTAAAAAACATACAGAACCTGAACTGACAAATCGCTCTACATACAGGATTAATAATGTTTAATCCCTCCTATAACTTTTCCATATCTTTGTCTAATAAGAGTTAACAAAGATGAAGTCTTCTCTAGGAAAAAGCTCAGGCTAGGTTACTGGGAGTCAAAACATTATTTTTCGATTTTAAACTTTTATCTTAAGATCAACAAAGAGATTATCTGGAAGCTTGGTCTCCTGCTTCAGTACATTCATTTTCTTGTTTACTTATGACCTAGTTACATACCACATGATAAGTTGTTTAATTCATCATATATTTATATTGAATTTCTATAATGTGTCTACAATACTAGAGTTGTGGGAAGAATAATACAAGGAAACTTTCCTTAATAAGCACATCTAAATGTGCCATTGAAAATAGATATTGTAGCAAAAAATACTCTGTAAAATATATTTGTTTTGAATTATGCATATTTTGATGTATTTAAATCGATACTCTTTTTGGAACTATTAGTGTCATATTTTTGTAAGTAACTGAGTCTTGATTTCAAAGTCCATAAATTATAGAATTATAATGATTATAATTACAAAAGGGTTTGTCTCAGATCTTAGCACTAAATTATAAGATCCAATTATACAGATACTACCTCTAAATTGTCCATTTATTTGCAACATTTTTTTCAGGAACTCATCTAAAATAAGATGCAACTTCAAATGCAGAGCAATAGTGACATCACAAGTTTTATATGTTTAATAACATTTGAGAAAGAATACAAGAAAATTATACTTATCCTGTATTACTAAAATACAAAATCACTTTCACAATAAAATACCACTTGGAATACAGTATTTAGTATTATTTCACTTATTAAGCACACAAGTAAAAAATATGTCTTACCCAATAAGATGTTAGCCTTAGATGAAGGCTGACCATACTGTTGCTCTACGTATTTGAAGACATAAGTAAAAGCACCAATATAGCTGCTTACTTGTAACAACGTCAAAAGCACAAACATAACATACAGGGGATTAGTAAGGATGCTTTTAAAAGACTGGAAAAAACCTGTAAAATTGTAAAAATAAAGAAAATATTTGAATGCAACTTAAATATACATTTATATCTAAAATTTGTGAACGTAAGTCATGTAAGATTTAAAATTCTATAAACACATAACACAAAGAGTGAGAATAGCCTGCAATACCACAGGCTGTTCACAGCTTTTAAATATATTCTTTCAATATTTTCCATACGAATATTAATATTTATTAGTTTAGTTTATTTTACCCTCAAATAGGGTCATACGTAAGTGCTGTTTTGTAACTTGCTTTCTTCACTTAATATTTGGTTATCCTGGGTACTTTACAATACTATTGCAAACATATTAATTCACTTATTCATTCATTCAGCAAATGTTAGGTTTTCAACTGGGTACCAGACAATATGCTAATTGTTCAAAAAACAAAAGTGAAGGCCGGGCACAGTGGCTCACTCCTGTAATCCTAGCACTTTGGGAGGCCGAGGCAGATGGATCACCTGGGGTCAGGAATTCGAGACCAGCCTGGCCAACATGGTGAAACCCCAACTCTACTAAAAATACAAACATTGGCCAGCACGATGGCACACACCTGTAATCTTAGCTACTTGGGAGGCTGAGGCAGGAGAATTGCTTGAATTAGGGAGGCGAAGGTTGCAGTGAGCTGAGATGGTGACACTGCACTCCAGCCTAGGCAATAGAGCAACAAGACTCCATCTCAAACAAACAAACAAACAAACAAACAAAAAAACCCAAAAACAAACAAACAAAAAGTGAATAAGACATATGATGTTTCTTATTTATTAGTACTTAATGATATAAGTATTATATTAAAAATATAACTATTAAATGGAAATGTAAAGACAGCATAATTCAAAACTCACAGAAATAAGACCATTGAGGTTCAAAATTCTTAAAGATTAATTTAGTATGAGGACTCAGACCTCCTGTTTCTCTAGTATACAGCTCTTCTACCATAACATACTTTCTCAGTAAATTTGGCAATATTATTAACCCTCTGTCTTAAGATACAAGGAAAGCAGCCAGGGGATAATATTGTGTCCCAAGTAGTATTATAATAGTAATAATACAACCACCTATCCCTACAAACAGCTGTGGTAACAAACTTCTAACTTCTGTTCATGGTAGAAATTATGTCATTTGGATCTGTGATCACCAGGTCAACTAGCTGTAATAGGACTTAAAAGTAGAAGGAACTACTTAGAAAAACAGTAGGAAGTATCAGAGTTCATCAAGACAGAGCCAAGATATGGTTACTGAGAGTTGGATGATACGGACTTTGAAATATTTTTCTCTATTTAAATCTCTAAAGATTTTCATTAGATATGGTCAGAACTAAGACATCCATTTAATGTCAGCTACGAAACAGTTGCATCTGCTTGAAATAAGGAGTAGAAGGAGTTAGAGAAAAGAAACAGAAAAGAAAAAAAGAAGAGATAAGAAAATGTATAGTGGGAATAAACAACATTTAAAATTCTTGGGCAAAAGTGCCACATTTCTCTCCACAGGTCTCCCCAGTCATGAAAAACCATCCCTGATTTGTAAGTATTATAAGTGAGTTGTGGCCTTTCTTCAACAGAAATGGAGTATATACATTCACACAAGCGTTGCATTTTTGAGGATGAGAAATTCAATGTCATCCAGTGTAAACTTCTGTATAGTCATGATCTACTATATATCATTAATAAGTGGATCAATAAACAACTTAAGTGGCATTAAACTAAGTACCTTAGGAAGCAATTTCCTCCACTTTTGAAAAGTTCTCATTGTTTACACACTGTTTTTGTAATGAACTGAAATCATCTTTTCATTCTAATCAGTTTTAGTTCTATTCAAGAGCATATGGAATAAATTCAATATTTTTTCTGACTATATATTCTTATTTTATCCATTCCTAATAGATACATACTTAAGATCCTCTTTCTTAGGGTCACACCTACAAAAACTGTTCATAATAGAGATTATGTCTACAATTGTCCTATTTTTACAACTTCATTATCCTCTCTGTTCTGTTTGGATCACAGTCAACCCCGCTCCTTATAGGTTTAGACAATCTACTATTTTTTAAAGATTTGATTTGGTACAGTAGAAACATCATATACAAAATGAAAATTATTGGTATAGTACTTTTAGTGTGAATGTTAAATTTTAAAAACATAAATGTTTAACATCTGATTCTTAGGAAAACAAACTTCTACTTGTAGTATATCCCAATTTCCATGGTAATAAATCATGGTAATTCTCTTGCCATGAACAATTTCAACCTACCAATGTAGCTGAAACTTAACAGTCCTCTGCTATGAGCCAATATAAAGAGTACCAGAACACCACTGCTCTTGGGTTAGTGTGATAGAAAGGAGAAAATAGCAATAAAGTAATAAGTAAAAGACCTGATGAAAGGAAGAACCTAGGCTACACTGGAGAATTTGTCATCTTACTTTAAAGAAAACTTGAAAAAGATGCTGAGGGTTTAAGTGTTGCATTGCTTTGGCTATTTCACCATTTCTCCCAAATCTGAAAACTGCTGTCAACACCTCACTGATTCACATATCTTGCTCTGGCTACTGCCAAGTCATTCTCTTTGTTTATTGACTCTCAATGGTTCTCCATTAGTCCCAGGGTTTATATTCAAAAGAGGAGGCACTGTCAAATGCTGATGCATCCTAATTTACATTACTTAGTCTAATTATCTTAACTACCACCTTTGCTTCCACTTTATTTTGAATATTTAGATAAGATAGATAGATAGATAATTACCAAAATAAATATTACTCTAATTACATAGGGAGAAACTTCTCCCGACTTCCTTCTCCTTAATCCATCTCTACACCTGATAATAGTTAAGTTTAATTTCACCATAATACTTAAGGCACTATATTGCTATTGTCTATATATTTCTCAGCATCACCCACTAGGTTCTTGAAAAATAGAGGTAATGTTTTATTACCAGGGCATAGTACAGTTCCTGGTACTACTTGTTGAATAAATGAAGGAATGAAATATTATAATTCTTTGAACTCTCCCAGTTTAGACCATATAATACTAAAATTAATATTTACTATTTGGCTCATAAAAAATGGATGTTTGTAAACTTTTGTTGGTTTCTCCCTGCTAAAAAGTACAAACCTAATTCTCTTCCACTTGTTATGTGCTCAAGACATATATGTTAACTTTAATAGGAGTTTTAGAAAAATAATTTATCTAAATTTAGTGCAAAAGAAAGCCAACTCCAGATGAGTTGGGTATGCTTTATTATTTTGGAATACTCATTCTTCCTTTTCATTGAGATTAACAACTCCAAATTGACAATGAATGTTAAATACTTACCAGTCACATTTTTGGTAATATTTTTTCCTTGATTGGTCAAATTAGCTGTTTGATCCTTTTCATCATTTGTTTCCAGCACATGCAAAGACAGTGAAGCTTTTCTTTCTTTTTGTGGTTTATTTGGAGTTTGGGGCAAGAAAAAGAATGGTATGGAAGAAATAATGGAGAATAGTCCAGACACAAGGAAATTAAGCCACCAAGCTCCAACCCATCGAGAATCAGTAGGAGTTATCCTGATAGTGCCTAGAATAAATAATTATAGAAGCCAGTCAAAAATCATTTTGAAATACAATAGGTTCAGGGAAATAATGGTATGAAGAAAGTAAACTACATTTCCTCAATTCCAAGACACGATTTTTTTCTTTTAATTTTTTGTCATCTCTGAGACTAGGATCAGTCTAACATTTGATGACATAATGCAACAGATACTGTCTAGGAATCAGTCATGATATTGTTGTCATTGCCTGAGCTTGTGTGCACTTGATGGCTTTTCTGATTACATGACTGGACAGTTTCTATCACTGGACATTTAAGCTTGCAGACTGTTTAATTACTACCTGTGGAAGAACTATGACGTCTCATTGTTGTCTGAAAATGTCTATTGGCACAAGCTAATAAAATCAAGAAAGGGTCAGCAATGAAATTTTAGCAGTTTGCAAGAAATCTACTGAGTCAATAAAGGGGCTTCCCACCATGCCTGAAATAAGCATTTCCAACTCTCCTGACAGCACAGAGGATAAGAAAATACAGTGAAAATATGAGTTTAAAAGTAACCCTGAAGAGTTAGACTCTAAAAGTTAAGGATAATTTAACCATTTTATTTCAGTCATATTTTTCTTTAAATCATGAATAAGAGTATTATGTAAATGCTATATCTCAAGTGTAAATGCACTCTTTTAACAGGTATAAAATAAACAATCTAAGTAATAAAAAAAGCCAATATGAGTTATCAGCAAGATAGCCTAATAGGAAGGACTGGACCCTTTTTTCTTTCAACAATATTTTATTCAACAATTATACAGCGATCAATTCCATTAGTGGAAAATCCAGAAGCTAGTTGACAGGCCATTGTACCCCAGGGAAGTGCAATATTAGCTACATTGACACTTTTAAGAAAATTGGAGACACCTCTTTGCTGTTCCTCTCCTCATTATAATACCATGCATTCAAGAGGAACTAGAAATTTGCAAGTGCCTATGAACACTTGCAATAGCTCTATTCCCTGGCTCAACATAGACTGAATGTAAGAAAACTGCATCTCCAGCTTATCCCTGTGGAGAGACAGAGTGAGACTGCACATCCAAAACTGTAACTTTTCAGGTACTACCCTTGCGACTGTCTTCTATATCACCTATCTTGAAGTGTTGACAGGACTCAGCATATACCAGACCTTTGGAGGCTACGGAAAATAAAGAAGGCAGCTTGAACTAGTATGTAAGCATTCCCATAGCTCCTGGCCCATAGCTTAGGGCAGAATGACCAAGTTAAAAAAAATTAGAAACAAAAACTTAACTCCAGCTTCTCTATGGGGAGGGAAATATTTCGACCACAAACCTAACATTTCATCTTTTCTGTGTCCAACTCCAGCAGCTGGTCATTGTCTTGCCTATCTTGGGGCTAGGCATATGCTTGCTTCCAATGGGCTACAAAGAGCACAAAAATGGTGGCTTAAATTAGCACATGAGCACTTGCTACAGCTCCTCCCTGCTCCCAGATCTATGCAGAGTGAGGAGGTAAAAAAGAAAAGAAAAACAAACAAACAAACAAAAAACAAAGAAAACACCTCAGTTTTCAAATTCTCCTTGGGAAGGAAAAAATTGGATAGCATGTGAAATATTCAAAATTTTCTGGGAGTTGACCAAGTGACGGGCTTCTCTGTCCACTGTCTAAAAGTGCTCATGAGACCCTACATACTCTAGATTCTGAAAGTTCCTAACAAAAAGATAGCAGTTTAAAAAAGAATCAAAATTTGAGAGGCCCACAGACGCTCTGCTGGGGTTGAATGAAGAAAGTTTTCTCCTATACAATACCAGTCCATGAAGACTTGGAGGCTGATATGGTTTGGGTATTTGTCTTGTTCAAATCTCCTGCTGAAATGTAATATCCAATGTTGGAGGTAGGGCCTGGTGGGAGGTGTTTGGGTCATGGGGGTTGATCCTTCATTGCTTGGTGCTGTCCTTGCAATAGTGTATGAGTTCTCAGGAGAAGATCTGATTGCTTAAAAAGTGTGTGGCACCTTGCCTCCCCCTTGCTCTTTCTCTCAACATGTGATGTGCCTGCTCCTGCTTTAACTTCTGCCAGGAGTAAAAGCTCCTTGGGGTCTCCTCAGAATCTGAGATAATGCCAGTGCCATGCCTGTACAGCTTGCAGAATCATAAGCCAATTAAACCTCTTTACTTGATAAATTAGCCAGTCTCATGCATTCTTGTGTAAGAATGCCAGAATGGCCTAACACAGAAAATTGTTACCAAGAAGTGGGACATTGCTATAAGGATACCTGAAAATGTGGACTTGACTTTGGAACTAGGTAATGAGCAGAGCTTACAAGAGCTTGGAGGACTCAGAAGAAGATAAGAAAATGAAGGAAAGTTTGAAACTTCTTGGAAACTGATAAATGATTATGACCAAAATGCAGATCGTGACATGGACAATGAAGTTCATGCTGAAAAGGTCTCAAATAGAAATGACAGTTATTGGGAGCTAGAGCAAAAGTCACTCTTGTTATGCCTTAGCAAAACAAAACAACCCCCCCAAAAAAACAAAATTAATAATAATAATAATAAATAATTAAAATAATAAAAACAGAAGCCAGGAAGTGTGGCTCTAAAATCACTAGTCTCACCTCTGTTATGAGGCTATAGAAAATAAAATAGGCCAGGCGCGGTGGCTCACGCCTGTCATCCCAGCACTTTGGGAGGCTGAGACGGGTGGATCATCTGAGGTCGGGAGTTTGAGACCAGCCTGACCAACATGGAGAAACCCCGTCTCCACTAATAAAGTACAAAATAAGCCGGGCATGGTGTCGGGCAAAGTACTTGGCTGCATTTTGTTCATACCCTAGGGGATCTGTGGAAGTCTGAAATAAAGGGTGATGACTTGGCCGGGCACGGTGGCTCACGCCTGTAATCCCAGCACTTTGGGAGGCCAAGGTGGGTGGATCACAAGGTCAGGAGATCGAGACCAACCTGGCTAACACGGTGAAACCCCATCTCTACTAAAAATACAAAAAAATTAGCCAGGCATCGTGGTGGGCACCTGTAGTCCCAGCTACTTGGGAGGCAGAAACAGGAGAATAGTGTGAACCTGGGAGGTGGAGCTTGTAGTGAGCCGAGATCGCACCACTGCACTCCAGCCTGGGCCACAGAGTGAGACTCTGTCTCCAAAATAAAAAAAAAGAGCAATGACTTAGAACATCTGATGGAAGAAATTTCTAAGCAGTAAAGCATTAAGGATATAGGTTGGCTGCTTCTAACATGCAATGCTCAGATATGAGAGCAAAGAAATGACCTAAAGTTGAAAGTTATATTTAAAGGGGAAGCAGAGCATACAAGTTTGGAAAATTTGCAACCTAACTATTTGTCAAAGAAAGAAAAAGAGTTTAAGTAAAAAACTGTCTCAAGTTGCAAAAAGGACATTATAAAATGATTTTTTAAGTTAATTCACCAAGAATATACAACCCAATATATTCACCCAATCTCAAAGACCCAAAAGCTATAAAGCAAACATGGACAGAACTGAAAAGAGAAATATAGAGAAATACAATAAAATCATCTCTTGGTATCTGTGAACAATGGTTCTAGGACTCCCTATGGATACCAAAATCCAAGGATGCTCCAGTCTCTTATATAAAATAGTGTATTACAGTTAGCCCTCCATAGTAGGCTGACTTCATAATATCTCACTTTCAATTATAAATAGAATGACTAGAGAGAAAATCAATGAGGAAACAGAGGACTTCAACAACATTATAGACCAATTGAACGTAACAGACACATAGAGAATACTTCACTCAATAAAAACAGAATGTATATTCTTTTCAAATAGAAATGGAATATTTTCTAAGATAGACCACATGTTACATCATGCAACAGGTCTTGATAAATTTAAAATTAAAATCATACCAATTATCTTTTCTAACTACAATGGAATAAAACTGGAAATTAGTATCAAAAAGAAAAGTAGAAAATTTTAAAAATATGGATACTAACAAACTTTTCAATAATTAAATTGTCAAAGAAATCAAAAGGGAAATTAGAAAATATTTAGATACGAAGAGAATCAAAAACAAAACATTCTAAAATGTGAGATGCAGCAAGAACAGTAGTAAGAGGAAGTGTTCAGTAAAAAATATCTACATTTGTAGGGTAAATTTCATTTCCATATCCAAAAAACATAGGTTATTTCTCTAATTTATGGTCACTAGTAGCATCTGGCATTGTTTGCTCTCAGTACACACTGATAAATATCACATAATTATGCTAGTAAAAAGTAAAGAATTATCTTAAACTAACAACCTATTTTACACCTCACAAAATTATAAAAAGAAAAACAAACTAAGGCCAAAGTTAGCAGGAGAAAAAAAGATTAGAGAAGAAATAAATACAATAAAGAATATGGAAAAAAAAACATTAGAAAAAATATCAACACAACTAAGTGTTGATCTTTTTGAAAGAGAGGCAAAATTGACAAACTTTAAACTAGACTAAGCAAAAGAGAAAAGACTCAAACAAACAAAATAAGAGCTGAAAGTAGAGACATTTAATTGATGCTAGAAAAATAAAACAATCATAAGAGATTACTATGAGAAATTATACATCAAAAATTAGATAAGAAAGAAAAAATAAATTCCTGGAGACATAAAACACAGAAAATATAGAAAATATAAAGAGATTTACAACCAGTAAAAATATTGAATTAATAATCAAATACTTCTCAACAAAAAACTTAGGACCAGATGGCTTTACTGGTGCGTGTTACTAAATAGCTAAAGAAAATATTAATGGCAATCCATTCCAATCTCTTGCCAAAAATTGAAGAGAAGAGAACATCTTCAAACTAATTTTATAAGGCCAGCATTATTCTGATACCAAAGCCAGACAAAGACACCAAAAGGAAGAAAACTACAAACCAATATATCTGATGAAGACAGAGGAGAAAATCCTCAAACAATACTAGTAAACCAAATTTAATAGCATATAAAAAGGATACTACACTATATTCAAGGGGGATTTATACCTGAAATGCTAAGTTTAACAAATATCACCAAGCGTAATGTAACACATTAACAAAAAAAGGACAAAATCTACATGATCAAATATGCAGATGTTAAACAGCATTTGATAAAATCCAACAATGTTTTGTGATAAAAACTTTCAACAAGCTAGGAATAGATAAAAATTGCCTCAACAAAATGAAGTGCATATTTAAAAAGCTCACAGCTAGCATTAAATTCAAGAGTGAAAAACAGAAAGCTTTCAGGAACAAAGGAAGAATGGCCATTCTCATCACTTCTATTCAACACAGTCCTGCCATTTTATGCCAGAGCAATTAACCAAGAAAAAGAAATAAAAGACATTCAAACTTGAAAGAAAGAAGTAAAATTGCCTCTACTTGCAGATGGCATGATTTTGTATATAGAAAACCCTAAAGATGACACATGCACACACACACACACCTGTTAGAATTGAATAAACACATTCTGTAAAGTTGCAGGATACAAAATAATTATAAGATATTACTTATATTTCTATGAATTAACCAAGTACTATTTGAAAAGACATTAGGAAAGCAATTCCATTTACACTAAAATCATAAAGAATAAAACACAAAAATAAATTTAAGAAGGTGAAAGACTTGTGCATGAAATACTTCAAGACACTGAGGAAATAAAGAAGCCATAAATAATTAGAAAGACATTCTGTGTTAATAATTGAAGGACTTATTAATAGTAAATGTCCATACTACCCAAATATATGTAAAGATTCAATACAATACCTATCAAAAGCCCAATAGTATTTTTACAAAAATATAACAAACAATTCTAAAATACATATGGAACCAAGAAGGACATCAAATAGCCAAAAAAGCATTGAGAAAGAATAAAGCTGCCTCATATTTCCTAATTACAAAATGTATTTTAAAGCTATAGTAATTAATATAATATGGTACCAGCATAAAGACAGAAATATAGACCAATGGAACAGAACAGAGACAATAAATGGGGTAAAAAAGAAATATGCAGAATAAAATAAAATATTATAAATCATTTATATATGAAAAGGGGTTAATTTCTAAAGCACACGGGGAAATCCTACAACTCAATAGCAAAAAAATAATAACGATGAAAAATTTTGCAGGAACTTGGATGGAACTGGAGGACATTATTCTAAGTGAAGTAACTCAGGAATGGAAAACCAAATACTGTATGTTCTCACTTATCATTGGGAGCTAAGCCATGAAGATACAAAGACATACAGATTGATGTGGTGGATTTAGGAGGCTCAGAAGGGGAAAGATGGAAGGGGACTGAGGGATAAAAAAACTACATATTGGGTACAATGTACATTACTCAGGTATGTAAAATATCAAAATTTATCATTATAGAATTCACCCATGTAACGAAAAACAACATCTACCCCAAAAGCTATTGAAATAAAAATTAATTAGTTATTAGTGAGTAGAATGGTGGCTACCAGAAGCCAGGTGGTTGGGAGAACAGTGGAGTTGAGGATGCCTGGTCCATCCTGGTAGACCCTGGCCTACCAACAGATGAAAGGAGTACTCAGACACAGGTATGTGGTGAAAGAGTGGCTAGGGGACTGCCAAAGAGTGAGTAGCAGTCCCAACAAGCTGGAGCTGCTCACTTTTATTTAGTACAGACATAATGCCGAAAGGCTGGAGCCAACACAATCTGTGTGTAATTAACATTATTGTTCCCCCTTACTGGGAACAGTCACGTGTACGGATGGTCAAAGGTCAGTTTCTGGACAACATGGGTAGACAAGCCTATTTAGATAAATTCCCCTATACTTCCTTATACCTATTTCTTGTGCTCTGCCTCAGGGTAAGAGAACAGCTATCTTCAGCTTAGTCTCCCCTGAAGTTTTGCAGAGCCTTCTGACCTTTCTAAAGGCCTGCTTCCTTCCCTATAGCTTCTTCCACCACTCTGACTGATCTCCCACATGAGGAGATACTGGTCAAAGCATACATAATTACAATTAGGAGGAAAAAATTGCAGAGATTTATTATGCAGCAGGGTGACTATTCTTAACCACAATATGTTGTATTTTTGAAATATGCTGAGAGAGTAGATGTTAAGTGTTTCCACTACAAAAGTAACTATGTAAGATAATGCATTTGTTAATTAGCTAAATTTAACTATTCCACTTATATATGTATTTCAAAACATTAGAGTGTACATGATAAAAATACAATTTTATATATGTCAGTCAGTGGCTGATAACCTGTAATCCCAGCACTTTGGGAGGCCAAGACAAATTGGATCACCTGAGGTCAGGAGTTTGAGACCAGCCAGGCCAACATGGTGAAATCCCATCTCTACTAAAAATACAAAAATTAGCCAGGTGTGGTGGAGGCACCTGTAATCCCAGATACTCTGGAGGCTGAGGCTGGATAATCACTGGAACCTGGCAGGCAGAGATTGCAGTGAGCTGAGATCACACAACTGCACTCCAGCCTGGGTGACAGAGTGAGAGTGACTCAAAAAAAAAAAATTAATTTGAAAAAACAATTAGGCTACATACCTGAATAGAAATTTCTCCAAAGAAGACACACAAATGAACAACAGGTCAATAAAAAGATTTTCAACATTGCATATCAGGGAAATGCAAATCAAAAGCACAACTCCACTCTTTTCCTACACCTTACACCTGTAGAATGGCTATCATTTAAGAAAGAAAGTGTTTGCAAGAATGTGGAGATATTTGAACACGGTACACTGCTGGTAGAATACAAAAAGGTACAGCCAGTATAAAAGGTATTATAAAGATTCCTCAAAAATTAAATACAGAACTCTCATATGACCCAGCAATCCCACTTCTGGGTACATATATAAAAGAATTGAAATCATTATCTTGAAGAGACCATTTGCATTTGCACGTTCATTGCAGCACTATTCATAATAGCTAGCTGTAAAAACAACCTCATGTCTGCTGAGGGATAAATGGATAAAGAAAATATTGTATAGACATACAATGGAATATTATTCAGTCTTTAAAAAGAAGGATATTCTGCAATATGTGATAACTTGGATGAACTTTGAGGACATTAGGCAAAATGAACCAGTTACAGAAGGACATATACTACATGATTACATTCATGTGAGGAACATAAAACAGTAACACTCACAGAAGCAAAGAGTAGAATGGTTATTGCCAGTGATTAAGGGGAAGGGGAAGCAGGGAGTTGTTAGTCAATGGGTATAAAGTTTCAGTTATGCAGTTCTGCAGTCTCTACAGGAAGAAGAGAGGGGGGAGGTATTACACACTTTTGAGCAAATAAATCTCATGAGAATTCACTCAGTATCATGAGATCAGCATCAAGGGGGATGGTGTTAAACTATTCATGAGAAACTACCTTTATCACCCAATCACCTCCCACCAGGCCCCACCTCCGTCATTGGGGATTACAATTCTACATGACTTTGGCGGGAACACAGATCCAAATCATACCAGCTACTGTTGATCAGAATCCTTACCAATAACATAAACAGTTGATTAACACATGTTTTGTATGTTATATGTATTATATATAGTATTCTTAATATAAAGTAAGCTAGAGAAAAAATGTTATAAAGAAAATCACAGGGAAGATAAAACATATTTACTATTAAGTTGAAGTGGACCATCATAAGATCTTTCTCATCTCTTCACATTGAGTAGGCTGAGGAGGAGAAGGAATGGGAGGCACTGGTCTTGCTTTCACTAGGGTAGAAGAGGTGGAAGAGGTGGAGGAGGTAGAGGGAAGGCAAAAGAGGCAAGTACATTCAGTAACTATTTCATAAATACGCCATAATTTCTATTTGACTTTGTGGTTTTGTCATTTCTCTAAAAATTTTTCTAAATGGAACTAATCCTTCTTCCAACACATGCTTTAGTTTCAGTGCCCACATTAGACAAGAGTCCCTGTTATAAAAGAAGCCAAAAACAGTCTTGAATTATCAGAATCCTTCTGCTAGATTGCCTAATAACAATTTGTTTCTGGCACTGCTGCTTCTATGTCTCCTTCCCCATCATCTGACACTAGTTCGCAGGCACTCATCTCCATCAGGTCATCTTCTGTTAACTTCCCTGATGAGGTATGAATTAGCTCTTGAATTTCTCCAATACCGATATCTTGAAATTCTTTACTCCTCACTTTTTCTTCCATATCCATAATCTCTTTCATAATTTTCTTGATTGGCCATGTTGTTAATCCTATGAATTTATGCACAACATCTGAACAAAATTTTCTCTGGTAGAAATGTATTGTTTTGCACTTAATGACTTTCACTTTTTTTTTTCCCTATAACAATAGCATCTTAAATGGTGTAATTCTTCTAGTCTTTTATGATGTTCTGCCTATCAGGATTTTCTTTGATAGCACTGATAATCCTTTCGTTAGAGTATCATCTGTAATGATCCTTTAAAGTTTCTTATGACTCCATGATCTAGAGGCTGAATTAGAGATGTTGTGGTGGAAGAAATAGATCACTACAATGCCTTTGATGTTGAACTTATGGGCTTTCTAGGTGACCAGGGGCATCGACTGATATGAAAAGAACTGTAAAGGCAGTCCCTTACTGTCAAGCTACTTCCTGTCTTCAGGAACAAGGCATTGATGGAAACAATTCTGAAAAAGAGTACTAATTGTTCAGACCTTCCTTTTGTATGACTGGAAGACTAGCAGTTGATTTTTATCTTTTGCCTTCAAGGTTTGGGACTTATCAACTTTGTAGATACTAGCAGTTTTGATAATAAGCCTGACCTTATTTGTACAGAATAGTAGACTTACCTCATCCCTTCCTGCCTTAAATCCTGGTGCTCACTTCTCTTCTTTATTAATAAACGTCCTTCGTGGCTTTCTTTTCCCCAGGATAGGACACTTTCATCTGCATTAAAAACCTGCTCATGCAGATATGCTTTCTCAATGATTTTCTTAGTGGAATCTGAAAACTTGTTCACTTTCTCTCATTTGGCAGAAGCTGCTGCTTCTGTTATTTTGAAAATTTTTAAACCCAAATCATTTTCTAAAATTATCAAACCATCCTTTGCTTGCATTAGTTTCTCCAGTTTTAGATCCCTCACCTTCCTTTGCTTTAAATGGTCATATAATAACTTCACTTTTTCTCAAATCACATTAAAGTCTGTGGTTATGCCTTTCTTATAAAAGTTTGCAGCCATATAACAATTTCATTTTCAATATGAGATAAGACGGTATATTACTAAAAGTGCAAGATTTTGTGCCTGCTGGCATAGACTCAGCAATGCCATCATGAATTTCCTTTTTTTTTCCCTTTTTTTGTTTTTTACAATGATCTTTATGCTGGATTCATTTGTATTGAAACAATGGGCAGCTGAAGACCTCAATCTGCATTATATATCAAGCAATACAACTTTTTCTTGTAATGTCGTGACTTTTCTCAGTTTCTTAGGAGCAGTTTCAGCATCACTAGTGGCAATTCATATGGCTCCAACGGTGTTATTCAAAGTTGACAGTATTGCACTAAACAGTATAAAAACGCACAAGAATCACAATCAGATTTTGCTGCAATCCGCAATTTATTGGAGAGAGGAACTGTTCATGTGGAGATAATTAGTGTCACATGGTGTTTTAAGCAGGTGCTTTCAACACAACCTTATTACTACAATTACAGGAGGTGCTATGAAATTATTACAGCAGTAACGTATATATTACAGTCAATTGTATAAAGTTATGCTTTAATAGTACATCTTCACATTTGTTTTCACTTCTCTTGACTGTAGATGAGATAATATGAGGTACATATGTGTTTCTGTGCTTAAATTTGAAGTTTAACTTTAAAAAAGCGAACTTTTATGTTAGAATAAAATTAGAATTAGTAGAATTTGGCTGAGAATCCATCTGGTCCAGGGCTTTTTTTTTGGTCAGTAGGTTTTTTATTACTAATTCAATTTGATAACTTGTTATCGGTCTGTTCAGGTTTTCACTTTTTTTCTGGTTTAATCTTTGGAGGTTGTTTCCAAGAATGACTCTACTTCCTCTAGATTTTCTAATTTGTGTGCAGAGGGGCATTTGTAATGCATTTCTATGGGAGTTGTAATGTGATCTTTGTCATTTCCGATTGTGCTTAATTGGGTCTCCTTTTTTTCCTTGTTAATCTAGTTAACAGTCTATTAATCTTTTTGTATTCTTTTGAATAACAAACTCTTGGTTTTATTTATCTTTTGTATACATTTTGCATCACAATTTCATTCTGATTTTCGTTATTTATTTTCAGTTTGCTTTGGGGTTGTCCTTTTTTTTTCTAGTTAGTGTAAGTGCAATGTTAAATTGTTAATTTGAAATCTCTCTGCCTTCTTGATGAAGGCCTTTAGCATTGTAAACTTCCTCTTAACACTGCTTTAGATAGATCCCAAAGATTTTAGTGAGGTGTGTCTCTATTTTATTTAATGTCAAAAACGGTTTTACTTTCATTCTTAAACCAAGAATTATTCAGGAAAAGTTGTTGAATTACCATACTTTTGGGTGGTTTTAAGAAATCTTTTTGGTATTGATTTCTATTTTTATTGCACTTTTGTTCAAGAATGTACTCAAAATCTTTTAATTTTTTGAATGTATTGAGACTTTATGACTGAGCATATGATTGATTTTAGAATACAATCTATATGCAGATGAGAAGAAAGCATATTCTGATAGTGCTGGGTGGAGTATTCTGTAGGATGTTTTTGGATCCAGTTGGTTGAGAGTTGAGTTTAAGTCCAAAATTTACATTTTAATTTTCTGCTTCGATATCTAACACTGTCAGTGAGTTGTTGAAGTCTTCCACTATCATGGTGTGGCTGTCTGTTTTTAGTTTCCTTAGGTCTCTAAGAATCTTTTTTGTAAATCTGGGTCCTCCACTTTTGACTGCATATATATTTAGAATAGTTAAGTCTTCTCGTTTAATGGAACACTTTATCCTTATGTAATACCCTTCTTTGTCCTTCTTGATGGTTTTTGGTTTAATGTCTGTTTTATCTGATATAAGAATAGTGATTACTGCCCTGTTTTGTTTTCTGTTTGCATGGATAGATCTCTTTCCGTTCCTTTACTTTGATCCTGTGGGTATTGTACATGTAAGATGTGTCTTTTAAAGACAACAGAAGGCTAAGTTTTGTCTACTTATGAAGCTTGTCACTCAGTGTCTTTTACTTGGGGCATTTAGCCTGTTTACATTCAGGGTTATTATTGATACGTGAGATTTTGATCATGGCATCATGTTGTTAGCTGGTTGTTTCATAGACTTGGTTGTATAGTTGCTTTATGTGTCTGGGCTACCTATTTAAGTGAGTATTTGTTGTGGCAAGTATTAATCTTTTGTTTCCATGTTTAGCACTCTTCTAGAGACCTGTTATAAGGCTGGTTTAGTGATAAGAAATTTCCTCAATGTTTGCTTGTATGAGAAGGAGTTTAGTTCTCTTTCACTTACAAAATTAATTTGGTGGGATATTAAATTTTTGGTTGAAATTTCTTTTCTTTAAGGGTGCTGAAAATAGGTCCCCAATCTCTTCTGGCTTGTATGGTTTTTGCTCAAAGGTGTTCTGCAAGATTGATGGGGTTCCCCTTGACAGTGACTTGATCCATCTCTCTAGCTGCCCCCCAAAAAAATCTTAAAATATTTATTTCTTTCATGTGGACTTTGGGGAATCTAATGAGTAGATGCCTTGGGGATTGTCATCTTTATAGCATCTCAAAGGGGTTCTCTGTAATTTAGGAATTTGCATATCAATCTCTCTAGCAAGTTTGAGGATATTTTCATGGACTATATCTGCAAATACGTTTTACAAGTTGTTTACTCTCTCTTTTTCTCTCTCAGGAATTCCAATGAATCATAGGCTTGGTTTCTTTACAGAAGGAAACCAAATTCCTAGAAGTTTTCTTCATTTTTATGTTTTTTTTTCTTTCTTTCTTTTTGTCTGATGGAGTGGATTATAAAAACTGGTTTTTAAGCTCTGAGATTCTTTTCTCTCTTTGGTATGTTCTGTTGCTAAAGGTCTGGATGTATTATCAAATCCATGTAGTATTTTTTTTAATTCCAGAAGTAGTGTTTTTTTAATGGCTATTATGTCTTTCAGCTTTTGGATCATTCTACTGGAATTATTGAATTCCTTAAATTGTGTTTCAGCACTTTCCTGAATCTCAATGAGCTTTCTTGCCATCCAGATTCCGAATTGCCTGTCTGTCATTTTAGTCATTCCAATGTGGTTAAGAACCATCGCTGGAGAGCTCAAATGCACCCATTTGAAGGTTAAGGTACATTCTTACTTTTTGAATTGCCAGATTTCTTGTTGATTCTTTTTCATCTTGAAGGAATGGTGTTCCTTTAACTGTGGTATAAGTTGAGTATGGTCAGTTGGTTTAATTTCTGGGATAAGACTCTGCACAATATTTTTATTTATAGCTAGATTCTTGCTCTCAGTTTCATATGCAATGTATACTGACAAACTATTTTTGAAGTCAGGCACAGTGGCTCAAGCCTGTAATTCCAGCACTTTGCCAGGCTAAGGTGGGAGGATCACTTGAGGCCAGAAGTTTGAGATCAGCCTGGGCAACATGGAAAACCCTGTCTTTACAGAAAATAACACATATTAGCCAAGTGTAGTGGTGTGTGCCTGTAGTCCCAGCTACTCAGAAGGCTGAGGTGGGAGAATGGCTTGAGCCTAGGAGCTTGAGGCTGCAGTGAGCTACGATTGCTTCTCTGCGCTCTAGCCTGGGTAACAGAGTGAGGTACAGTCTCAAATATATAGGCAGATGTTTTAAATTGAGCTGTGATCCAGTAAATGGTGCTTAAGAGTAATGGCTGGCAGATAAGCTGTTACTCGGGGACATAACTCTTTTGTTTTTCAGTGTGTTTACAACAGTGCTTGTGGCAGCGGGCAAGAGAGATGACCCCCTTAACAGGCCTGTGCCTGGGCCATAGGGGACACCCCCCCAATCTCCCGCTCTGGTCACTGGTGCCACACTTGCATTTCTTTTGTTAGGAAACTGTTCTGAGCCATGGAGCTCCCTTAGGCAGAGGCAGCAGCTGGCAGACAGGACACAGCCTTCCTGGACTGGGCCTATGAAATGAGGCATGTCTCATTCTGCACTGGCCCATGAACCCGTGCATCTCACCCCTCTCAGTGTTCTGAGATTCAGAATTCTTCCTCTGCTTGAGTGCTGGGCACCAATCTCAGCTCACACTCCCAAGCTATGCACTGCAGCCCTGGGGTTTTGGGACTAGCCTGTGTCTCCACTGTCTGGCCCCTCTGGTTCAGGCAGTAGCTACACTGGGGGATCTGAAGTGCTCCAAGGATACTGAGGAAGTACTCAGGTGGGGGTCCTTGAAAAAACCCTCAGGCTGAGCAGTGGAGGCTGTGCTGTGCACATATTCTTGCAGGTGTGGCCAGGCAGGAGTACTGGGAGGGACTGGCGGGCAGAAGGGCCTACAATACAGATGTGTCCCAGCTCACAGGAAAGTTGGCCCCGCTGTCTCTTCGCTCAGAAGTCAGGTGAGTTGAGAGCTACTTGGTGGAAGAAAGAGAGCCTTGGATGTTGGGCGCCTATGGCTGCGTTCTGCTGCAGCTACCCAACATGCAAAACCCCCTGGGTTCAAGGCTGGCTGTAGTTCTATTTCTGCCTACTCTCTGGGCAGATGCCCCTGCCTGTTCCAATGTCTCTGGGGGTCGTGGGTTCTCTTGTAGGTAGGATCCCAGATGTCAACAGTGAGAGTAGGCTGTCCCACTGCCACTTTACTCACCCCTTAGCTAGGAGCCACTCAGGGCTGGAAACTATCTCTGGTGTTCAACAACCCTGCACTGGGTTTCCAGCTTTCTCTCTCTTCAGCCTCAGTGTCTGTGTCACCTCTCTATTGACTTTCAGTGTTTTCTCTCAAAAGATATGCTCGAAGTATGTTAGTTTATTCAATATTTTGGGCTTCCTCAGTGGAAGTGGTGCTTCCTGAGTGTGTCTAGTTGGCCATCTTGTACCCTCTAATAAGTTTAATTTCTTATAATAGATTTGTGTATATTTTATGGTAGTAAATGATAAAATAGTGGAGTATCTAAACATACTTTATGCACTCATGATATACCTTTTTCTTAGGGTTTCCTTTACTTCTACACTATGCAATTCATCTATAAATTTTCTCAAATTTTCACAAATCTCCCCAAATTTTTTCAATATATTTATTGAAAAAAGTCTGTGCATAAGTGGACGAGCATAATTTAAACCTATTGTTCATGGGTCCACTGTATGTTTCAAAACCTGTTAAGAAGGTAGATGTCATTTTAATTGTTCTTACCATAATAAAAGAAAAATAATAAGAAATAAAAAAGCATATGCATACAGAAACACACACCACAGAAGTTTGTGGCACGATTAAATGGTGCCATTACTCTAATCTATAAGAAAACTCACTAATATAAGATAACATTGACTTGATAACAAACTACCTAGAAATAATTATTTTCAAGTATGCACAGATCTGGGTTTAAATTTGATTTATATGATCATACCATGTCATAATCAACAACTCAGACTTCAGGAAATGATTGGTTAAATCAGTGACTCCATCTACATGCAAAGTATTTATTCATCACCTGTGACAAATGTAATTTTGATGACTTTTTTTTCTGTTCTTTCACTGTTCTACACATAGTAACTAAGGGTCATAATCGCGCTAGATAGGACGTGAGAAAAAGTTTTTCTTGGCTCACTCACAGTCTTAAAAATTGAAAAATTCTACACAAAAATTTTGGTGTTTGGATTTTCTTGGAAACCAATCAGAAGTCCTTGCCAATGCAGGGCCTAAATTTGTGCATTAAAAGAATAGGCCAGAGCTGAGGAACACAAGTGCTTTTGGATGCATGGGGAGAGCAGTTCACAACCAAAAGAATTCTCCTATTCTAACCATCACACCCTAAATTCCTGTTCCTGGCACTCTTTACTCATTTATTTTTATGTCTTCAGCTCCTTTAGGCATTGGAGTTTGCCAAAGTATACTTTGTAAGTGAAGCTCATACTCATCACTGAATAAGAGAAGATATAATGATATCTGAACATTCAATGTTAGAAATTGTATGGTGATGAATTCTCAAATAATGTAATAATTTCTTATTTAGAGAGCTTATAAAATAATTAACCTAAGGACATTTACCACGTATTTCTGTACTCTTCGTGATAAAGCAGTGATGAAACTGGAGTTGAATGAGTAGAAATAATGTACATAATGTGTAGCTACTCTAAGGCATATGTCTAAAATTGAACATGTAAAACATTTTATCAAGTATTTTCTTTATAGTTTTAGATTAGCAAACACTTTCAAGTTTTTGGCTGTTGCTGGCCCACTGTGATGTCTATCCCATCTTGGAAATGAATCCTTTGATCTCTTTGGAATGATCTATTGAAGGCCTAATGAGGTGGAAAATCATATTTATTTATTCACAAACTTAACTAATTATTATTTGCTAAGAACATGCCATTCTGTCATGTGGTAAAGAGATGGCAAGTAAGCACACAAATATTAATAGCTCATTGTGAGAAGGGTTACAATAAAGGCATGCTCTTGGCTATTAATTTGAGACTAATGGAAAGTGGTGAAGTAAGGCTTCTCTAAGAGGATCCACATTTTGGAAGAGGCTTCAAGAACTATGCAAATGAAAAAGAGGGAAAAGTTTTACCAAGTGTAAATGCAGAGAAATGTGAGATTACAGGGCACAGTAACTCAGTCAATAATTGAATAAGGTATGGATATTCATCAAAAGGAGGAATATAGGGAATACAGTGGGGTTGGAGGTAAGGTGATGAGATCAGATTTTGACATATTGTGCTTTAGGTACTAATAAGATATCTAAGGAGGGAAAATGGATGAAGAAGCACTGGAAATATCAATTAACGCAAATGATAGAAATATACCCATTTACAAATCTATAGTAAAGTAGGTAGAAATTGATTGTGTTTCACTAATAACAGAAGCAGATTATACTGGATTTAGAAGTGGATGGGAGGTGAGAAGGTGAGATATCTTAGCTAATTTAGCTGATATTTTCCTAGGTGCTTGGTTCTAAAGAGGAATAAAAAAAGGATTCAGCTGGAAAGTTGTGTGGGGGTATAAAAAACTGTATCTACATATAAAGATGGGAAATACTTGGGTGTGTTTGCTGAATAAAAGAGAAGATGGAGATAAAGAAGCGGGAAGGGAGAATCTAAGCTCCAGCTAGATCTATCAACATTGGATACAGATGTATATATTTTCCACTGAGCTGCAAAAAAGAAAAAGAAGATAAAGATAGATATGGTGCAAGAATATTTTTAGGGAAAAGGGCCTGAAGTTGAGACAGTTTTTATAACATGGCATCTCTTTCATCTATGAGATAAGAAGGAAAGTATGCTCTGAGAATGAAGAAGAAAATCATAGATTTTATTTATGTGTCCTCTGCTTTATTCCTTTGTTCAACAAGTACTTACTGAACATTGCCATACGCCAAGCCCTCTGCTAGGACCAGGGAAAATGACCATAAAATACACAGTGAAGTCTCTCAAATGACTCCAGCCATAAATCAATGCAGCAGCCACAAGAAGACTTTAGCAAAGCAAACTTTAAGTTGTACACATCAACATCCAAGCCACCATCAACTGAAAAATAAAATTTACTTGACTGGACAGTCAGTTTGGGAGGGAGACATTTTACATTTGGTTATTTTGGACCAAGCTCATGAAAATAAATTTGTTTACATTCTCTCATTTTACACTTAGTTATAAAGATAGTATAAATAGGAGCTGGATTTTATATTTATTCTGATTAGTAATACATTTATTTCCTACTTGTAACTTTCTAATTATATTAAGCAAAGGACTATTGAAAGAGTGAATTCAGTTATTTGAAAAAATGTTTTTCGCATGTGTGCTTAGAAAGACGTTATCATGGTACCTTGTTCTGGTTGTACTTACTTAGATCTACATATCCAATATCCACGTACATTTTAGAAAACAGAGATCCCAGGGTAAAGCCAATGATTGGACCAATCATTGCTATTGCATTCAATATACCTGAAAATATTATAAAGCAATTTTACTAGATGCCAAGAATGCATGGTTCTTATTCACCATGTTTTTAAAAGAAATATGATACAATACATATACCCAAATATATGTTCTAATAGGTAAAATAATAAGTTTAGTAACTCTACTATTTCAAAAGTAGACAAAGGGAAAGTGATCATACAATTTAATATTTTGTGTACATTACCTAAATACAAAGAAGAATGTCCTTCTTTAGCGAAATCATCAATGTAAGAAAGCCCCAATGGTACTATGGGAGTCTCCCCTATTCCACGAAGCATATTACCCATGAACACATATATCCACATGTATGACCCAGATTCCTTTAAACAACCTATGTAGATAAGAGAGTGTTTCATTTTAAACATTAATTTTAGCATTTCTATTACAAATTTAACTACTTGTAAACTCTTAATTATTCTACTTATTTTTTTTTAATTTACAAGTACAAGTAATTTATATTCACTTTGCAAACTTTGACAATATGGTGTATTAGTCCATTCTTATGCTGCTAATAAATACATACCTGAGACTGGGTAATTTATAAAGGAAAAGGGTCTAATGGACTCATAGTTCCTCATGGCTGGGGGGCCTCACAATCATGGCGGAAGATGAAGGAAGAGCAAAGCCATGTCTTACATGGTGGCAGGCAAGAGAGCTTTTGCAGGGGAACTCTCATTTATAAAATCATCAGATCTTGTGAGACTTCTTCATTACCACGAGAACAGTATGGGGGAAACCGCCCCCAAAATTCAATTATCTCTACCTGGCCCCACTCTTGGCATGTGGAGATTATTACAATCAAGGTGATATTTGAGTGGGGACACAGTCAAGCCATATCATACAGAAAAGCACAAACAAGTAAAAATTATCTGTAATCACATTACACACAGAAGATCACCTCAAGCTTTTTTATATATCTTCTAGATTTGCACAAAACATATACATTATATTCATTATATCCATTATATATTTAAAAATCTAGTTCATATTGTTAAATGGTATACACAGTTAACACCATATTATAACAATTGTTCCATGTTGTTAAGATTTCTTTAATATCAAAACTTTAATGACTGGACAGTAATGTGCTGAATAAGTTTCCAAATGTGTTTATTCAGTATCTTATGTTTTAATTTCTTTTTTGTTGTTTTATTCTATTAGGTTTATCATGACTATAACTGTAAATAAGTCCTTTTGCAGTTTCCTGGTTATTTCCTTAAGATTAATCAATAATAGCAGAATTTCAGACTAAGTAGGTAAGTATATTTTTGTTCTTAACATATATTGATAATGAATCTCCAGAAAGATTTACAAACGTATACACTTCCAGCAATATATACAATGTGAAATCCTTTTTTGCCTCTACCTCGTCTCTATGTATTTTTAGTCTTTTTCTATTTAATAGGTTAAAAAAATCTTTAGCAGTACAATTTGCAATTATAATTTATAATTTGTGTTATAATAGGCAAAAAGTCTTTAAATGATATAATAGTTTGCCTTTTGCAATGAAAGCAAAGTTATATTATTTACATATTTATACCATTTCCTTCTGTTTTACTTTAATGCATATATTCTTTGTCAATTTCCTATTGAAAATATTCTCTTTTCTGATCTACTTCTAAATGCTTTTACATATAATACAGTCATCCCTTGGTATATTAAGGAATTTGTTACAGGGCTGCCTGTGTGTTCTCAAATTCATGCACACTTAAGTTCTGCAGTTGGCCCTGTTCAATCCAAATATAGAAAATGTCAGATATTCTTACCGGCAGGTTTATCATCCAGTTCAGATGGACAAAATTTGCATAGAAGTGAAAACGCGTAGTTTAAACCTGTGTTGTTAATGGGCGAACTGTGTATATTAACACTATAATTATGTCTGTAAGAGTCAAATGTTTTTCCTATTCATTCTTAATTAAATTTTGCTAATGAATATCACAACAATTTTTAGAGATGTAATTAAATGTATACATTTTAGAAGACTTTTTACTGTCAATATTAATTCTTACCTTTTCCCACTATCTCAGGTGATGCTCTATTGAGTGATAAAATTTGATTAATTAAACAAGTGGATAAGGTCGATGTTGAATTTTCTGATGAATTGATATTAGTTTCTTTAGAATACCTGTAACTGTAAGAACATCACTGAATTAAACATTTTGCTTATCTACTGAATATTTTCACTTTTCCTAGAAATACAGAGAAATATTCCCCTTTATTTGCACCATTATCTTCCCCAAATTACCAGAGTACTTTCTGTCAATTTCCCAGCATGTGTTTTAAGAGATGTGATGGGTAAAAGTGAAATGGAAGTGTCCAGCAAGAAAGATAATTCAATACACCCCAGGCTAAGTGGGTTATCACCTTGCTATTATCCTAGGAGTGGTTATATCTTGGTCAAGATATGAAATATCCTAGTTTCACCTTTTTAAAAAGTAATTATTAATTGTGTGTAACCATTCATCCTTTTGAATTATCTTCAAAGATGATCAGTCTGTCAGATTTTCTTTCATGGACACATATTCACACACACGCTCTAATGTATGACTCTTCAAAATGTAGTAAAAATAAAATCTAATCCATTTCAACTAGATGAGAGAAAACTTGATAGGAATAACAGAGATGTTAATATCCATAAATAATTAGGTACCACGTGAGCTCTAAAGGCAGCCTACTGTATTCCAGGCATTATGCTAAGCTTCAAAGAGCTAGAAATAAAACACACAGTTTTTGTACTTAGGGAATTTCACACTAGTATAAACATAGATGATAAAAGTTATAAGTTTAATATATAAGGTCCTGAGTTGTCACAAAGACAAAGGATATGATCAACTTTGCTTGGAGGTTGCGGGAATAGATCAGAGAAGACATCAACATGAGAATGACAGGTAAAACGAATCTGGAAGATGAATAGAAGGGTAGACAAAGAAACAAAGGTATTCAAGGCTGTAGAAATACCAGGTGCAAAAGTGTCACATATTATGGCATATTTAGAGCAATGCTGATCTAGATTGTGGTCCTTAATTTTAGGGTAGAATGGAAGATGAAGCTGTGATACTTGCCTTTAAGGTTTATTTTCCATACAACTCATGAAGAATCATAAATAAAGATTAAAAAGGAAATTAGAGGACTCTGACGGTATGGTGCCAAAAGCAGATGAAAAAAAATGGACATGATGAAGAAGACACAAAGATAGAAAATGAATCAAGAGAGTGCAGTATGATGAAAACAAGCTAGAGCAGTACCACTAAGAAGAAACTTCCTATAAGGGCCAAATATGGTGGGTGAATGGATTTAATATGGTGAGCAAATGATGTCATTGCTGGATTTGGCAATGAGTAAGTAATTGGTGTCTCTAACAGAAACTGCTCATTGTCTCCTAATATCCTCTCTTCTTTCCTTCCACAGTAATTATACTTGGGATTTTTAACCGGGAACTTGGTAACTTGGAATAATGTCTATTTTTTTCAGCATTTATATATCTATGTGTGAAATGTAACTAACATCTGGTAAATGTAAAGTCAGTAGAGATATTTTGCTTCTGAAAATGCTTCTTAAGCCTCAGCCTGTGTGGACTGTTTGTTGCTTCTTATTCTTTTCTTCTTCTATCTTGTTGCCTGGAAATACGTTGCCACAATTTGGATCATGAAGCCAAGACCATGCAAGGCATAGCACTATGATGGAAAGAGGTAGAATCATATCATCCTTGAACTGGCTACATTAACTGTAATGTGAAAAATAAGTTTCTCCCCCATGTGCCATTTTAACTTTTCTCTCAGGAGCATCTGACTGTAATTATAACTACACAGTGACCTTAGGAATAACAGCTTCAGTGAAATGATGGGAACAACTATACTTCAGTGGGTATAGGTGTAAGTGTTGAGGTCTTATAAAAAATAATCAAAATCTTATAGGCAAAGACGTACAGTATATACGTTATACTAAAAATTCATAAAAAGCCTATTTATTTCATTTGAAACTCTACAGTTTAGTCTTTTTGTTATTTCAAAGTATATGAAAGCTACGATAAATAAAATGATTATGTAGACAAATAGACACTATTTCATTTCTGTACACACTTAGTGGGTATCTTCTCAAAAGGTAACTGCCTATTTAAAGGGATAATAATAAAATTCTACTCCTAATTTACAAGGTACTGATAGTGGCACAGAGGTTTTTTTTTTTTTTAACACTTACTATCCCATGAAGAAATGTGGCAAAGCAGTCAAAACACCTCCAATTCCCATAATGAAACAACCGATTCCAATTAACTTTGGTCTATGTAGTTTGGATCCAAAGTAACTCACAAATACAATCACAAGCAAATTTCCTAGAAAGGGAACAAAATTATGTTGATACAGCTTAGTTCAATTTTGCGTCTAGAATTGAAAACCCCAGAATGGATGCAAATAGAGTCCAAGACATAGTGCCTTCCCTCAAAGACAATGTGATTTAATTGAGAAGGTGAATTCACCTACATTAGACCACTCATTGAAAAGTTGTTTTAAATACAAAAAAAAAGCACTTGAATTACTTGGCAATATTAGTGAAGTAAAATTTTATTGAAAAATTTGGAGTTGACTGGATTATACTGGAATGAAGAAAAATGGAGATGAATCTTCCTGATGAGGGTAAGGTGCTCCTTCATGCGTTTCTTTATTTATTCTTAATATTATTTAAATTTCTAACATGAACCTGACATGAAGCTCAGAGCCAGAAATAAGAAAGTTACTTGAAAAAGAATAAACCATGGCATCTGTCTTCAAGAAGTTTCATACTAACGATAAAAATAGATGGACAGAGGTGCTATTAAACCACAGAAAGGCGGAACTTAATTAAGAACTTCCAGAGGCCAGGCATGGTGGCTCACACCTGTAATCCCAGCACTTTAGGAGGCTGAGGTGGGTGGATCACGAGGTCAGGAAATCGAGACCATCTTGGCTAACACAGTGAAATCCCGTCTCTACTAAAAATACAAAAAATTAGCCGGGCATAGTGGCGGGTGCCTGTAGTCCCAGCTACTCGGGAGGATGAAGCAGGAGAAAGGCAGAGCTTGCAGTGAGGGGAGATCGCACCACTGCACTACAGCCTGGGCGACAGAGCGAGACTCCGTCTCAAAAAAAAAAAAAAAAAAAGTCATGACCACTTCTAATCCATCTGGAGCCTCAGGCATAACAATAAACAAATAGCAGTTAAGGATAACTGAGCACTTCTGAAAAAAAATAGCATAAAAATAATTTGGAATAAAAGCACCAAAATGAATGAGTAAATTTTTTTTTTACTTTATAAAAAATTTAGTACCTTTACGGGTACAAGGGCACATTGCATCCATGAAATCAGAACTGGCAGCCTAAAAATAATAAGGGAATAATAAAGTGCTGTTGTAAATATAAAATACAGATTAAATATACAAATTAGAACTTAATATGGTAAGATGGATGATGGCATCAAAGATTAATGAAACATAAAGAAAAACAATGGAAATTTAGAAGAAAAAAATTTAAAGAGAAAAATTCCCAGAAAATTTAATATTCATCTTATAAATTATCTAGAAAAAAATTACTAATAGGGAAAAACACAAATATGAACCAGAAAATGTTTTCCCTGAGCTGTTATTGGAGAAATCCAACATAAAATGAAGACAACAAAATATCTTCAGTATTTCAAAGGAAAGATTTTTGTGTGCTCAGTGAAACAATAGAGGTCTAACGTAGGTTGCTCTGAAAAGATTCCTTTCTCCTTAAGAATAACAGTCCTCTCCCAAAGTTTCTTCATCTTGAGAGAGGGGAGGTAAAGTATGACATGGCGTTAGTTTGCAAAAAATGAATTTGTGTAGAATCAGGGTTTCTGAACATCCTCACTATCAACATTTTCAGTTACATCATTCTTTGTGCATTATAGAATATTTAGCAGTACCCCTGACCTCTACCTTTAGATACCAGTAGCACTTCCATTGCCCCCAACCCCTGTGCAGTTATGACAACCACAAATGTTTTTAGTTATTGCCAAATTGCCTGTGAGAGATAAATTTACCCCAGTTGATAACCAGTGGTGTAAAGCATATATATTTTTTAACTTTGCAAGTTTGGTTATTAAAATAGAAAATAAATGTTACCAATTTCAAAGCTTCCGTCAATAAAACCAACAAGAGAAGAGGATATCTCAAATCTCCGTTCTATATGAATGATGGAACTTTTCATAATAATTGCACCTAGTGTCTTAGCAATAAAGCTGAGTGACAGAGCTGCCAAGAACATCTAAGAAAAATCAGAAGGAAAGGGGGAAAATGGTTAATCGAAGGACTATATAATGTCAATAGGCACATGGAATTATAATAGCTTTCTTCTTTACTTAAAAACATTATTTGTATCTTAAAAACCATACTTAGTTTTCCCTTTTACCAGGTACTACTACTCAGCCATTTAAATGTTATTATCACTACACTGATAAAGCATCATTTCTAATTTGGTTATAATATCAAAATATTAGAGCACTACAGTTAAGGTTGTTATTTTTAAATTAATCTCATTAACTGATTTATAGAAAGCTACATCATGTTCTCAGATGGCCATGATGGTGAGCTATTCTTTATTTCCATATGAATAGCATTGGCTAACTGGGAGGGGAGTGGCAGTACATTCTCAAAGGCAGCATTTCCAGGAAGCCAGCTGAAAAACAGAACTTTGCAGAGGCAAAGAAAAATTCTATGACCAACACAAGTGACTGACATCCAGTGTAAGATGCAGTGGTTATAGATGTTTTATTTGTCAATTTCATGTTAATAAAATGTATCGATTAATCATTTCTATTACAGCTCACATTTATATCCATAAACAAATTTCTTTGGGCTCTCTACTATTAATATTTACCCTGTTATGTATTACATCTTTATATCCCCTACCTCAAATTTATATGTTGAAACTCTAATTTCCAGTGTGTTGATGTTTGGTGATAGGGTCTTTTTGAGGAAATTAGGTCATGAGAATGGAGCCCTCTTGATAAGATCAGTGCCCTTATAAGACAAGAAATTAGGGATTCCCTCTATTTCTCTCTTTCTCTCTCTCTCTCCCCTACCCCCAAGTGATGACACAATGAGGATATGGCCTTCTGGAAACCAGGAATAGGGCCCTTATCAGAACTCAATTATGCCAGAACCCTGATATCAGAATTCTCAGCCTCCGGAAATGTGAGAGACAAATATTTGTTGTTTAAGTCACCAAGTCTATTCTATTCTGTCAGCCTGAACTGACTAAACGACCTCTTCTAATTACCTCCTATATTTCCCAGTGGTTTCCACCACCATGCCTAGCTTCAATTATTGCAAGAGCCTCCTGAGCCATGTTTCTACTTCTGTGCACATCTGCCTAACAGTCTCTTCTCAACAAAGTAGCTAAAGAAGTCCTTTACAAATCAGAAATAGATCATGCTGCCCCTCTGTTTTCCTATGTAACTTATAGTCATATCAAGTTTTTCCAATAACCTATGAGACCATAAACAACCTATCCTCTTTTTTACACCCACCTCCCCACAAATATTCCTCTTTATCTTTCTAATCTTATACTTTGTTACTCTTGTCCTTGGTCATTCCTCTCCAGCTACATTAGACCTTGTTGCTGTATATTGAGCATTCCAGATTCATTATATTGCTCCAGGCTTTTTGTTCTTGCTTTTCACTTGACATGAAAGGCTCTTCCCCATAGTCGTATTTCTATCATTCATTCCTTCACACCCTTAAGAGTTTTGCTCAGTGGAACTTTCACAGTGAGGTTTTCCTTGATCAATCTCTTTAAAATTGCACCCCTTTCTGCTCACAATACATTTATTCCTTTATGAGTTTATTTTATATTGCCACAGCAGAATATTAGCCCCATCAAGTCATAGGTTTTTGTCTGTTTTGTTCATTGCTCCGTCCCCAGTGATTAGGACAGTGTCTGTCACAAAGATGCTTAAGAAATAATGAGTGAACATTTATATAACCAAAACCTACTCTGTGTCTGGCCCTAGGCCATGTTTGGGGGACAGAGATAAAAGGCCCAACAAAACTCTTTGATAGCCGACAAAATGTGGGTGTGTTCCTTTCTGCATAAGAAACTATCAAATGATATATGCTATCAATGAAGATAAAAGGAATTCAAAAGATTTATTAAATGATACAACTTATAGAGATAACTAAAAGTTTTAAAATAAAATGTAAAAAGTTATCTAAGAAACAGCATAAAATGTAGAAGAGTATCAAAACTAGTTGTATTAAGTTGATGATGGGAATAATAAAACAGGAGAAAGGGGCAACAGAGTTAGACAAAAATTATGAAGATTTTCTTCAAAGATAGTCAATTCTAACATCTTGTAAAAATGTATGCAGTCTTTGTGCCATAGAATAGTGATGAAAATTGTTCAGGTCCTAATCATTAAAAAATCATTTTATTAAAAAGGACTAAGAAATGTGGAAGAGAGTGACATCAGCAAGAGAGCAGAACAGCCCTGGAACCTCAACAGCAAGACACAATATTAACAACATATGTACTAAATGCCTCTGTGAGAACTTCAGAACCAATTACAAGGTTTCTGTACCTCCAGGCTATCGTGAAAACAACCTGGCAAGAAAAATCATGATTGTTTCCAGTCTCTCTCACTAGAGTCTTTCTCACTCCACCCTGTGCAATGCAATTGGAAGGAAACATTTAAATCTCCTATGTTCAATATTTTGACTTTTAGGGAGGTTGCCCAAGGACAGGCTTCTGACTTGCCTATATTCAAGTACTAATAAAAATGCGGTCTTTGCAAGCAAAGGTACACCAAAAACTGCAGTTCCAGACAGAGACACGAGGTGGAGCACCAGTACAACAATTTAATGCAGCCCCAGAAAGGCCACTGTACCTCAAGCCCCAGGGGAGGGTCTTCTATAGAAACCAACAAACCTTTTCAAACAGATCACACACACAAGCCTAAAGGAGAAAGAAAGGAAAACATACTAGAAAAAAAGCATGAGTAGGCCACAGAATCTCTATTCAGAATTAGTGAGGAGAGTTCTCCTTATGGAAAATCATCTCACAAAATCTGGGAGAGTTGACTGATTTTTTAAATGTTAAAATCTCAACAACAAAATAATACAAAGTATAAAAAGAAAGAAAGGATTCTCACACATTAAAAGGAAAAAAAAATTACATCTCCAGAAACTGACCAAAAACAAATGAAGATATAGGAATTGCCAGACATAGAACTTGAAATTAGTCAAGTAGTGCAATGAATTAAAAGAGAATATGAACAGACAATTAAATGAAATGAGGAACATAACAAATAAACAAAATAGCAATATTAACAGATTATAAACTATGAAGAACCAAACAGAAATTCTGGAGTTGAATTATAAAGTAACTGAACTGAAAAATTCACTAGAAAGACTCAACAGGTAACTTGGCTAGGCAGAAGAAAAAATCAGGAAAATCAAAGACAGAACTTCTAAAATTAGAGTCACAGGAGCAAAAAGAAAAGAAGAGCCTAAAGAAATTATGGGACTCCATCCAGCAGGGCAACATATGCATTATGGGAATACCAGAAGAGAAGTAAATGAGAAAGGTCTGAAAACTTGTAAATTATGGACCCCATTTTTTTAAATCTTAAGAGATAAAGGAACCTAAACATTTAAGAAGCTCAAGTAATTCCAAATAAGATAAATCTAAAAAACTCTATACCAAGACACAGTATAATCAAACTGTCAAAAGTTACACACAAACAGAGACTCTTAAAAGAAGCAGCAAAACACCATTCATTTAGTACAAGGAAGCGGACAGCCTCTTCAAATGATGTTTGGGAAACTGGATACCCACATGCAATGAAATGAAATTGGGCCCTTACCCTATACTATATGCAAAAATTAACTCAAAATGAACTAAATACCTAAATGTAAGACCTTAAACTTCCAGAAAAAAATAAAAGAAAAGCTTCAGGACATTCAATTTGGCAATTTTTAAAATGTGATACAAAAAGCACAGGCAACAAAATTAAAAATACACAAATCAGACTATATCAAACTTAAATCATCTGCACATAAAAGAAAACAACAGGTGAAAAGATAACCTATGGAATGGCACAGAATAAATGCAAATAATATAAGTGATGAGGAGTTAATATCTAGAATATATGGACTTTTCCAAGGAAACAACAACAAAGAACAACCCAATTTAAAAATGGGTCAAGGACTTACATAGACATTTCTGCAAAGAAGATATACAAAGAGCCAATAAGCACATTAAAAGATGCTCAACTTTCTACTTATCAGGGAAATGCAAATTAAAACCACAATGAGATATCACCCCACAACCATCAGAAAAGCCACTATTTCAAGAATAGAAAATAACGAGTAAGAGAAGTTAGGAACTTCATGTTTGTTGATGGAAATATAAAATGGTTCAGCTTTCATGAAAAAGAGTTTGGAGGTTCCACAAATACTAAACAATAGAATCACCATACAAGCCATTAATTATTCTTCTGGGTATATAGTCAAAGTAATTCAAAACAGGATCTAGCAGAGATATTTGTACATGCATATTCATGCAGCATTATTAACAACGGCCAAGATGTAGAAGCAACCCAAATGTCTACTGATGAATGAATAAAGAAAATGTGGTATACATACACAATGGAATATTATGCAGACTTAAAAAATAAGTAAATTACATCATGTGCTACAATATGGATGAACCTCAAGGACATTATGCTAAGCTAAATAAGCCAGTCACGAAAGGAGAGATACTGTATGATTCTATCATATGAAATATTTAAAGTAGTCCAAGCATAGTGGCTCACACTTGTAATCCCAGCACTTTTGGAGGCCAAGGTGGGCGGATCACGAGGTCAGGAGTTTGAGACCAGCCTAGCCAACATAGTGAAACCCCATCTCTACTAAAAATACAAAAAAAAAAATTACCTGCGCATGGTGGTAGTCACCTGTAATCCCAGCTACTTGGGAGGCTGAGGCAGGAGAATCGCTTGAACCCAGGAGGCGGCGGTTGCAGTGAGACGAGATCACACCACTGCACTCCAACCTGGGTGACAGTGCGAGACTCCATCTTAAAAAAAAAAAAAAAAGAAAAGAAAGAAAAAAGAAAGAAATATTTAAAGTAGTCAAAAAATTAGAAACAGAAAGTGGAAAGGTACTTACTTAGAACTGAGGAGAAGATAGTTTAGTGGATACAAAGTTTCAGCAATGGAAAATGAAAAAGTTCAAGAGATCTGTTGTTCATCAATGTGAGTGTACTTTACACTTTTTAATTGTACACTTAAAAATTGGTTGAAAAGGTACATTTAATGTTATGTGTTTTTTACCAGCATGACAAAACGATGCATTATTTTATAGGGAGAAAAAAGTAATGTGAGTGGTCTCCTGCTGAGAGAATTAACCTCTCCTACTGGATATGTTTAAAGTGCCAGAGTGGCTGCAGATACTAATAAGAGTTCCACAACATTTTCATTTGATTTACAATTGCTCTTCACCATGCTCTTATCCACTAATTTATGAAGTTCTGTACTGATGTAGAACTTCTTGTAAACATCCCCTCCCCCATTCCTCTCTCACTGTCTACTAATTTAGGTTCTTTTATACTCAGCTAAATTTTCATTGTCACATTTTATTAGATTTCATTAATTTGTAAATAAAATGTCATATCCTTGAATGTAAACTGTCAAGATTTCTTATGATATAATCTTTATCAAGAGGATTATTATAAAAAACTATAAAGATGATCTCTACCATGTTTTTTGTTTGTTTTTTGGTGGCAAACATTTTTAGAATTAACTTTTGTGGTAAAGCATTTATAAAATAAAATTTGTCATATAGTTGGAATCATATAGTAGGTAACATTTTAATATTGCGTTCTTTTACTTATAAATATACTTTTAATGTTTCATGTCTTTTCATTGGTTATGTCTCATTTCTTGTTAATCACTAAAAATATTCTTATTCTATTGCATGAATGTACCAAGGTCGCTTTACCTATTCTCATATTGAAGGACACCTTGGTTGCTTCTAACTTATGGCAATTATCAATAAGGCTGCTATAAACACCTCTTTGTAGGCTGTTGTGTAGACATGCTTTCCACTTGATACTTATTTCAGTAAATACCAAGGACTACAAATGCTTGATTGTATGGTAAGCCTATCTTTAAATTTGTAAGAAACTATTAGAATATTTTCCAAAGTGGCTGCACTATTTTGCATTCTCACTGGCAGTAAATAAGAGTTCTTGTCGCTCCACATTCTTGCCAGTATTTGGTATATTTTTGTGTTTGGAATTTTAGTCCTTTTAACAAGTATACAGTGACATAGCTTATTGTTTAATTTACAATTCCCTAATGACGGGATGTGGAGCATTTTTCCACATGCTCATTTGTTGTCTCTATATCTTCTTCAGTGAGGCATCTGTTCAGATATCATCCTCATTTTATCATTGGGTTATTTTTCTAATTATTGAGTTTTAGATGTTCTTTGCATACTTTTGAATATCAGTTCTTTATTGGATATATCATTTCAATGTCTTCTGGTCTCTGATGAGAAATCAGTTGTTAATCTTATTAAGGAACTCTTGCCCATGATTATTTCCTACTCTTGTTGCTGTCAAGATTCTGAATTTATTTTTATTTTTTTGGCCTTTGACAGTTTGATCATAATGTGCCTCAAAGTGGATCTCTGAGTTTATTTGGATTTTCTTATGCTTCTACGATATTGAGATCATATATTTTATCAAATTTGGGACGTTCTCGGCCACTTTTTTTTCAAATATTATTTCTTCCCTTTTCTCTGTCTCTTCTCTTTCTAGAACTACTGTAATTGTTATGCTGGTTCACCTGATAGTGTCCCACAGTTCCGTATGTTTTGTTAATTTTTCTTCGTTTTTTTTTTCTTTCTGCTTCTCAGACTAATCATTTCAATTGTCTTATCTTCAAGTTTGCGGATTCTGTGTTCTAACTGCTCAAATTTGCTGTTGAACTTTTGTCTAAGTCAGTTCAGACTGCTATCACAAATTATGATGGAACGGATGGCTTAAACAACAAACATTTATTTCTCACAGTTCTGAAGGGTGAGAAGTCTGAGATAAGGGTGCCAGCATGGTCAATTTCTGGTGAGGGCCCTCTCCTAGGCTGCAAACAGCTAACTTCTCTTTGTATTCTCACATGGAGGAAAAAAATCTAGTGAGCTCTCCAGCATTTTCTTGTAAGGCACTACTCACATTATAAGAGCAAATTTCTCATGATCTCTTTAGCTCCCAAAGACTCCCAAATACTATCACATTGGATTTTGAAATTCAATACACAATTTTGGGGAGAGGGGAACAAATATTTAGTCCATAACAACTTCTTGTAAATTTTTATTTTGTTTATTGTATTTTTTTATCCCTTTGACCTTTCACTTGCCTTGTTCTAAGCTTGGGGATTAGCATTAGGTAAAAGGATACAATCTTCTCAGACGTTTTATGAGCATATGTCTTGCCTTGGACATATGTGTGGCTCCCTAAATACCTCTGTGTACATGCAGTGCTAGCTACATAATAACCTTGATAAATGTCTATTTTCATCCTCAGTTTGAGCTACCGTCTCCAGCTATATGTTCTAAATTTATTTAAATAAAAACCAGAGATATAAATGTGCACAATCATCAAATAAAATGTGCATTGGCAGAAAGAGACAACTGACATTGAGATAAGAAATAAAGTCTCTACTTGCCTGCAATCATGGCAGATCGGTCATTAATTTATTATGGCAATAGTTCTAAACTTAAAGTCAGAAGACAGTTCCAAGCTTCTAATTTGTCAAACGCACAACTTGGATTAGCTTTGGAACTCAACTGATTTACTCAAGAAACATTCATTGAGCAACTGTAATATAGCAGTTAGTCTGCTAAGCTATGTAGTTGAGGCAGGTACAGAGGAACAGGAACAAGGGCAGTAAAAACAAATAAGACATAATCAATGCACTGAAAATTATAATCTTCAGCAGCAATAAACCAATAATGACAGTATAATATGTATTGAGTTTTATAATTGCCATAAGTTTGTAATGTTATGTGCAGATAGGAAAAAGGGACTATTCTGACCTTACAGGTTAAAGTTCTTAAAGATGTGTTGACATTGGGGCTAAGTCTTCAGTTGATTATAGAAGCTTAGATATTGAAGACACAAAATACTTAAAACAAAATAGGAAGCACATGAAAAGCCCCTAAGAAGTGAAATAACACGGATTATTTGAAAAACAGAAATATTATTTGTGTAGGTGAAGTGTAAGGATAGAAATATGTTCAACATTGAGGAGTCAATATGCACTTTAAAATGTTACATAACAAAATTAAATTTTAGATGGTTAATTCTGGCAGCCATGAAGAAGAAGAACTTAGGAAAAAGAGATCTGTTAGAAAGCTGACTTCAGAAAATAAAAAAGAGTAGAGATGAAAAGTGTATAACAAGCTTACAGACACACAAGGAGAAGTTTAAGAGGAGAACCAACAGGAGGTGGGGAAAATAGAAAATGTAAATTCTGATTTTGTTTTCTAGTTCGGATAACTGTATGTTTGTTTTATAGTTTCTGGTTTGAATAACTGTCATTTGGTGGGAAAAAGAAGACAGCATTAAAGACAATATAATCATCTTTTCACAAGTCGAATTTGACATGCCTAAAAATAAACAAGTACCCAGTAGACACAACTAAGGCAGGCCTGTTGCATAAGAGATTTGCCTGGATGCAGTTTTGAAATTTACTAAGGAATGATTGTACAATTCATCCATATTAATTTATTTTATTAGAAAAAATGGATCTGCCTCCACCAAATGCTTTCTTTTCCATAACTCTGTCTCTCATGTCTTTTCCAGTAAAAATTTAAAGAGTTTGCCTGCATGACTCAAATCCTATTTTTTGCATAATTCCTCCCAAGTATCCTTAGATCATGTTATTCTGGCTGTTACATTTTTTTTTTTTCAGTGATTTGTTTCATACCGTCTTCTCTTTTTACTCTACATACTCTTGCTGGGCAAACCCATTCATTGTCTTTGCTTCGATTACCATCTGTCATAGAATGAATGTTTGTGTCCCTCTCAAATGCGCATGTCAAATCCTAACCCAATGTGATGGTATCAGGAGGTGAAGCTTTTGGGGGGTGATTAGATAATGGCTGTGGAACCCTCATGAATGAGATTTGTACCCTTTTAAGAAGAGAACTCACTTCCATTCTCTTTCTCTTTTAGCCATGTCAGGAAAGCAAGAAGAGAACTGTCACCAGAAGCTAACCATACTGGCACCCTGATCTTGGTCTCCCAGCCTACTGAACTGTGAGAAATAAATGTTTGTTGTTTAAGCTACCCAGTCTGTGGTATTTTTGTCATAGCAGCCTGAATTGACTAAGACACCAAGAAGACAGAGTTTGCAATTTCAAGCCAACAAAGTTAATTACTTTGTAAAACATCTGAACAAACAAATAACACCCTTTGAAATAATATAACAGTGTTCAAAATTACCCACTTATGAAGAACATGAAAGATGACAATCAATCAATACTAAGTCATAGATGGTACACACGTTGTAGTCCTTTAATGAAGTATTTTAAAATAACTAGTCTAACTACTCCCTAGTTAGAATAGTTAGTTCTCTTCATAAGTATTGATATAAAGAAAACAATGTCATAGTGAATGAAAATATAGGAAATGTCATTAAAAGAAAGAAGGTATAAAAATAAGAAAAATTTGCAATATCTGAAGTAAATAAGTATAATTAAAATATTGGCTTATACCACATCTTCTGGACAGGTATTGTGTATATACTCTCTTTGTAATCTATGCCTTTCTATGATGTATATTGTTGCCATTCTTCTAATTTTCCTAGTTAATTTATTCACAAAAAGCACTAATGAGAAATACAGCTTTTGAAAAATATTTGATAACATAGATAAAAGAGAAAGATTACACCAGATATCCCACAAAAATAACTTCACACCACTTTCCTGCACTTCACATATTTCTTTCCAAATAATACAGAAAGAGCACAAGCATAAATCTTGTTATCATGTGGAACCTACTATTTTTCAGGAACTATTCCAACTATTTTGTATATATTATTTCTAGTGTCTGTAAAATCTTTGCCTGGCATAAGTTACTCTCTTCATTATACAAATAAGAATAATAAAGTTTAGAGATGCAAAGTTATTTAACTAGAGAAACAAAACTGAAGTAAAGCATAAAGGGAATTGGAACAAAAGTATTATACATAAAAAAGTATTATACATCTCCTTATTATCTTGAGCCAAACCCTTATTACGTCTCACTTCATTTATCTGTGGTACACTGCTGCTTCTCTCCATTTGAAGCAACGGGAATTCTGCATGAATTTTAAAGCCCAGCTTAATGCCACCTCCTTACTGAAGCTTTATTTCCCCTAGTAGGAATTTGTTTTGTATCTCTTATACAACAAATGTATCATGTGGAATGGAAATTTTCTAGAGCAAAATACGTGATAAAAATAAGGAAGTTGAAAAATTTTTTGAAGTGTTTATCAATGAATATCTTTGTAATACAGCTTTATTTACATTTTTCTCTATTTAAACTATTTAAAATATGTGTTAAAATTGTTTTCCAAATAAAAAAATATAGTCAATTAAATTGAAGAAAATATTTTTAAGTGTTCCTTTTATTGCTTACTTTAATATTATAAAATAATGGATGTGCTTATTCTTGTTGGATATATTAGTGTATCTTCATGCACATCAATAAGTACACATGTATATTCATATATTTTATGCATTTCTTAAGAGTATCTGTATTATCATATGACTTATTTTTCTGATTTTAAAAAATTGTTCCTAGAAATTTTAGTTTATTTATAATATTATTTAAAATCTTTTTTATTTTATATGTATTTTTTGAGGCAGAGTCTCACTTTGTCACCCAGGCTAAAGTGCACTGTTGTGATCTCGGCTCACTGCAACCTCTGCCTCCCAGGTTCCAGAGATTTTCCTGCCTCGGCCTCCTGAATAGCTAGGACTATGGGCACATGCCATCACACCTGGCTAATTTTTATATTTTCAGTAGAGACAGGGTTTCACCATGTTGGCCAGGCTGATCTCAAACCCCCGACCTCAAGTGATTCGCCCACCTCGGCATCCCAAAGTGCTATGATTATAAGTGTGAGTCTAAAATCTTTTTTTTTTAATTTGACATTTATGATTACTAAATTTAAAGTTGTTAATATTTTCTTTCTAACTTTTATGTTCAGAGGTACATGTGAAGGTTTATTGTACAGGTAAACACGTGTCACGGGGGTTTGTGGTACAGATTATTTCATCACTCAGGTATTAAGCCTAGTACTCAATAGTTATTTCTTCTGCTTCTCTCTCTCTTCCCACCCTCCACCCTCCAACCTCAGCTAGACCCCAGTGTTTGTCATTCCCTTTTTTGTCTTTATGAGTTCTCATCATTTAGCTCCCACTTATAAGTGAGAACATGAAGTATTTGGTTTTCTCTTCCTGTGTTAGTTTGCTAAAGATGATAGCTTCCAGCTCCATCCATGTTTCCACAAAAGACATGATCTTGTTCTTTTATGGCTGCATAGTATTCCATAGTATGTACCACATTTTCTTTATCCAATCTGTCATTGATGGGCATATAGGTTAATTCCATGTCTTTCTTTGCTATTGTGAATAATGTTGCAATGAACATTCACATGCCTGTGTCTTTATAGTAGAATGATTTATATTCCTCTGGGTGTATATACACAGTGATGAGGTTGCTGGGTTGAATGGTAGTTCTGGTTTTAGCTCTTTGAGGAATTGCCACACTGCTTTGCACATGGTTGAACTAATTTACACTCCCACCAACAGTGTATAAGTGTTCACTTTTCTCCACAACCTTGCCAGGCATCTGTTAGTTTTTTATTTTTTAATAATAATAATCTGACTAGCGTGAGATAATGTCTCATTGTGGTTTTGATTTGAATTTCTCTAATGATCAGTAATATTGGCCTTTTTTTCAAGTGCTTGTTGGCCATGTGTATGTCTTCTTTTGAAAAGTGTCTGTTCATACCCTTTGCCTACATTTTAATGAGGCCGTTTGTTTTTCTCTTGTAAATTTAAGTTTCTTATAGATGCTGGATATTAGACCTTTGTTAGATGCATATTTGTAAATATTTTCTCCCATTCTGTAGGATGTCTGTTTATGCTGTTGACAGTTTCTTTTTCTGTGCAGAAGCTCTTAAGTTTAATTATATCTCATTTGTCAATATTTGCTTTTGTTTTGATTGCTTTCGGTGTCATTTGTCATGAAATCTTTGCCATTCCTATGTCCAGGATGATATTGCCTAGGTTGTCTTCCAGGGTTTTTGTAGTTTGAGGTTTTAGATTTAAGTCTTTAGTCTGCCTGGAGTTGATTTTTTTTTTCCTTTTTTATAATTTGAATTTTTAGAATTTTTATGTATGGTGTAAGGAAGGGGTCCAATTTCAATTTTCTGTGTATGACCAGCTAGTTATCCCAGAATCACTTATTGAACAGGGTTTTTTTTCCCCATTGCTTGTTTTTGTGAGCTTTGTTGAAGATCAAATGTTCATAGGCATGCGGCCTAATTTCTGGGCTCTCTATTTTGTTCCATTGGTTTATGTGTCTGTTTTTCTACTAGTACCATGCTGTTTTGGTTACTATAGTCCTGTAGTATAGTTTGAAATCAGACGGCATGATGTCTCTAGCTTTATTCTTTTTGCTTAGATTGTCTTCGCTATTTGGCCATTTTGGTTCTGTATGAATTTCAAAATAGTTTTTTTTTTTTTTTTTTTTAGTTCTGTGAAGAATATTGCTGGTAGTTTAATAGGAATAGCACTGAACCTATAAATTGCTTTGGGCAGTATGACCATTTTAATTATATTGATTCTTCCTATCTATAAGCATGTTTTTCTCTTTGTTTGTTTCATCTCTAATTTCTTTGAGCAGTGTTTCATAAGTCTCATTGTAGAGATTTTTCACCTCCCTAGTTAGCTATATTTCAAAGTATTTTATTCTTTTTGTGTCAATTGTGAATGGGATTGCCTTCCTGATTTGGCTCTCGGTTTGGCTGTTGTTGGTGTATAGGAATGCTACTGATTTTTGTACATTGATTTTGTGTCCTGTAACTTTGCTGAAGTTGTTTATCAGCTGAAGGAGCTTTTGGGGTTTTCTAGATATAGAATCATGTCACCTGCAAACAGGGATAGTTTGACTTACTTTTTGACCATAGACCATTGTTTTTAAAATGGAGAAAAACATTATCTTGGTAAACTCACAGCAAATAATGCCAAATAGGAATTTTCTCAATTTACTTTTATCTACATCAAACTATGTAAATGTTTCACTTTAAATAAACTATCATATTTTCTCTCTTCAGTTTCCCCTTTTCACAAATATTTATGTAAGAAAAATTTGAATTTTTTATCATTTGCCATTTTTTATTGCTGCAAAGTCATAGGTATTTTCAATTACTTTTTATTCAGGTATAGAATATAAGTTTATCTAATTCAAATGAGACCTGTATTAAAATAATTTTTCTACGTGTCATGATTTTCTAAAATACAATTTTAGAATTTCAAAATTATTATTTTATGCTATTTAAACTCTAATTTGGTCAGCTCTTTTTCTTATATCTATTGGCAAGTTTTGTTTTTAATAATGAAAATATGCTAAACTGTTCAAAAACAGTTTTGGCTCTCTATTGATTACTTTGACTACAGAACTTCAATGTATTTTGAGAAAATGCAATAACACTTTATAGAATTAATTTATGCATGTGTTTACTATCACAGAGGGACTTTTGTAATTCAGATCAGCATCTCATAACTTTTATAATTCAATTATTCATATATATGTAAATGTTGGCAAGTACTGCTTCAATTCAGTTAGTAGAATATCAAGTATTAGACAGAATTATGGATTATATGTACATTGTTGTAAAATATAGCTTTGCTCTATTAATTTCTTTTTACTTTGGAAAAGAAGAACATTATTTTCTCATATTAAGGTATGATTGACAAATAAAATTCTATGTATTTAAGGTATACATTCTTTTTTTTTGTTTTAGTAAATTGTTTTTTACTACAACACCCAAGATCCAGTAAAATGTGTATTTGTATGAGCATCAGAAAAAAATAATTATAAATCTTGAATTTATGTTAGCTATTGTAATAGTATTTACAATAATGTGAGAATTTTTTTTTTCTTGAGACAGACTCTTACTCTTCCCCCAAGGCTGGAGTGCAATGGCGTGGTCTTGGCTCACTGCAACCTCTGCCTCCTGGGTTCAAGCGATTCTCTCACCTCAGCCTCCTGAGTAGCTGGGACTAAAGGCAGGCACCACCACACCTGGCTAATTTTTGTATTTTTAGTAGAGATGGGGTTTCACTATGTTGGCCAGGCTCATCTTGAACTCCTGAGCTCGTGATCTGCCCGCCTTGGCCTCCCAAAGTGCTGGGATTACAGGCATGAGCCACGCACCTAGCCTAATGTGAGAAATTTTTACCTTTGAAAAATACATTTTGAAAAACTATGTTTTTATTCTATGGATTTGTTTCAAAAATTTATTGAATTAATTATTTTTTGAATTTTAAACATCTAATAACATGGATATACAACTGTCATCACTTAATCATTTGCAAAGTTATTTTTCTGCTAATGACGTCAACATATTAATAGCTATTACTTTACTTAATATACTTAGGAATGATAAGAAGTTGGATAAAACGAACATAGGATGGGTATACACTTGTTAAATGTTTGTTGAAATTTAAATAGTCTTATTTTCACATATTATCTTAGAGAATTTCATTTTTAAAATTTTTTTACTCTTCACATCAATTTGATGACAAAGGGCATTTCTTAGCTTGTTTTATTGAAATTCAAAACTATTTCAGTTGAATAACACAAATAATGTGACCTCTCTTTCTTTATCTTCCAATTCATCTTGAAAAATTACCACTACATTTTCCCTGCCCTTCAGGAACAAATTATACAGTCTTGGCCGGGCACGGTGGCTCACGCCTGTAATCCCAGCACTGTGGGAGGCCGAGGTGGGCAGATCACGAGGTCAGGAGATCGAGACCATCCTGGCTAACATGATGAAACCCCGTCTCTACTAAAAATACAAAAAATTAGTGGGCGTGGTGGTGGGCGCCTGTAGTCCCAGCTACTTGGGAGGCTGAGGCAGGAGAATGGCGTGAACCTGGGAGGCAGAGCTTGCAGTGAGCCAAGATCGCGCCACTGCACTCCAGCCTGGGTGACAGAGTGAGACCCTGTCTCAAAAAAAAAAAAAAAAAAATTTTACAGTCTTAATTAATCTTAATTTCTGAACATTTGTAATTATTTCTTCTTATCTGAATTGTACAATTGCTTAGAAGATTTTCTGGTTAGAATGCTGTGTATATCATTTTATTATTAGCTCTCAGTTTCCATAGTTTTAGTTAAATTTTGAATTGAATGTATGATTATAAACTTAATACACAAGATAGGAGTACATTTTACTGGTGCATTTCAGAAAGAGTAGGCTCTCTTTATTTCATTTTATTTCATGTAGGTTTCTATACCTAATATTTTCCTTCTTTTTTCTTCTACTTTACACTCACTTTACTATATTCTTGGCTAAATCAGGAACCCATCTGTGGACTGAGATCGTATGTGATACAATAAAAGTGAAGGTACTTTAAAGTCAGATCTGGGCCAAGTTTTTGTTTTTTTGTTTATTTTGTTATTTGTTTGTTTTTGCTTGCTAACCTTATAAAGATGAAAAAGTTACACAATTCACAGAAATGTAGTTTCCTCATAAATAGTAGTATAATATAGAATATTTAGCTTACTTATTTTAGAAGGTCATGGTAAGATTCAAAAGAAATTATGTTCGTGTGTTCATGAAGATGTTTGTGAATATCATTGCATTGTACATGTATCATATTTGGAAGACTATTGATTTATCCTTCTTTCTCTCTATTAATATAAATTTTATTTCTGAAACTTAAATTCATTCACAGTTCATTTACACAAATTATTTTAGCACTAGGCGAAGAGCAGGAAGAGAGTTGAGCACCAAGTTGCTTGTTCTTACCTCTGTAAAATACATTTCAGATGAACTTAAAATATGAATTACAGAGTGAAAAATTATAAAACACTTTTCTCATGCGTAAATTGGATGATGTACCCCAGCTCAAGATATAAATTTGTAATAAGCATCAGTATTATGCTTTTTTAAAGGTTCTTGTTTATAAACCTACATTGTTTTGCTTTATCTTTATATAATTTTAATAGATTAAGACAGCATTTTTTAAAATTTCTGATATTTTTTCTGTTATTAACTAACGTTAGGCAATTCTATCTTTAACAATTGTCACTTTAGCCAAATAAACCTCTTATGATTAATTCCTCTTACATCTTACAGTGTTTGTCATCTGTGCATTTCTGTGCTGATTTGATTAATTTCAGGCAAATTGTATAAGTTCACTATTAAAATCCCATTCTTTTGTGATATCCTAGCAGTTGCCTATATCATTAGATTTAGCTGCTTACAAATTTTAAGGTTCTTTTACTTAAAAGATGAACATTTGTCATAAATTCTTTGTTTAGTATCATTATTTTAATATAATATTTTCAAATATGGTAGAGTTTCAAAATCATAGACTTTGACATAATTTTTTAATCATTTACCTAATGTTGTTCTTTACAAAGGGAGGGGGTAGCTTCTAGCATTCAAAGGTCTCCATTATGAAATCACAAACCTATCTTCAAATTTACCTTTGTCTCTCGGTCACAATACTACTTGTATTGATTTTGGTTTTTCTTTTCAATTACTATATACTTTCCCTATTAAAATACATGGCTATTTTATTATTTTTTGTTGCCTTCAATACAGTTGCATGATTCAGATCAGCCTCTAGGAATCAGTGCTTTCTACCTCAATGCAGGGATTGAGTATGACTGTTCAGACATTGGTTGCATGTGTCCTCCAGAGTAAAATCAGAGTAGCTCTGAATCAGAGCAGCTGAGCAAAGGAGGAAAGGCTGACTAGCCTTGAGCATTCCCTTCTACAGGTAATCCCCTCAGTATTTCTGCAGTACTAGTTAACAATCTCCTCAAAGCAATTTCGCATTCAGGGGACTGAGGGAGCCATGGATAAAGAAATGTTTGTCAAAGGGCAGAGTGACGTGATTTATTGGTTACTGGTCATCACCTTGAGGCTCATTTCCCTCCCCTTTTTCTGAGCTTTCAGGGTTCACAATGACAGAGTTCTATCCTTTAGCTCTTCCCCTGTGCAATTACTATAAAAAAGAAACTATCATAACTAAGTAAATGTGACTTCAGGGCAAAATAGTGATGTCTTTGAGAAAACATTTCAAAAGAGAAAGAAAAAAGTAAACTGGTTTGAAGACACCATAAGGAGTAATTGTTTTACAAAACACTTAACAGGAGTTTAAGCATTACAAATACACAAAATATATAAGAAAAGAATATTAGCAAAATGAAATAAAAGCAAAATAAGATAACAAAAAAGAACAAGTAGAAAATATGGAGTACAAGATGTAAAATAGTATAAAATAATATATGGGCTTAAAACAAGAAAGAATTGGAAAATAAAATTGGTTATTTCATTTAAAACATTGAAAGCATATATAGGTAAAAGGTTAAGATATACATAATTTTTAACTAAAATTGAGAATAATTTAATTATTAATGCCTTAAAATGAGAAAAAATAAGTTGAAGAGGAGAAATATTTAAAGAAATAATAAATGAAAATTTTCAAATAATTTACTAAGATTAAAAAAAACAAAAAATGCAGGTTGAGAGTGCCCATTGAATGCTCAACACAAGAGATAAGTAAGAACACAGACATATTTGGAAGAAGTATATTAAAATTTATGAATATCAAAGACAAGAAAAAAAATTGAGGCCTTTCAGGAAAGAAAGTATATCACTTTCTAACAGCAAAAGTGGGTACACAAAAGACAAAGAAATATATTTTTTAAGTACTGAAGTAAAAGAGCATTGAACCCATAATTTTACATTGAGATAAACAGCCTCTCAGCTATAAAGAGATATATGCTCAAGCATATAAGGCCTCAAAAATACTGCAACCAAACACGTACTGGAAACAATTTTGGAAGAATTGCTTAAATAAAAGAAGAATCCAATTCTGAAGGTGTTGCATGAGATTTGTAAAGCAAAGTGAATAAAATACTTGATAAATTTTCTCAATGTCTTAAAAAAAAACTAAAAACAGGAAAGGAGGTAAAATAGTCATAGTGTCTAGAATTTAAAATTTTAGATTGAAAATCCAGATAGCATCATATTGTATAGAGGGTAAAGAGGCATATAAAAGAGTATGTGAACATATGTCTCAGTCTGTTTGGGGTGCTGTAAGAAAATATAGCAAAATATAGCATATAAGAAAACTGTGTACTTTATAAACAATAGAAATTTACTTTTTGCAGCTCTGGAGCCTGGGAAGTCTGAGATCAAGACACCAACATATTTGGTATTTGGTGAGAACCATCTTCTCACTGTAACCTCACATGTTAGAAGAGGCAAGGAAGCTCTATTGGGTCTCTTTCATAAGGACACTAATTTTGTTCATGAGGACTCTACCTTCATGAACTAATCACTTTCCAAAGTCTCCACCTTCTAATAGAATCACCTTGGTGATTATGACTCGACATACAAATTTGGGGGGAAACAAACATTCAGATCATAGAATCATGCTAGAATGTTTGTCTTGTTATGAGAGAGATAGGCATATACATTCAAAAAGTATAAGAAAGAATTTTAAGGGAGCATTAAAAAAGGGGAAAATCACCATAATAATGTAAGATAGTAAAAGCAAGTCTAACTATATCAATAGATACAATAAACATAAGTGTAGAAAATTGCTAGTTTAAAGATAGATAATTTTTAGTTTGGATTTTTCTTCAAAATTTACCTCTGTGCTTTTTATAAGAGATATTCCTAAATCACGAAGAAATTCTTCGTGATAGTAAAATGATAAGAAAATATAACCACTTAGAGAAAATTTTATAGGTGTATAAATAATAGCCCAAATAGACATAGAAACATCATTAAGGATAGAGAAGTCCTCCATATATTGAATTATATCATCCTAAAAGATAAAACGGTTATATAATAATGCACTTAGTAGATGCAAAATATATAAGCAAAAATCAATACAACTGCTTTTGTAAGAAAAAAATTCAACATCTTTCTTTCAATTATGATAAGTGAAATAGTTAAAATATTAGCAAGGACATAGAAGATCTGAATAACACAATTAACAAGACTGACCTCTCAGACACATATAAAATTATACATCCAACAATTGAAAGAATATGGAATATGCATTTTTATTAAGTACATCAGGGAGACTTACAAACATCAATGATGTACTAGGACATAGAGAAGTCTCAACTAATTTCAAAAATTAGTTGTCATAGCTTCCACAATGCAATTATGACAAATATTACTGGCAAAAAATTTATTACGAAAAATCTCCAAATATTTGAAGAAAATGTTATTTTAAAATAACTTGTATATTAATCAAGCAATCACAATGAATTCTTAAGTAAAATGTAGAACTGTAAGACATGAGATAAGAAAATACAATAAAAAATATATGCTGGTATTTCTGGTTTCTAGGCTCTGGAAACCTTCAAGGAGCTTGGAGCTTGCCATTTTATAGTAACAACAAGAAAAACACTGAACCAATTTAAAATGCAGCAACTCTTTCTGGATCTGTAAAAGAGGTGAGGACCAATGGCAATCGACTGCCTTCAAGATTGGAGAGACAAATAGGTGATTACAAAGTGTCACAGCTTATAGCAGTAGAGACTCATGAACAGAAACTGCACAGGAACCAGTGACAAGGTAGAAATACCTTCACTATAATTGATAAACTGCTAGAGTCTCACTCAGTGTGGTTAAGTCTGAGCACTAAACACTCCAAGGGAACCCAGTCGGTGACCTCCACATTTTGAGTTTTCCCTCCAGGAGCTTGACCAGGTTCTTATAGTAAATGTTGGAGAAAAATTATCTTGTTCTTTCAGTAGCATGAGGAGACAAGACTCATTTTTGAAATAGACTAGAGCCCTCTGTTTTTAATAGGACTTTTAGTGCTTGCCCTTAGGCAGAACTAGTTTATCAGAGCCTCATAAGATGGTGTGTTATTAGAGCCTAACTGACCGAAGGGAAAGGAAATACCCAGCTCCAGCCAATTCTAGTCTTCCATGTGACAGAAGGAAAATACCAAAATCCATCTCACTCTACCAAACCCATTCTGACCAAGAAGGAAAAAAAATACTAAAAAAACACTTGTGAAGGTTACAGTCCAGAGGCAAAAAAAAAAAAAAAAAAGCCTCTCCTCTCCCACACCTTAGCAACAATTATTGAAGGCCTATGTATAGCAGGTTTTACAAAACTCAATACATTATGTCTGGATATCCAGAATATATTACCAGTCATCTAAAAGAAAAAAAATATATATAATTTTGAAGAGACAGAGCAAGAATCAGAACCAAACTCAGATACAGAAAGGATGTTGGATTTATTGGACTGAGAATTTAAAACAACTGTGATTAATATGCTAAGTGTTCTAGTGGTAAAATAAAGAAGCACACAAGAACAGAGCAATGTAAGCAGACAGATAAAAATTTCATTAAAAAAATTATAATGTCACAACATCGTAGCAGAAATGAAGAATGCCTTTGGTAAACACATCAGTATACTGCACAAGACTGAAAACAGGATATCTGAGATTCAGGATATATGAATTAAAATCTGCAAAACTAAAAAGCAAATAAAAATAACAAAGACAAAAAAATCAGAACAAAGTATCAAAAAACTGTGGGCCAACTAAAAAAGGTATAGCATATACATAATGGAATCACTAGAAGGAGAAATAGAGACTAAAGAAATATTTGAAACAATAACAACCGAGAATTTCCCCAAATTAGTATCAGACAACAAACCACAGATCCTGGAAGTCCATAGAATAACAAGTTGTATAAATGCCCAAAAAGTTACACCTAGTCATGTCATTTTAAAACTATAGAAAATCACAGACAAAGGAAAAAAATCCCAAAAGAATACAGAGGAAAAAATACCTTCCCCATACCCTGTGTATTTATCCATCTAACATGAAGGAGAAATAAAACTTCCTCTGAGAAATGAAACTGAAAGAAATGTTTTGCCTTTAGATCAGCCTTGCAAGGTGTTAAAAGGAGTTCTTTACAGAAAGATAAAATAATATAAATCAGAAACTCAGATCTACTTAAAGCAAGGAAAACATTGGAGGAGAAATAAGTGAGCATAAAATATAAATTATTACTTTTCTTATTCTTAATCTAAGACATAACTGTTTTTAAAATAATATCTATAATGTATTTGATTATGTATGCTGACACAAAATTGAAATGAATGACAATAATGATACAAGAAATGGAAGGAAAGTATTATAAATAATTTGCTATTATCAGGTACTCATACTACCCATGAAGTGGTATGACGTCACGTGAAAGTGGACTTGAATTATTTGTAAATTTATCTTGCAAACACCCAGGCAACCCAACCGCTATGGTAGATACTAATCTAACTACAGTCACACATGTCATAATGACATTTAAGTCAATGTTGGAGAGCATATACAATGATGGTCCCATAAGATTATAATACCATATTTTTACTTTATCTTTTCTGTGCTCAGATATGTTTAGATACACCAATATCACTGTGTTGTAATTAGTATTTAGTAAACTACAATAATGTACAGGTTTTGGTAGCATCAAAGTAATAGCCTATACCATAAGCTTAGGTGTGTAGTAGGCTATAATATCTAGGTTTATGTATGTACACGCTAAGATGTTTGCACAATGACAAAATTATCTAACAATGCATTTCTCATAATGCATTCCTGTTGTTAAATGACACATGACTATATATCAGTAATCACTTTTAACGCAAATGATCTAAATGTATTAATTAAAAGATTGAAATTGACACAGTAGATCAAGTAACAAGAACCAACTATATGTTGTCTACATGAAACCCACTTTAAATATATAAACACATATAGATTAAAAGTAAACATGATCCTTTGGAGGAGATGAGGCATTCTGGGTTTTGGAATTTTCAGCCTTTTTGCACTTGTTTTTCCTCATCTTCGTGGATTTATCTACCTTTGGTCTTTGATGTTGGTGCCTTTCAGATGGGGTTTTTGTGTGGACATCCTTTTTGTTGATGTTGATGCTATTCCTTTCTGTTTGTAGGTTTTTCTTCTAACAGTCAGGCCCCTCAGCTGCAGGTCTGCTGGAGTTTGCTGGAGGTCCACTCCAGACCCTGTTTGCCTAGGTATCACCAGCAGTGGCTGCAGAACAGCAGAGATTGCGGCCTGTTCCTTCCTCTGGAAGCTTCATTCCAGAGGGGCACCCACCAGATGCCAGCCAGAACTCTCCTGCATGAGGTGTCTGTTGAACCCTGCTGTGAGGTGTCTCCCAGTCAGGAGGCACGGGAGTCAGGGACCCACTTAAGGAGGCAGTCTGTCCCTTAGCAGAGCTTGAGAATGGTGCTAGGAGATCCACTGCCCTCTTCAGAGCCAGCAGGCAGGATAGTTTAAGTCTGCTGAAGCTGCGCCCACAGCTGCCCCTTCTCCCAGGTGCTCTGTCCCAGATAGAGGGAATTTTATATATAAGCCCGTGACTGGGGCTGCTGCCTTTCTTTAAGAGATGCCCTGCCCAGAGAGGAGGAATCTAGAGAGGCAGTCTGGCTACAGGGGCTTTGTGGAGCTGCGGTGGGCTCCACCCAGTTCCTAGTGGCTTTGTTTGCATTGTGAGGGAAAAGCACCTACTCAAGCCTCAGTAATGGCAGACACCCCTCCCCCTACCAAGCTCGAGCATCCCGGGTTGACTTCAGACTGCTCGGCTGGCAAGGAGAATTTCAAGCCAGTGGATCTCAGCTTGCTGGGCTCTATGGGGGTGGGATCCACTGAGCTAGACCACTTGGTTCCCTAGCTTCAGCCCCTTTTCCAGGGGAGTGAAGGGTTCTGTCTTGCTGGTGTCCCAGGCACCACTGGGGTTTAAAAAGAAAATCCTGCAGCTATCTCAGTGTCTGCCCAAACAGCCACCCAGTTTTGTGCTTGCAACCCAGGGCCCTGGTGGTGTAGGCACCCGAGGGAATCTCCTGGTCTGCCAGTGGCAAAGACTGGGAAAAGCATAGTATCTGGACCAGAATGCACTTTTCCTCAGGGCACAGTCCCTCGTGGCTTCCCTTGGCTAGGGGAGGAAGTTTCCTGACAACTTGCACTTCCCAGGTTAGGTGACACCCTACCCTGCTTCGGCTTGCCCCCTGTTGGCTGCACCCACTGTCTAACCAGTCTCAAAGAGATGAGCTGGGTACCTCAGTTGGAAATGCAGAAATCACCCACCTTCTGCGTTGATCTTTTTGGGAGCTGCACACTGGAGCTGTGCTAAAATCTCTCAATAAACTAGGTATTGATGGAATATATCTCAAAATAATAAGAGCTATCTATAACAAACCCACAGCCAATATCATACTGAATGGGTGAAAGCTGGAAGCATTCCCTTTGAAAACCGGCACAAGACAAGGATGCCCTCTCTCACCACTCCTATTCAACATAGTATTGGAAGTTCTGGCCAGGGCAATCAGGCAAGAGAAATAAATAAAAGATACTCAAATAAGAAGAGAGGAAGTCAAATTGTCTTTGTTTGCAGATGATATGATTGTATATTTAGAAAACCCCATTGTCTCAGCCCAAAATCTCCTTAAGCTGATAAGCAACTTCAGCAAAGTCTCAGGATACAAAATCAATGTGTAAAAATCACAAGCATTCCTATACACCAATAATAGACAAACAGAGAGCCAAATCATGAGTGAACTTCCATTCACAATTGCTACAATGAGAATAAAATACCTAGGAATACAACTTACAAGGGGTGTGAGGGACCTCTTCAACGAGAACTACAAACCACTGCTCAATGAAATAAGAGAGGACACAAATAAATGGAAAAACATTCTATGCTCATGGATAGGAAGAATCAATATTGTAAAAATGGCCATACTGCCCAAAGTAATTTATAGATTCAATGCTATCCCCATCAAGCTACCATTGACTTTCATCACAGAATTGGAAAAAACTACTTTAAATTTCATATGGAACCAAAAAAAAAAAAAAAAAAAAGCCCATATAGCCAAGACAATCCTAAGCAAAAAGAACAAAGCTGGAGGCATCATGCTTCCTGACTTTAAATGATACTACAAGCCTCCAGTAACCAACACAGCATGGTACTTTTACCAAAACAGATATATAGACCAATGGAACAGAACAGAGACCTCAGAAATAATGCCACATATCTACAACCATCCGATCTTTGACAAGTCTGACCAAAAAAAGCAATGGAAAAAGGATTCCCTTCTTAATATATATGATGTTGGGAAAACTGGCTAGCCATATGCAGAAAATTGAAACTGGACCCCTTTCTTACACCTTATTCAAAAATTAACTCAAGATGGATTAAAGACTTAAATGTAAGACCTAACACCATAAAAACCCTAGAACAAAACCTAGGCAATACCATTCAGGACATAGGCATGGACAAATACTTCATGACTAAAACACAAAAAGCAATGGCAACAAAAACCCAGATTGACAAATGGGATCTAATTAAACTAAAAAGCTCCTGCATAGCAAAAGAAACTATCATCAGAGTGAACAGGCAACCTACAGAATGGGAGAAAATTTTTACAATCTATCCATCTGACAAAGAGCTAATATCCAGAATCTACAAGGAACTTAAACAAATTTACAAGAAAGAAACAAACAATGCCATCAAAAAGTGGGCCAAGGATATGAACAGACACTTCTCAAAATAAGACATTTATGTGGCCAACAAACATATTAAAAAAGCTCATCATCACTGGTCATTAGAGAATGCAAATCAAAACTGCAATGAGATACTATCTCACGCCAGTTGGAAGCGATCATTAAAAAGTCAGGAAACAACAGATGCTGGAGAGGATGTGGAGAAATAGGAATGCTTTTACCCTGTTGGTGGGAGTGTAAATTAATTCAACCATTGTTGAATGTATCCATAGGATTATAAATCATTCTACTATAAAGACACATGCACATGTATGTTTATTGCAGCACTATTCACAATAGCAAAGACTTGGAACCAACCCAAATGCCCATCAATAATTGAATGGATAAATAAAATGTGGCACATATACACCATGGAATACTATGCAGCCAAAAGAAAGAATGAGTTTATGTCCTTTGCAGGGACATGGATGAAGCTGGAAACCATCATTCTCAGTAAACTAACATAGGAGCAGAAATCCAAACACTGCATGTTCCCACTCATAAGTGGGAGTTGAACAATGAGAACACATGGACACAGGGAGGGGAACATTACACACCAGCACCTGTTGGGGGTTGGGGGGCTAGGGAGTAGCATTAGGAGAAATTCCTAATGTAGATGACGGGTTGATGGGTGCAGCAAACCACCATGGCATGTGTTTACCTATGTAACAAATGTGCACATTCTGCACATGTATCCCAGAACTTAAAGTGTAATTTTTTAAAAAAGTAAAGAAGTGGAGAAAAACATTCCATGGTAACAATAACCAAAACAAAGCAAGACAATCTAAATTAATTTTGGACACAGCAGACTCTAAAGCAAGGAAATTAACAGAGGTAAAAACGGGGCATTACAAAATGTTAAAGGGGTCAATTCTTAAGAAAACATAACACTTCTTAACATAGAGGCACCAAACAACAGAGCTGCAAACTATCTGAAGTAAAAGCCAGTAGAAATACAAGGAGAAATAAATGAATACACTATGGTATTTGGAGACTCTACATCTCTCTAGAAATGGAAAGATCCAGCAGGTAAAAACAGGAAGAACATGATTGACCTTAACAACATCATCAATTAACTGGATATAATAAACATCTATATGTTATTTCATCCAACAACAACAGAATACACATTCTTCTTAAGCTTACATGGAATATTCACCAATATATACCACAGCCTAAGCCATAAAACACACCTTAACACATTTAAACTAATAATGTCTTCTCTTAGATGACAATGAAATTAAGCTAGAATATAACAGAAAGATAACTGGAAAAATACCAAAATATGTGGAGATTAACTACCACACTTTTAAGTAACTTATGAGTCAAAAGAAATCTGAAGAAAAATTTTAAAACATCTTGAAAAAAATAAAATTAAACATACAAGTGATCAAAATTTGTGAAAGGTAGCAAAATCAAGACTTAGAGATTTATTGCACTGAATGCATATGTTAGAAAACAAGAAAATGCTAAAATCAATATCTAAGTTTCCACCTTGGGAAAATCAAAAAGAAAAGCAAATTAAATTTTAAGTAAGCACAAGAAAAAATAGAATAAAAATTGGACCTGAAATCAATTAAATCATAAACAGGAAATCAATAGAGGAAATTGACAAAACCACAAGTTAATTCTTTAGAAAGATTAATAAAATTGACCCAGCCAGGTTACCTAAGAAGATGAGGGAAGGCACAAATTACTAATAACAGAAATAAAGGCGGGGACATAACTACAGATCCAATATACATGAAAAGGATAATAAAGAAATACTATAAGCAACACTCTGCCTACAACTATGATAACCTATATAAAATAGACCAATATATTGAAAGACACGATCTACCCAATTTTGTACAAGAATAAATAGACAATATTAAAAGGACTATTTCTGTTTAAGAAATTGAACTGATTTTAATAACTTTCCAAAACAGAAAGAAACAGGCCTACATGGTTTCACTGTTGAATTCTACCAAATACCTAAGAATTAATTTATATCAATTCTCTACAGTTTTTTTCAGAGGTTAGAAGCAGAAAAAAATACTTCCTATCTCATTTATTGAGGCCAACATTAACCTAATACCAAGACCACACAAAGATATTACAAGTAAGTCCTTAAACTGATAAAATATATTTCAAAAATAAATGTACTAAAACTTGGAAATAGGCAAATGTAACCAGCACCACTTGCATTCAGCAATGGATTTCACAAAATATAATATTTATAAGAATCAAGGAGCACAGACAAATACTAAAACAAAGTACCATTTTATGCCTACTTAAATTGCAAAAATCTAGAAGTCACATAATTCCAAATATTGGAGTGAATGTATTCTCAAATTTTCATTTATGTATTACTCGTGATCAAGTAAATTAATGTAGTCACTTTAAAAAGAAACAGCTTCCAGATGTGATGGCTCATACCTGTAATTCCAGCACTTTAGGAGGCCAAGGCGGGCTGATTGCTTGAGCCTAGGAATTTAAGACCAGCCTGGCAACAAGGTAAGACCTCATCTCTACTAAAAAAAAAAAAAAAAAAAAAAAAAATGAAAAAAATGCTGGGTGAAGTGGCATGTGCCTGTAGTTCCAGCTACTCAGGAGGTGGGAGAATCACTTGAGCCTGGGAGGTGGAGTTTGCAGTGAGCCAAGATTATGCCACTGCACTCCAGCCTGGGTGACAGAGGCCCTGTCTCAAAAAAAGTGCAGCAACTATAATGCTACTATGTTGGAACTTTCCAATTTATTGAGTTTCTATGTAACACTGTGCTAAGCACCTTATAAATATCCTGACAACTCTGAGATAAATATTATTTCAATTTATTCATTTTCTATCTTATGGATGTCATGATACATGAGTCATGAAGACAACAAAACGGTTGGGTCTTGCTTCTTTATCCAACTTGCTATTCTATGCCTTTTAAGTGTAGGCATTTAACCCATTTACATTCAAGATTAATACTGATATGTGAGGATTTGATTCTGTCATAGTGTTGTTAGCTGGTTATTATGTTGGCTTGATTGCATAATTGCTTTATAATGTCTGTGGGCTCTGTAGTTAAGTCTATTTTTGTGGTGACAGGTATCATTCTTTCATTTCCATGTTTAGGACTCCCTTAAGCATCTCTGGTAAGGCAGGTCTAATGGTAACAAATTCTGTTAGCATTTGCTTGACCGAAAATAATATTTTTTCTTTACTTATGAAGCTTAGTTTGGCAGAATATAAAATTCTTAGTTGCAATTTCTTTTCTTTAAGGATGGTGAAAATAGGTCCCCAATCTCTTCTAGCTTGTAAGCTTTCTGCTGAAAGATCTATTGTTAGACTGATGGGGCTCCTTTTGTAAGTGACCTGCCCCTTCTCTCTAGCTGCCTTTAAGGTTTTTTTCTTTCTTGTTTACCTTGGAGAATCTGATGATTATGTGTCTTGTGGATGACCATCTTGTATAGTATCTTGAAGGGATTCTTTGAATTTTTTGAACTTGCATATCCACCTCTCTAGCAAGACTGGGAAATTTTTCATGGACTTTATCCTCAAAGACATTTTCCAAGTTGCTTACTCTTTCTCCTCTTTCAGGAATGCCAATGAGTCACAGGCTTGGTCTCTTTACATAATCCCATATTTCTCAGAGGTTTTTTTCATTAATATTTTTCCTTTAATTTTGTCTGCTTGTGTTGATTCAAAGGGGTAATCTTCAAACTCTGAGATTCTTTCTTAAGCTTGGTCTATTTTGTTGTTAATTACTATAATTGTATTATGAAATTCCTGTAGTAAAATATTTAATTTCAGAAGTTAATTTTGGTTCTTTCTTAAAATGACTATGTCATCTTTAAACTCTTGAATTGTTTTCCTGTTTTCTTTGGATTGCATTTAAATCTTCCCCTGTATCTTGTTGGGTTTAAATTTGAAGAGAAGAAATGACAAGTGTAATGATGAAACATATACTAGCAGGTTCTATGTAATGTAGTTAGTTCAGTACAAAAATTGAGGAGAAGGGGTAGAAAAGAATTCAAGTATTTGATTTCTCAAAGTTTTGTTTGTATTTCCACGGATATATTATCAATTTGCACTTATATATTGCCACCTGCTGTGTCTGTATATGTAAGTCAGTAACAACATGTATATTTGGGTGTGTGCATGCATGTTAGCAAGTGTTAGAATCCACAGTTGCTTGACACTCAATAATTTAACCTTAAGATAATTTTTTAGAAGTATGGAATGAGGAAAGTTATTAAAGACACCACTTATAAAAGCCTGCTTGCCATAACATCTTGAGGGTACTAATATTACAAAAATCCACATTTATTTTAGCAATATGGAATACAGTTGAGAGCATAGGATTTGGAATCAGATTGCCTGAGTTCAGACCTTCAGTGTACCAATTACCAACTTTGAGACCTAGGAGAAGACATTTGCCCTGTCTATATCTAGGTTTTTTCATCTGAAAAGGGGAGATAATACCATCCAGTTGATAGAATTATGGTAAGGAAAAAATCTGTTAGCAAAAGTAAAACACTAAATCAATGTCTGGCATATAGTAAATGCTTGATAAATGTTAGCTACTATTATTAAGGTTTCTCTCATCTTTTTTTATGCTCCTGAATTACATTTGTTTTACTATTGTTTTCATTATCTTTCTATCTACAGAGATATCTCTAAATCATAATATTTCAAATACAGAAAATTAAGAAATTAGATGATAAAATGTAATTTAATGAAAGTAAAAGTCAATATATTTTCAGCAACTTTTGTTAATACTTTGAAGTCCCAAACTTCATAAAAAATTAAAATACCCTTTATTTAAAAAATTTTCTCCCATTATGTTTTCATTTCTCATGAATAAAAAGTAAGCTCAGAAATGCAACAAACCTCAACTACAGGCACGCAAGTCTTTACAGAATTATTGTAAAATGATTGTTGAGTTTAATATTCTTTATCAACAACATATCAATGTTAACAATTTAAGTGAGTGAAAATATTATTTTAAATATCACTTGTAGACATGATTAACCAATTTAGCGATGTTTCTGAAATACCAGCATTAGGGATGCCAGTCTTATCCCAGTATCTTCCTCTAGCTCTAGTCTTCTTTATTGGGCTGCAGTTAATGTCCTTTCCACACACTGCTAATTCCCTAACTCCCAGCTTCTCCAGATATGCTATAAGGGATCACTCTGGAAATTTTATTGCTTCAGGCAGTTTGCTGCCATTTTGCTATGCACATGTCAGTGAAATTACTGTAACACTCAGTATTTAAAAATAAAAACAATTCAGTACATTATATTATCCTTAGAATATAGAACATAATTCACTTGCATTAACCAATACTTTTTCCTTATGACTGCCACTTGGCCTAAATGTTACTCAAATATTTCATCAGAGAAGGCTTTATCAGTAATCTCAGAAAACAAACAAATTTTATGTTCCCTGGAAGGAGCTAAAAGGAACCTTTTATAACATTATTGTAATTGACTCCAATCTTGGTGGCCTTTATTCAGCTGTATAAGACTACAAATTTGACTAAATAAAAAAGTTAAAACATTGATAAAAGGTGACCCTTATTTCTTGATTTCCTCAAGACTTCCATATGGGGATTTAAAGGCTTTGTCTTGGGTTCCAGGGTTTTCAATTCACAATGTAGATGACTTCAGGAAAATTTCTTAACTTTTCTGAGTCTTGGCTTCTCATTTAGCATTGTGCTTAGGAGTACTCATTCCTGTTTATAAAAATGCCAGCATCACTTAATACCTCAACTGTATCATTTAATACAGTTTGTGCCAAAAGCAAAAAGCAGAATTATTACTTTTACCAGCTGGCAAATGAAAACATTAAATGGCTTTTCTAAATCGTCAAACAGGTCTTTTGGCCAAGTTTTTGACTATCATAGACCTCCGTTCCATGAGCCTAAATTACTTATCAGAACTTTTTTAAATCCTGTTTTTTGTTTTTTTTTTTAAAAGAATTTTTAAATAAGTCAGTATCACAAAGTGAGTCTCAAGACATTAATATTCTAAGTTTATAAGTCAATTCTAAGAATTTTAAAATATTATTCATTATGCATTTTTTATTTTAATCACATTCCTAAATATGTCGTGATCAATCCAAAACCAAAGAGAAGCTATCAAAATATTTCTAAATTTTCTACATTGATAAACTATTAAGCATCAAAAATTTCGCCAAAGAAATACTTAATCAGATTAAAAGACTGGTTTAAATCAAGGTATGAATCATTATGTTAATATTTCAATATATGCTTCAATTGAAAATTATAATTTGAAACATAATGTTCTTTTTAACAACTTGCTTTTCTATACATTAAAGTTCCCTATTTACTTATTTTAGCTCAAAAACATAAAACTTATTCTACCTTCAATCCATTGCAGTATCTTGTTTTCTTATTCTCTGAAGGTTGTGCCTCTGCTGTTTTATTCAAATGTTGATTTTGGTCCATGATTGAAATATAGATATCATACAAATGTTTTTGTTGTTGATGCTCAGTTTGAAACAATCACCTATTAAGGAAGAAAAAGTATAGTTTATTTTATTTTTACAATATATAATTTAGAAATAAGAAAAGCCACAAGATCATCATCAATCAATCAACCATTCACTAACATTCACTCAGGGTCTACTATGTCGTTACCACTCTGCTAGGTCAATGCTGGAAACAAAAGTAGGAAAGACAGACACAAATTCTAGCCTAAGGAGATTACAATTTAATAGAAAAATAAATTTGTGGAGAGAAATTTGAAACAAGTAAGTAATATAGAATCACACACCAGATTACATGAACATTTTAAATTATAGAAATTTAAATTATTATCTTTTCTACACACCTATATTGTAAAATTTATAAAAGCAAATATATGTTTTCTTTATCCTTCTAGTTTTAAAATGTGCCTATTAGCCCCTTGCACAGAGTAGATATTCAAAACAGATACAAAAATAATATAAAGAATTAAATTAGAATGGCCTCAGTTTTATAAAGGAGACACCACTGGAATCAGGCTCAAAAAGCAAACAGAATTTGGATTTGTTAAAAAGAGCAAAGTGTACTCCAAGTACTTCTCAGAGCAACTCTGGTATTGCTTGACCTTACCACCATCATGATGTTACTTTATTTTGATTTTGTTCATTTCTTTTCCAAGAGAAAATGCATATAGTTGAAAATGCAAATTAAAAAAATAAAACAAAGATTCTTCCTCTAACTCTTGTCCCATTATCCAGAAATATAATATGGATTTTTCATTAAGTACATAATATTTTCCTTTTCAATGCAAATGGTAGCATACCTTAAACATCATTCTCTACCTTTTTATCTTCTCTATATACTTAATCTTAATAAGTCTTTCTCATTTTTCTTATGGTAGCAGGGTATTAAGTTGTCCATAATATATGCAACTGGTTCTATATTCATCAGCTTTTAGGTTGTATCTAATCATTTCATATTAAAGATGTTCTTAATATATCATATGCCATTTTGGTTTTATGTGGCCATATCTGCAGAATAAATTCAACAACTAAAGTTTTGGAGTCAATGTATGAGAGAAATTGTTATTTTGAGAGTCATTAAAGTCCTACTTTAAAGACTAGTAAAATGAGTTAACTTTTTACTTCAACTGACTCTTTTATATAGAATATAATGTGTTCTTCATGGAGTTTTAGAAATACATTCTTGCTCCTATGTATGTAAACAATACATATTTATGTATCTAAGATATCTATATAAGCAGACACAGCATAGATACATGATTTTTAATAGGGCAGTAATTATACAATATGTCTAATATATATTATATGTACAGTTGATACTTGTTGCAGTAGTTATGTTTTATAAAGTTGCTGGGAACACTGAATTAGCAAATATTGAACCATTGTTCCTTGGAGAGATGTGGGGTTAGTTATATGCCTGTCTGCCTCTGGTCACAATATTTTGGTAAATTGTTCAATATAGAACTGTGTTTTATGTATGTTTTGTTTAAAGACACTTTATTTAATACATACTATTGATTCATTAACATTGAATTAGTTGTCAACAACACTGTAGTTCAGGCCTGGAGGAAGCTTATACAGCATATGTATCTTTTCCCTCAGATACTCTTGTGCACCGGAGAGCACTTCAGCACTATCTTTGGGGCCCATTCGAAACATTCAACTCAGAAACACAAAACACAAAAATGCCAAAAATGTGGCAATAAATACAGTGTGAAAAGGATATTTCTTTATCATATGTGAGCAGAAACAAGAAGACAGAGCTTCATTTTGTTCAACCTTAGTTGGGAACATGGCAGCTCAAATTTTTCACCACTTTGCACATGCATGTGAATGCCCATGAAAGTCCAGCAGTATTGATTTTGGTGTTACAAAGGAATTTTAGTGAATAGACAAATTTTCTTATATAGAATCTGTGAATAATGAGACTCGACTCTATATTTTATTCACTAATTTATTCAACAAGGGCTGATGGATTCTGAATAATATAAATATATATAATACATATTTAAGGGATAGTGCATAAATGTGGAAGTAACAAACAGGATATTATCACTTACATATATGTGAGTATATATCAACATATGGTTGAATACAGAAACCCATACATGTGTACCTCTAAGTGAACTCCAATTATTACATTTTGTGTGTGTACATGTTTTATGCATGCCTGTACCTAGATATGTCGGGTTTCTGGGTTCAGTGAGGTAAGAAAAAAGTCAATGGCTGTTTAGTCTCAAGGTAATAAGCTGCCCTTTGATTAATTTCACCCCATTTTTTCCATGAATATCTGTTTCTATCTCTTTCTTCATAATTTAAATATTAGGAAATCTTTTTTTAAAAAAATTATATAATAGCAAATATCTCTGTATGACTTGCAAGGTGGATAGTCTTCCTTTAGTTTTAGGCTTCGATTTTCTTTCTACTAACAAATATTCTTGATGTCTTGAAGGCTATTGTCCCACCACTCCAAACCTGGTTTATTTCAATTGATTAACTTCTGTTTGTCCTGTCTCCCACCTTTCTTTCTATCCTATGCATATCATATTTATCCTAAGAATCTTTCAAAGATCCCTTTAACGACACAAAATAAAATTCACAGTTTCTATTTGATGGTCTTCACAACCTAAACCAAGCCCCTGTTTTTAGAACCATTCTCAATATACCCATAGCACCTGCAGACACATGAAACCACAGTCCCAAGAAGAAAGCTTTCTGCCCTCTTGTATGTTTCTTTCAATCCTGAATGTCATTCTCCATTCTTGGTTGTAATGCTGATCCAAATTGTACCTCTTCAATATTTTTATACTTACCACCTGTTGATAATATCTCCCATCCTGCTGTACCAGTGGAGAATATACCTGAAGTCATTACTTTTCTTTGTATTTCCCCTACTTCCCCAGAAAAATACTATTTCACATCTCTCTCCTAGATCTTCAGATAAAATATTCAGGAAAAAAAGGTGGACACTTTGTTCCTCATTTCACCAAAATGTTAAATAAGTTACTACAAAGTAACTAGAAAGTTGGAATATTAATTTATGCTTGACTAAATGCCACACTTTCTAATTCACCTTGACATTTAACATATTTTTCTCTGAACATATTTTTTTCTTAAATTTCAAATGATTTACATAAATGAATTTTGAGGACACCATTTGTTTATAAGATAGAACCATAGGCATTTGGATTTAGCATTGCAATTCTTCCCGGAAGAGGTCAGTTCTTCCAAATTTGATAGGAGTGGGGTGCAGGACAGAATCTTATCAGCCTCTACTTATCTGTGTCAAGCTTTTAATACTTAATAGGTTATAGAAAACCGGTTTAGGCAAAGTGACCCAATTTCTACCATGTACTTATGCAACTGAGGAGCAAAAAGGAAAAACAGCATTTGCTAACTTCTTAGACCTTTTATAGGAGAGACAATCCCCCATCTCCACCTCACTTTCACAATAAAAACAATTGTCTTATCAAGGCAGACAACTTTCTGAATTGGAGAAGGGAACTAATATTTATTGAGGCCTTAGTTCATGCTAAAAACTGTGCTGAGGGGAGGAGCCAAGATGGCCAAATAGGAACAGCTCTGGTCTACAGCTCCCAGCATGAGCAACACAGAAGACTGGTGATTTCTGCATTTCCAACTGAGGTACCGGGTTCATCTCACTGGGGAGTGCCAGACAGTAGGTGCAGGACAGTGGGTGAAGCGCACCGTGCGCAAGCCAAAGCAGGGCGAGGCATTGCCTCACCCGGGAAGCACAAGGGGTCAGGGAATTCCCTTTCCTAGTCAGAGAAAGGGGTGACAGACGGCACCTGGAAAATTGGGTCACTCCCACCCTAATACTGTGCTTTTCCAACCGGCTTAAAAAACAGCACACCAGGAGATTATATCCTGCACCTGGCTTGGAGGGTCCTATGCCCACAGAGTCTCGCTCATTGCAAGCACAGCCATCCAAGATCAAACTGCAAGGTGGCAGCGAGGCTGGGGGAGGGGCGGCCACCATTGCTGAGTTAGTTGTTTGATTAGGTAAACAAAGCGGCTGGGAAGCTCGAACTGGGTGGAGCCCACCACAGCTCAAGGACACCTGCCTGCCTCTGTAGGCTCCATCTCTGGGGGCAGGGCACAGACAAACAAAAAGACAGCAGTAACCTCTGCAGACTTAAATGTCCCTCTCTGACAGCTTTGAAGAGAGCAGTGGTTCTCCCAGCACGCAGCTTGAGATCTGAGAACAGGCAGACTGCCTCCTCAAGTGGGTCCCTGACCCCCGAGTAGCCTAACTGGGAGGCACCCCCCAGTAGGGGCGGACTGACACCTCACACGGTCGGGTACTCCTCTGAGACAAAACTTCCAGAGGAACGATCAGGCAGCAGCATTTGTGGTTCACCAATATCCGCTCTTCTACAGCCACTGAGGCTGAAACCCAGGCAAACAGGGTCTGCAGTGGACCTCTAGCAAACTCTAACAGACCTGCAGCTGAGGGTCCTGTCTGTTAGAAGGAAAACTAACAAACAGAAAGGACATCCGCACCAAAAACCCATCTGTACGTCACCATCATCAAAGACCAAAGATAGATGAAACCACAAAGATGAGAAAAAAACAGAGCAGAAAAACTGGAAACTCTAAAGATCAGAGCGCCTCTCCTCCTCCAAAGGAATGCAGCTCCTCACCAGCAACGGAACAAAGCTGGATGGAGAATGACTTTGACAAGTTGAGAGAAGAAGGCTTCAGATGATCAAACTACTCTGAGCTACAGGTGGAAATTCAAACCAATGGCAAAGAAGTTAAAAGCTTTGAAAAAAAATCAGACAAATGGATAACTAGAATAACCAATGCAGAGAAGTTCTTAAAGGACTTGATGGAGCTGAAAACCAAGGCAAGAGAGCCACATGACAAATGCAGAAGCCTCAGTAGCTGATAGGATCAACTGGAAGAAAGGTTATCAGTGATGGAAGACGAAATGAATGAAATGAAGTGAGAAGAGAAGTTTAGAGAAAAAAGAATAAAAAGAAACGAACAAAGCCTCCAAGAAATATGGGACTATGTGAAAAGACCAAATCTACGTCTGATTGGTGTACCTGAAAGTGATGGGGAGAAGGGAACCAAGTTGGAAAACACTCTGCAGGATATTATCCAGGAGAACTTCCCCAATCTAGCAAGGCAGGCCAACGTTCAGATTCAGGAAATACAGAGTACGCCACAAAGATACTCCTCGAGAAGAGCAACTCCAAGACACATAATTGTCAGATTCACCAAAGTTGAAATGAAGGAAAAAATATTAAGGGCAGCCAGAGAGAAAGGTTGGGTTACCCACAAAGGGAAGCCCATCAGACTAACAGCTGATCTCTCGGCAGAAACTCTACAAGCCAGAAGAGAGTGGGGACCAATATTCAACATTCTTAAAGAAAAGAATTTTCAACCCAGAATTTCATATCCAGCCAAACGAAGCTTCATAAGTGAAGGAGAAACAAAATCCTTCACAGACAAGCAAATGCTGATTTTGTCACCACCAGGCCTGCCCTAAAAGAGCTCCTGAAGGAAGCACTAAACATGGAAAGGAACAACTGGTACCAGCCACTGCAAAAACATGCCAAATTGTAAAGACCATCAAGGCTAGGAAGAAACTGCATCAACTAATGAGCAAAATAACCAGCTAACATCACAATGACAGGATCAAATTCACACATAACAATATTAACTTTAAATGTAAATGGGCTAAATGCTGCAATTAAAAGACACAGACTGGCAAATTGGATAAAGAGTCAAGACCAATCAGTGCACTGTAGTCAGGAAATCCATCTCACATGCAGAGACACACATAGGCTCAAAATAAAGGGATGGAGGAAGATCTACCAAGCAAATGGAAAACAAAAAAAGGCAGGGGTTGCAATCCTAGTCTCTGATAAAACAGACTTTATACCAACAAAGATCAAAAGAGACAAAGAAGGCCATTACCTAATGGTAAAGGGATCAATTCAACAAGAAGCGCTAACTATCCTAAATATATATGCACCCAATACAGGAGCACCCAGATTCATAAAGCAAGTCCTTAGTGACCTACAAAGAGACTTAGAATTCCACTCAATAATAATGGGAGACTTTAACACCCCACTGTCAACATTAGACAGATCAATGAGACAGAAAGTTAACAAGGATACCCAGGAATTGAACTCAGCTCTGCACCAAGCGGACCTAATAGACATCTACAGAACTCTCCACCCCAAATCAACAGAATATACATTCTTTTCAGCACCACACCACACCTACTCTGAAATTGACCACATAGTTGGAAGTAAAGCTCTCCTCAGCAAATGGAAAAGAACAGAAATTATAACAAACTGTTTCTCAGACCACAGCGCAATCAAACTAGAACTCAGGATTAAGAAACTCACTCAAAACTGCTCAACTGCATGGAAACTGAACAATCTGCTACTGAATGACTACTGGGTACATAATGAAATGAAGGCATAAATAAAGATGTTCTTTGAAACCAATGAGAACAAACACACAACATACGAGAATCTCTGGGACACATTTAAAGCAGTGTGTAGAGGGAAATTTATAGCACTAAATGCCCACAAGAGAAAGCAGGAAAGATCCAAAATTGACACCCCAACATCACAATTAAAAGAACTAGAAAAGCAAGAGCAAACACATTCAAAAGCTAGCAGAAGGCAAGAAATAACTACCATCAGAGCAGAACTGAAGGAAATAGAGACACAAAAAACCCTTCAAAAAATTAATGAATCCAGGAGCTGGTTTTTTGAAAGCATCAACAAAATTGATAGACCACTAGCAAGACTAATAAAGAAGAAAACAGAGAAGAATCAAATAGATGCAATAAAAAATGATAAAGAGGATATAACCACCGATCCCACAGAAATACAAACTACCATCAGAGAATACTATAAACACCTCTAGGCAAATAAACTAGAAAATCTAGCAGAAATGGATAAATTCCTTGACACATACATCCTCCCAAGACTAAACCAGGAAGAAGTTGCATCTCTGAATAGACCAATAACAGGCTCTGAAATTGAGGCAATACTCAATAGCTTACCAACAAAAAAAAGTCCAGGACCAGATGGATTCACAGCCGAATTCTACCAGAGGTACAAGGAGGAACTGGTACCAATACTTCTGAAACTATTCCAATCAATAGAAAAAGAGGGAATCCTCCCTAACTCATTTTATGAGGCCAGCATCATCCTGATACCAAAGCCTGGCAGAGAAACAACAAAAAAAGAGAATTTTAGACCAATATCCTTGATGAACATTGATGCAAAAATCCTCAATAAAATACTGGCAAACCAAATCCAACAGCACATCAAAAAGCTTATCCAACATGACCAAGTGGGATTCATCCCTGGGATGCAAGGCTGGTTCAACATACGCAAATCAATAAATGTAATCCAGCATATAAACAGAACCAAAGACAAAAACTACATGATCATCTCAATAGATGCAGAAAAGGCCTTTGACAAAATTCAACAACCCTTCATGCTAAAAACTCTCAATAAATTAGGTATTGATGGGATGTATCTCAAAATAATAAGAGCTATCTATGACAAACCTGCAGCCAATATGATACTGAATGGGCAAAAACTGGAAGCATTCCCTTTGAAAACGGGCACAAGACAGGGATGCCCTCTCTCACTGCTCCTATTCAACATAATGTTGGAAGTTCTGGCCAGGGCAATCAGGCAGGAGAAGAAAATAAAGGGTATTCAATTAGGAAAAGAGGAAGTCAAATTGTCCCTGTTTGCAGATCACATGATTGTATATCTAGAAAACCCCATCATCTCAGCCCAAAATTTCCTCAAGTTGATAAGCAACTTCAGCAAAGTCTCAGAATACAAAATCAATGTATAAAAATCACAAGCATTCTTATACACCAATAACAGACAAACAGAGAGCCAAATCATGAGTGAACTCCCATTCACAATTGCTTCAAAGAGAATAAAATACCTAGGAATCCAACTTACAAGGGATGTGAAGGACCTCTTCAAGGAGAACTACAAACCACTGCTCAATGAAATAAAAGAGGATACGAACAAATAGAAGAACATTCCATGCTCATGGGCAGGAAGAATCAATATCATGAAAATGGCCATACTGTCCAAGGTAATTTATAGATTCAATGCCATCCCCATCAAGCTACCAATGACTTTCTTCACAGAATTGGAAAAAACTACTTTAAAGTTCATATGGAACCAAAAAAGAGCCCGCATACCAAGTCAATCCTAAGCGAAAAGAACAAAGCTGGAGGCATCACCCTACCTGACTTCAAACTATACTACAAGGCTACAGTAACCAAAACAGCATGGTACTGGTACCAAAACAGAGATATAGACCAATGGAACAGAACAGAGCCCTCAGAAATAGTGCCGCATATCTACAACTATCTGATCTTTGACAAACCTGAGAAAAACAAGCAATGGGGAAAGGATTCCCTATTTAATAAATGATGCTGGGAAAACTGGCAAGCCATATGTAGAAAGCTGAAACTGGATCCCTTCCTTACACCTTACACAAAAATTAATTCAAGATGGATTAAAGACTTAAATGTTAGACCTAAAACCATAAAAACCCTAGAAGAAAACCTAGGCAATACCATTCAGGACATAGGCATGGGCAAGGACTTCATGTCTAAAACACCAAAAGCAATGGCAACAAAAGCCAAAAATGACAAATGAGATATAATTAAACTAAAGAGCTTCTGCACAGCAAAAGAAACTACCATCAGAGTGAACAGGCAACCTACAGAATGGGAGAAAATTTTTGCAACCTACTCATCTGACAAAAGGCTAATACCCAAAATCTACAATGAACTCAAACAAATTTACAAAAGACAAACGACCCCATCAAGAAGTGGGTGAAGGACATGAACAGACACTTCTCAACAGAAGACATTTATGCAGCCAAAAAACACGTGAAAAAATGCTCATCATCACTGGCCATCAGAGAAATGCAAATCAAAACCACAATGAGATACTATCTCACACCAGTTAGAATAGCGATCATTAAAAAGTCAGGAAACAACAGGTGCTGGAGAGGATGTGGAGAAATAGGAACACTTTTACACTGTTGGTGGGACTGTAAACTAGTTCAACCATTGTGGAAGACAGTGTGGCGATTCCTCAGGGATCTAGAACTGGAAATACCATTTGACCCAGCCATCCCATAAGTGGATATATACCCAAGGGATTATAAATCATGCTGCTATAAAGACACATGCACACGTATGTTTATAGCGGCACTATTCACAGTAGCAAAGACTTGGAACCAACCTAAATGTCCAACAACGATAGAGTGGATTAAGAAAATGTGGCACACATACACCATGGAATACTATGCAGCCATAAAAATGATGAGTTTATGTCCTTTGTAGGGACATGGATGAAACTGGAAACCATCATTCTCAACAAACTATCGCAAGGACAAAAAACCAAACACCGCATGTTCTCACTCATAGGTGGGAACTGAACAATGAGAACACATGGACACAGGAAAGGGAACATCACACACCGGGGACTGTTGTGGGGTGGGGGAGAGGGGAGGGATAGCATTAGGAGATATGCCCAATGTTAAATGATGAGTTAATGGGTGCAGCACACCAACATGGCACATGTATACATATGTAACAAACCTGCATGTTGTGCACATGTACCCTAAAACTTAAAGTATAATAATAATGAAATAAAAAAAGAAAAAAACTGTACTGAGAAGACTTTTTGCTTATTTAATTGGAGATAAATTATCTAGAAAATATATTTCCCTTCACCCTGTATCAAACTTGAGTTGAAACAAGGAAACTGAGGTGGTTATGTGACTTTGAGACACCTGTTTTTTATGTTTGCCAATTAACTCTTCCCTCTACTCCCACCCTTGGCTGCCTTCATCCAGTTAAGAAGACATCAAAGAAATAAGGAGTCTAGTGTGATCAGTCAATGTAGTTGACAAAAATAATTATCCTGTAGCATATTTTAAGAAGGTAACTAGAGCTTCATTTTTGAGACTTGATTTTTATTTGTTTGGAAATTAATAAGACCAAGATTTGAAACTTTATATTTAAATATATAAAGGTATTATTTTCTCTACTTTATTTTTAACAGTATATAAACCTGAGGCTCTTCTACTCCCAGAAGGAATATTTACTATGTTTTAAGGGCTCAGAATGTAAGCGTGTGGAAGACACAGAGCATAAAATTCGTAATATTTTTCAAGACCATCAAAATCTTCTTCCGTGAAAATTTCTTACATAAAATATATGTAAAAATTAGAGAATCTCAATGGTTCTTACCTGGATTTAGAATCCTACAGCAACTGCAACAAGTCCACCCTTTATTCCTCTTAAAGTAGTTGGCTTTTTGAAAACAAGTCCAGTGATGATTAACCACCTTATTATGTCATTGCTCTAGTCAAACATATAAAACCTAGTTAGTTTTAAGAGTTCACTCCAGTTGCCAATATTTAAAGATTATATTTCTCAGAATTCTCACATTATTTTTTGTTAATCTTAACAAGTAAACCTTACTTTTGGGAATGGCTTTTACTTGTTTATTCAATTAAGTTGGTGGCATAAGATTTTTTTCTTTAAAAATATGAGTACAATAAATTATTCCAGGTATTTAAAACTTCCAAATAGGAAATAATTTAAGACAAATAAAAAATATGCCTACAGGTTACATTGGCATTTAAAAATTAAAATATACCCTCTTTGCTTGGTACATAAGTATGGTTCTAACGTGGTATGTATGGAGACTGGAGATACCACCTGGAATAAGAGAGTCCCAATTAACTGCAAGACCATTTTTCTGAATGATGAAAATTAAGACTGCTTTATGCGATAGATTCTTTACATCAAAACAGGAAAGAATTATTAATATCACAGTTTCCTTTTATTGACTTGACTTGTGGAGAAAGGAAGAGCTTAACTCAGTTAAAAGTTTTCTTGAGTAGAGATGAAGTTTAATTAATTCAATAACTCAAACATTTTAGACTCTCAATTATACCTTGGACATTAAGCTCTCTTCTGAAATAAAGTACAGACCCTTCTCTCACATAAATATATATATTTCAGAAAAGTGTGAAGATATATGTATGTATATACACACAAACATACATGTATACATATATACACACTTTTACCTGTATACACATATGCACATATATATATGTGGTAATGTGAGGATGCATATATGAGAATATGGTTACCCCTTATCATTCATGGGACATTTGTTGATATGGTTGCAGCAAAATGTATTTGATGTCTGTGCCACAGTTATCTGATTGATTAGTTCTATTCTTGGTTAATTATTGAGAGTATTGGAATCATGAGACAAACTAAAGAGTAGTGTAGAGGGGAAGAATGACTGTGCAGAACTGAGAAATGTAGACCCAAGGCCAAAATATTAGAGTAAGGCTTCCAAATACTCTGCTGAGTAAGAATCTACTGGCGAGTTGTCAAAATAGCAATCCAGTCCCATACCCAGCAGATTCTGGCTCAGGAGACCAAAGATTATGCCTGTTAAATAAGCACTTTGAAAAATTTTCATGTACTGCCAGATTTTGATATCATAACAGGAATGCAGAACATTTTCCATCATTTTTATGGACTTCCTTTTATTCACAATGGGAATACAGTTTGGGTTTTCTCAGGCTAATGGTTTTCTCCTCAGACATCCATTTCATTGAAAACACATCAACATGTTTGGAGACTAATATATATATTATATACAATGAAGATAAAACAGTACAAACTAACTAACAACCTTTATAATCCTGAGCTAAAGGTGCCAGTTGTAAAATTCTCCAATATTTTCAGAGGTCAAAGAGCATTCTCTGTGCCCCTTTTCTCTTCCTAATTGTGTAAATAATTAGACTGCTCATTTTGTGGGATCATGGAAAAACAAGAGTACACCAGGGGAAAGATGTTGCAAAACATCTTTCAAGATCAATATTATGCTAACAGCCACGCATCAGTTAGATGACAAAAATTGATTTAAAGAATCAGCTGATATTTTTTTCAGGAACGGCTATCACAGCTCTGATGAAATATCATGGCCTTTGAAGTCTGAAAGACTTAAATGCCGATATGTCTCTGCTACCTGCCAGCAGTATAAACATCAGTAGGTTATTTACCATTTCTGAGCATCAGTGCACTCATCTATAAAGTAAGAAGTCTATATTTGGAATAAAGATTTAGTGTATGTAAAGTGCCTTACATAATGCCTGGCACATTATAGATTCAACACCTAATTAGATTAATTGTATGATATTTGCATATTATAAATTTTAGAGCAGTTAATTTATATTAAATGAATACAAATAAAATCTCTGAGATCTGTATCCTGTAGATCTGTAAAACCTATGTCCAATAGGTTTTAGCCCCAGAGTTCTCAGGTGTGTACCACAGGCACACCTCAAGAGGGAACCGTCAGGCTCCAAGCAGATCCGCCCTTACCCGAACATTTCACTTCTGTTGGTGCTGATTAAGAGACAGCTCCAGAAAGCTACACTCTCCTGGAAAGAACTCCTATTCTACATATTATTCTCCAAACATGTTTCTATACCCACCAATGATCAAAGCTCTGGCATCATCAAGACTAATATTACCATGGCAATTATCGCTCTTATGGTAGTGACCACCATAAGAAGGTAGGGATTCCCTGATGACTCATCACCTCTTCTCTAATCCCCACAGGGCTCTGCACATTCCTATGTTTGCCCCCATCTTCTCTCTTTCTCCCAATCCTGGACTGAAATTCTTCTCTTGAGTTTTCTGGAACCCATCACTAGTCATGACTGAAACTCCCCTTACCTTTACCTCTTCTCTGAGTTATTCTGCTTCACTTCTGCCTTGAACTTAAAAATTGGTCTTCCCTGAGACACTCCCTCTCCTGCAGCAGTGATACATAGGGGTTGCCTTATCCCCCATATTGCTGCAAACCAGATGGGCTGGTTTCCAATGTGCCTCACTTTGCTAGTTTCTTTACATTTCCCCACCCTTTACACTCATAATCCATAGTTTTGGATCTCATATTGAAAGACTCTATCACTTATTCCTCTTGTTGAAATCATCTATCAACGCTCAGTCACTCCCACTCATTTCATGACAATTTTAGCTCTCGATCCAAAGCCATTCTCTCAAAATGCTACTACTATTTTAATTATTCATGATGGTAATGACCATGAAGAGAATCTTTTTAATTCTCTGTTTTCTTTTTATTTTCTTTTTATTTTTTAGCCTTCTCCTCAATGATCTTGGCTTCTACCTACTGCTATGGGCATATCCTATGCTTTTCACACCACTGTAATCTCTCCATAATATCAAAGATTGGAGCACCACTCTTTATCACTCCTAGCTCACACTCAGTAACACCCTAGATCCACATGCTTCCACTGACCAGGATGTATAACCTACAATTTGATTTTGCCAGAGATTTCGGTGTTCCTTATCTATACATCTGGGTTAATTTAATGGTCACGGTAATCACTCTCTTCTATATAACTTCATATAATTTTGACTGTTTTGCATTATTTTAATTGCATGTCAAAGCCACAATCTTGATTAAATTTAACTCTCAAATAACTCTGCACATTTCCCTTATGAAGCTAAATGTAACTGAGGAAAATCTCTCAACCATGCTGACTTTAAACGTATGATTAGGAAGCCCAAATGGACCTTTCATTTTGCCAAGAAATCATTCACGCCATTTTGCACTCTGAGCATTTTGTGCCTTCATCTTTTTTTTTTTTTTTTGAAATTCTAATACATCCCTTCCCCACCTTCAGCTGATGAATTATTTTACTGAAAAAATAAATAAATAAAGAAGAAACTTCAAAAGCTCCCTTGACCACATTTATCTATGTAAAGCCCCAGTACCACCACATGGTCTGCCTTAGTGAACTACCCAAGTTTAAGCTAAGGCCAATCTCCACTTGCATATGACATTGACTCCTCCCCTTGTGTTTTTAAGGATAGCACTATCCTCTTTTTAAATGTTTCCATCAGCATGTAAGAATGCTGTCACTTTTTCATCTTCCAAAAATCTCTCTTTTGATCCCATTTTTTCCTAATATTGCCCTATTTCTGTGCTATTTTTACAGAGAAATAGCTTGTCTAATTATTGCTTTCAATCTCTCTCTCTACATTCTCTCTTGAGCACACTCTTATCAGGCTTTTGCCCCCAAATTTCCACTGAAACTACTTTTCCTAAGTCATAAATTACCTAAATGCTACATCTAATAGTCCTCATCTGACTTGAACTATTAGCAGCATTTTTCAGAACTGAGAATTCCCTCCCTAAGCAAAACTTTGCAGGACACTACCCTTTGTGGTTTGCCTTCTAACTCACTGACTTACTTATTTACACTTCATTTACTCTAAATTCTTTATCTTTGTCTTCTAAATTGAAGCATGTCAGACAATAACCTTACTGTGTGTGTTTGTGACCTCATCTATTCTCATGTCTTTAAATCTTATCCATACGTTGATAATTCCAAAATTTTTTCTCTAGCCAAGTTACTCATGAACTCTAGATTTATCCATTGACTTCTCACCATCTTCCTATATATCTCTAATAGGCATCTTACACTTAATATTTTCTAACATGGTATCTTTGTCTTTCCTTCCCCAACCTCTCCTCTTGTAATAATCCCCATTTCCAGGGATTATTGTCCAGGGAAGACAATAATCCCCATACATTGTAATTCTGTCATTCCAGTTGCACACATGCGTGCACATGCACAGCCACATACAATATTAGAATCATTCTTCTCTATTTCTCACACTCACATTAGGCTCTAATTTCCAAATATACCCAGAATCTGATGATTTCTTACCTCCTCCACAACTTTCAGGCTGGTCCTGAATTATTGCAATACCCTCATACTTGTATCTCAGCTTTCCTCCTGACCACTCACAGCCCCTCTTCCCCAACCTCCTTCCCCTGTGTAAATCTTAACATATAAGTGAGGGTCATACCATGTCATAGCTCTGCTCAAATCCCCCATTGGCTTCACATATCACTCAAAAATCCAAAGAACAGCTTTAAGGCCTTATAAGTTATAGATCCTCTACTGAGAATCTTTGTTCCTATTTTTCTTTCTGTCTGGAATGTTCTTTCCCTATAGCTGCATAACTTACTCCCTCACCATATTCTAGTACCCAAACAAATGACACTTTCCCAGCGAAGTCTTCTCTAACAATTTTTTAATATTACTCCCTTTGACACTCAATTTTTATTCTCTCACCATCATACTATAAATTTTACTCACATATTTTGTTTACTGCCAGCCTTCCTTTGCCTCAAAAACCATGAAGTTACACTGCAGAGGAATCTCCAGAAGAACAAGGATAGGTTTTTGTTTTATTTGTTCACTGCTGTATACTCAGTTCCAAGAATAGTGTCTCATACCTAGAAGATACTCAATAAATATTTTTTAAATAAATGAAATATCTATTTTAAAAATGCATACCAATGAACTGATGTTAAAAACAAAGACTTAATCTGCAATAGTATTTTAAAATGGTAAGAAAGATGACTGTAATTGTATGTAAAGCAGTTATTCAATCATCAATACATATGATAAAAATTGGAAGCAGTCAACAATTTATTTTGTTTAAAGAGTCAAACTTGACCATGGAGCAAGCTACATGATTCTTCCTTCTACTTGAAATGTTTTATCTACAGACGTCCACTTTTTGTTTCAATTGTTTTTCTGCTCAATTATTACTGCTTTGCAGATGCTTTCCCTGACCTGCTTAAAAATGTAACATTTGTAAATTTCTACCTTCTTGCTCTACCCCCCATAACTCTTAAAATTACATGATTTTATGAAATATGTTTGTATATTGTCTTTTCTCCAGTAAATATGATCAACAAAAGATCAGGAACTTCATCTTTTTGATCAGTCATCAGATTCTAGTATAGTGCTTGGCATATTATCAGAAAGAATAAATCATTATACATAGAAAATAATTTATTATTATAATAACTTAATATTAAAATAAATTAAGATAATGTATTAAAGGAACTTAATCTTTATTAATATTAATTTATTATAATAAATTTAGCTTTATTATAATAAAGTTCATTATAACAATATTGTAATAAATTATTATTATAGAAAATGAATACATTGAATAAATGAATCAACTATGCCTTCAAAAACCTCTCCATTATCAACTTCATGAATTCTGAACATGTCTGGCACACAGAAAGAGATCTGGCATCTCCTCTTCTATCTTAGCTATTAATCCTCTATCCCAGTGGCTTTCAATGTGAGATATTCACTCAGAAATAGGAGAAGGCTTTCCAAAGGATGGGAAAGCACAGATAATGGTTTTCAAATAATTCAGTTTTATCTTTTCAAAGAACCAGGCTTTTGTTTCATTTATCTTTCGTATATTTTTTGTTTCAATTTCATTTAGTTCTGCTCCAATCTTTGTTATTTCTTTTCTTCCACTGGGCTTGGGTTTGGTTTGTCCCTGTTTCTCTAGTACCTTGAGATGTGATGTTATATTGCCTATTCGTGCTCTTTCAGACTTTTTGATGTAGGCATTTAATGCTATGTGCTTTCCTCTTAACACCACTTTTGCTGTATTCCAGAGGTTTTGTTAGGTTGCATCACTATTATTACTCAGTTCAAAGAATTTTTAAATTTCCATCTTAACTTCATTGTTGACCCAAAGATTATTCAGGAGCAGATTATTTAATTTCCATGTATGTGCATGGCTTTGAGAGTTCATTTTGGAGTTGATTTAGAATTGTATTCCACTGTGACCTGAGAGAGTACTTGATATAATTTTGATTTTTCTAAATTTATTGAGACTTTCTTTATTATTATTATTATTATTATACTTTAAGTTTTAGGGTACATGTGCACAATGTGCAGGTTAGTTACATATGTATACATGTGCCATGCTGGTGTGCTGCACCCATTAACTCGTCATTTAGCATTAGGTATATCTCCTAATGCTATCCCTCCCATCTCCCCCCACCCCACAACAGTACCCAGAGTGTGATGTTCCCCTTCCTGTGTCCATGTGTTCTCATTGTTCAATTCCCATCTATGAGTGAGAACATGTGGTGTTTGGTTTTTAGTCCTTGTGATAGTTTACTGAGAATGATGATTTCCAATTTCATCCATGTCCCTACAAAGGACATGAACTCATCATTTTTTATGGCTGCATAGTATTCCATGGTGTATATGTGCCACATTTTCTTAATCCAGTCTATCATTGTTGGACATTTGGGTTGGTTCCAAGTCTTTGCTGTTGTGAATAGAGCCGCAATAAACATACGTGTGCATGTGTCTTTATAGCAGCATGATTTATAGTCCTTTGGGTATATACCCAGTAATGGGATGGCTGCAAATGGTATTTCTAGTTCTAGATCCCTGAGGAATTGCCACACTGACTTCCACAATGGTTGAACTAGTTTACAGTCCCACCAACAGTGTAAAAGTGTTCCTATTTCTCCACATCCTCTCCAGCACCTGTTGTTTCCTGACTTTTTAATGATTGCCATTCTAACTGGTGTGAGATAGTATCTCATTGTGGTTTTGATTTGCATTTCTCTGATGGCCAGTGATGATGAGCATTTTTTCATGTGTCTTTTGGCTGCATAAATGTCTTCTTTTGAGAAGTGTCTGTTCATATCCTTTGCCCACTTTTTGATGGGGTTGTTTTTTTCTTGTAAATTTGTTTGAATTCATTGTAGATTCTGGATATTAGCCCTTTGTCAGATGAGTAGGTTGCGAAAATTTTCTCCCATTTTGTGGGTTGCCTGTTCACTCTGATGGTAGTTTCTTTTGCTGTGCAGAAGCTCAATTTATTGAGACTTTCTTTGTGTCCTATCATATTGTCTATTTTGGAGAATGTTCCATGTGCAGAGGAATAAAATGTATATTCTTCATTTGTTGTGTAGAATGTTCTCTAAATATCTGTTAAGTCCAGTTTTTAGGTTTGGTCATTTGACGTAAATATTTGTCCTAGGGTATAGTTTAAGTCCATTGTTTCTTTGTTGATTTTCTGTCTTGATGACCTGTCTAGTGCTGTCAGTGAAGTACTGAAGTCTCCCAATATTATTGTATTGCTGTCCATCTCATTTCTTAGGTCTAGTAGTAATTCTTTTATAATTTTGGAAGTTCCAGTGTTAGGTGAATACATACTTCTGATTGTAATATTTTCCTGTTGGACTATTTCTTTTATCATTATATAATGTCCCTCTTTGTCTTTTTTTAACTGCAGCTGCTTTAAAGTCTGTTTTGTCTGATATAAGAATAGGTACCTCTGCTCACTTTTGGTGTTCATTTGCATGGAACATCTCTTTTCACCCTTTTACCTTAAGTTTATGTGAGTCCTTATTTGTTAGGTGAGTCTCTTGAAGATAGCAGATGCTTGATTGGTGAATTGTTATCCATCCTGCCATTCTGCATCTTTTAAGTAGAGCATTTAGGTCATTTACATTCAACATTACTATTAAGATGTGAGTTACTATTCTATTCATCATGCTAGTTGCTGCCTGAATACCTTATTTTTTCTTTATTGTGTATTGTTGTATAGACCCTGTGAGATTTATGCTTTAAATAGGTTCTATTTTGGTGTATTTTGAGGTTTTGTTTCAATATTTAAAACGTCTTATTGACATCTCTTGTAGAAATGGCTTGGTAGTAGCAGATTCTGTCAGCATTTGTTTGTCTAGATAAGACTTTGTCTTTTCTTTATTTATAGAGCTTTGTTTTGCTGGATACAAAATTCTAGGCTGATGATTATTTTGTTTAAAGAAGCTAAAGATAGAATCCCAATCCCTTCTAGCTTGTAGGGCTTCTGCTAAGAAATACGCTGTTAATCTGATAGGTCTTCCATTATAGGTTACCTGATGCTTTTACCTCACGGTTCTTGAGAGTCTTTCCTTTGTCATCACTTTATGTAACCTGATGACTGTGTGCCTAGGTGATGACGTTTTTGTGATACATTTCCAAGGTGTTCTTTGAGCTTTTTGTATTTGGATTTCTGGATCTCTATCAAGGCCAGGAAAGATTTCCACAATTATTTCCTCAAATAAATTTTCAAAACATTTAGATTTTCCTTATTCCTCAGGAACACTTACTATTTTTAGGTTTGGTCATTTAACATAGTCCCAAACTTCTTGAGGGCTGTTCATTTTTTTAAGTTCTTTTTTATTTGTCTTTATCAGATTGGGTTAATTCAAAAGTCTTATTTTCAAGCTCTAAAGTTCCTTCTTTTACTTGTTTAGTTCCATTGTTGAAACTTTCCAGTGTGTTTTGCATTTCTCTGTCTTTAATTTTCAGAAGTTGAGATTGTTTTTTAATTTATGTTATCTATTTCTCTAGAGAGTTTTTCATCCATATCTTATAAATTTTTAAAAATTTTTAAGTTGATTTACATCTTTCTCTGGTGCCTCCTTGAGTAGCTTAATAATCAACCTTCTGAATTCTTTTTCTGGCAATTCACATTTGCTTGCTTTGGATGCTGGTGAGCTAGTGTGATCTTTTGGGTTGTTATAAAAACTTGTTTTTTATATTTAAAGTGCCATAAAAATTATTAGGCAGCTATAGATATCCAGTGTGTCCAAGAGGATCTCAGAAGGCTTACAGTCCACAGAACAGGGAACACATTTTTAGAGGTCTAAGGCAGATGAGCAAGATGATCCAAGCAGGTCACAACTGGAATTTCAGGAGACACTTAATTAGCAGGAGTTGAGGACAGGAGAATGCTGTTGCTCCAAAGAAAATCCGAGGTATTGTGATTGGTCTTTGTTATATCATGTGAGAATATATGACTTCAGAATTCTATGAGAAAGTTGAAATTTTCAGAAAACAATCTCTTTATCTTGTTGTCTATATTATTGAGCATATATAAAAAAACTGAGCACTATTTAGGATTTCTATTAGAGTAAACCAATGTCACATTGGTGCTATTCAAGAGGACACACATTTTTTAGCCATTGAGTATAAAAAATATTATTCTAGACTTGAGCCCAAGAGAACTAGAAAGAGTTGAGAAAAGAAAAGTTTCTATCATGCAAAATATTTTAGAGGACTCTGTCATAAATTCCTGTCAAATTAGCATAAATGCCATCTATAATCAGATATATATAAAAATGAGTAAACAGTGAGATACCACTTTGGAATAAATTATTGAATACTGAAAAAAGCTGATGTCTGATAAATATGAACAAGCAGGGGCAATCTGTCTAGAAAAACTATTTTTTGGTAAAATCTTTTTGAAAAGAAACTTGAAAAGTGAACTTCAAAAAGTTTAAATTCTTTGATCCAGTAATTTTGGTTCCAAGATGATTTACTGTAGAAAACTACAGATGTATTCAAATAATTACATAAAAAGATGTTTATTACAGTATTGTCTATACTTTGATAAAAACTATTGACAGATACAATGCATTGAATAATTACAATGTTTCTGACATTGTGCTTAGTGATTGAGACTGAGAAGGGGAAACAAAGGGGAGAGAAAAGAGGGGGAAAAGATAATGTAACAGAACAGAAGTAATAGAGCATTGCCTACTCCCTCTATTTCCTAAAAGCCTGATGATTTGGTACTTAAGGATTTGAAAAAAGCTAGTTTAAAAGTGAAAGAAGCTGGGCATGGAGGCTCACGCCTGTAATCCCAGCACTTTGAGAGGCCGAGGTGGGCAGATCACGAGGTCAAGAGTTCGAGACCAGCCTGGCCAATATGGTTGAAACCTCGTCACTACTAAAAATACAAAAATTATCTGTGTGTGGTGGCGATGCCTGTAGTCCCAGCTACTCGGGAGGCTGAGGCAGAAGAATCGCTTGAACCCGGGAGCTGGAGGTTGCAGTGAGCCAAGATCATGCCACGGCACTCCAGCCTGGGTGACAGAGCGAGACTCCATCTCAAAAAAAAAAAAAAAGTAGAACAACCTGATAAATAATTCAACAATTACATATTGAAATATTTTCTATCTCAAATAAGAATAATTGGTACAATATGTTTTTAAAATTCCACAGGGACATATCTATGTTCAAAGACAATATAAACATTGTCCTTGACATCTGGTTTTCCAGAAATTAAACAGAAACATAAAGGAGTAACAGAACTGAATTCACAGGCTGAATGCACAAGCTCTAAGTCTATAAATGGGCAATGGTTTCTGGGATATCAGTTTCCAAAGGGAAAATAACATATCTACGTGGAATGAAGAGATTAATCCAGATTCATAATTTCAATCTAATTAATGAGATAGAACACCTTGTACTGTGTTGAGTCATGTTCCTCAAAATATTCATATTCATTCAGAAGTTCATGACATTACCTTATTTGAAAACAAGGTCTTTGCAAATGGAATTAGTTAAGTTAAAAGTTAAAATGAGGTTATGTTGGATTATAGTATGACTTAACTCTAATCACCAATGTCTTTTCTATATTACAGAAATGATTCATAATAAAATAAAATTCTAAAAATAGCAGAATTTAATAAATAGACTATGTACAACAGAGGTAACAAAAAATAAAACACTATGTTTTTGAAAAGGTGAAACATAATAACAATAAAAATAATCTAGAAAGGCAAGTAAAGAAAGAGAGGAAGCACAAATAAACACTATTAAAATTAAAAAGGCAGGGAGGGGCCAAGATGGCCGAATAGAAACAGCTTCGGTCTGCAGCTCCCAGTGAGATCAGTGCAGAAGGCAGGTGATCTCTGTATTTCCAACCGAGGTATCCAGTTCATCTCATTGCAACTGGTTGGGCAGTGGATGCAACTCACGGAGAGTGAGCAGAAGCAGGGTGGGGTGTCGCTTCACTGTGAAGTGCACAGAGCTGGGGACCTCTCTCCCAGCCAAGGAAGCGGTTAGGGACAGTCTTATTGATCCTAATTCTTTTGAGAAAATGTCACCTACCTGGTGAAAATGTCTCTTCAGTAACTGAAGTTGTAGAGACAAAAATCACAGGGAAGTAAAATGAGTACAGCAAAATTCCGTAGTTTTGAATGATGATGAATTGAGAATTAAACTGTAATGCCCTATTATATTACTCTTCTCAGATCTGGAAAACATGGTGCAACTTAATTGTTTTTTAAAATCAACAGAAGTACTGCAGGTAATTTTTTTGTCTTTAAGAACCTCATTTTTTTTAACTCAAGATAAACATGTTCACCAATGGTATTTCTGAGGTATCAATGGCAGTTGAGATTTCGATAGGAGGAACATTTGAAAAACCCCCTAAAAAAACTTTTGAGCCAGCTTCATTTTTATGTTAAACAGCAATTTCTATTAATTCATGTAAGGGTATGTTTCCTACATTTTGTTTTCCAAACACTTCTAAAAATGTTTTGTTATTAAAATCTATTTAATTTCACTGAATTTGTACTTTGGTATTAGGATTATTCAGAGACTGAAATGCTCCTTCTGCTTATGTGGACATTTAAATAGTTTATTCAAATTTATCAATTGCATGTGAAAGACGCCTACAGCTCCTTATTCTATTCAGAAATTGCTCTTTAACTCTTCCTATTCATTCCAGACATGATCCTTATATAATAGATTACTCATTAATATGCCATCTCATGCTTTCAATTCTTTATTTTCTCTATTAGTCATGTCATATTTACTTATTTTTTCACAGCACTGACCAACTTAATCAGATTATGAAAAATCATGTGGCAGAGATGGTTAATTTTTTTTTCCAGCAAGTCAAACCTGGCCACTAAAGTCTTTCTTAAAAACAAGTGTCTGTGTGAGGAGATGGAATAAGATGACCAAATAGGAGTCTTCACTGATTGACTTCTCCACAAGAGCAAATTTAAAAACTATCAAAAAAAAAAAAGCACCTTCATAAGGAACAAAAAAAATACCATAGGTACCAGCTTGGCTATAATGAGGTAGAGCACCAAGCAGGCCCTTGGGGTCCCTGATGGAGGCTTTGGTTTGTGGATAGCATTTCTGGGCCTGCCCTGAGCCAAAGGAGAGCCAACTTATCTGAAGGGAATGTCCCAGGCTGGGCAGCATTCAAGCTGACTGAAAAGCCCTTATTCTTGGAGTGAACACTGGTGGTAGCCAGGTGATACTTGCTGTGGGCCTGAGATGGTGGTAGGCATGAGAAAAGAAAGGGGAGGAAGAGCAGAAATAATTTTGTCTTGTGGCTTGGGTGTCTGCTCAGCTGCAGTGGAGTAGGGAAAGAGGTAGATTTTGAAGACTTCTGACTTCAGACCCAGGTTTCTGGCTGGTATCTCTGGACCTGTCTGTGGCCAAAATGAACTCATGGCCCTAAAAGGAAGTATACAAGCTAGGCTGGCTTTGCCACCTGCTGACTGCAGAGCCCAAGGGCCTTGAGAAAACACAGGTAGTAGCCAGGTAGTTGTCAGTGCGGGTATTGGGCAAGACCTAGGGCTGCGCTGGTTTGAGTTCTCATTTAGCACAGTCCTAATGGTAGTGGACACAGGGGCGCTTGTGTTATCCATCTCCCAGCTCCAAGCAGCTTAGCACAGAGAGAGAGACTCCATTTGTTAGGGAGAAAGTAAGATGAGAGAATAAGAATCTCTCTGGTAATCCAGATAATTCTTCTAGATCTTGTCCAAGACCACCAAAATGGTACCTCTATGACACTATGAGAGCCACAGTATTACTGAGCTTGGGGTGCCTACTACTGATTTTATGGCTGCAATGACCAAAAATTTAGATCACGACACCCAAGACAGACTGTGAACACTACAATAAATACCTAACTCTTCAATGCCCAGACACTAACAAATATCCACAAGCATCAAGCTCATTCAGGAAAACATTATCTCATCAAATGAACTAAGGCACCAAAGAAAAATCCCAGGGAGACAGAGATATGTGATGTTTCAGACAGAGAATTCAAAATAGCTGTTTTGAAGAAACTCAACAAAATTTTAGATAACACAGATAATAAATTCAGAATCCTATCAGGTAAATTCTTAATAGAAGTTGAAATAATTAAACATAAGCAGAAATTCTGAAGTTGAAAAATTTAATTGACATATTGAAGAATGTGTCAGAGTCTCTTGACAGCAGAACTATTCAAAAAGAAGAGACAATTAGCGAGCTTGAAGACAGGCTATTTGAAAATATATAGTCAGAGGAGACAAAAGAAAAAAGAATAAAAAATGTGAAATATATCTACAAGATATAGAAAATAGCCTCACAAAGGCACACGCAAGAGTTGTTGGGCTTAAAGAGGAGGCAGAGAAAGAGATAGGGTTAGAAAGTTTATTCAAAGGGAAAAAACAGAGAACTTTTCAAACCTAAGGAAATATATCACATCGAAGTACAAGAAAGTTATAGAGCACCAAGCAAATTTAACTCAATGAACACTACCCCAAGGCATTTAATAGTCAAACTCCCCAAAATCAAGGATAAAGAAAGGCTCTTAAAAGCAGCAAGATAAAAGAAATAAGACAACAATGGCACACCAATATATCTGGCAGCAGACTCTTCAGTGGAAACCTTGCTTCAAATATGGTACTTCAGGAGAGTAACATATTTAAAGTGCTAAAGGAAAAAAAAACTTTACCCTAGAATAGTATCTTTGGTGAAAATATTCTTCAAACCTGAAGAACAAATAAGGATGTTCTCAGACAAACAAAAGCTGAGGAATTTCAACATGAGACCTGTCCTACAAGGAATGGCAAAGTGAGTTATTCAATCTGAAAAAAAAAAAAACCATTAATTGAGCAATAATAAATCATCTGAAGGCACAAAACTCACTGTAATAATAAGTACACAGAAAATCACAGAATATTATAACACTGTAATTGTAGTGCATAAACTACTCATATCTTTTATAGAAAAATTAAAAGATGAACTGATCAAAAATAATAACTATAACAACTTTTCAAGACATAGATGGTACAATCAGATATAAATAGGGACAACATGTGCCATGGTGGCTTGCTGCCAGAACTTAAAGTAAAATAAAAAAATAGAGAAAACAAAAATGTAAAAGTGGGAGATAAAGTTAATGTGTAGAGCTTTTATTAGTTTTCTTTTTCCATATTTATTTGTTTATGCAATCAACGTTAAGCTCTCATCAGTTTAAAATATTGGTTTATATTATTTGCAAGCCTCATAGTAACCTCAAATCAAAAAATATATAATGAATACACAAGAAATAAAAAGCAAGAAATTAAAACATACCACCAGAAAAATCAATTCATTAAAAGGAGGACAGTAAGGAAGGAACAAAGGAGGATAAGATGACAGAACAAGCAGGAAACAAATCACAAAATGGCAGGAGTAAGTATTTTCTTATTAATAACAACTTTGAATGAAGCTGTACTAAACTCTGCAATCCGAAGTCATACAGTGTCTCCATGAATGAAAAAAATGAGGCCCAGTGATTTGTTGCCTGTAAGAAACACTTCACCTATAAAGACCCATACAGACTGAAAAATGAAGGGTTGGAAAAAGATATTCCATGCAAATGAAAACCAAAAAAAAAAAAAAAAGTGAGAAAGAGCAGTAGAAGCTATTCTCTGTACTATAGACCAAATGGGCATAATAAATATTTACAGAAGATTTCATACTATGGCTGCAGAATACACATTCTTCTCCTTGGCATATGAACAATTCTCAAGAATGAACCATATGTCAGGTCACAAAACAAGTCTTAAAACATACAAATTTTGAAATTGTATCAAGTGTCTTCTCTGAACACAATAGAATAAAACTAGAAATCAATAAGAGGAATTTTGAAAAATATATAAACACATAGAAATTAAATGATATGGTCCTGAATGAGCAGAAAGTCAATGAAGAAATGTGAAGAAAATTGAAAAATTTCTTAAAGCAAATAGTAATGAAAATGGAACATAAGAACACCTGTGGGTTATAGCAAAAGCAACGCTAAGAGGAAAGCAACTACATTAAAAAAGTAGAAGAAATTTAAATAAACAATCTAATGATACATCTTAAAGAATTAAAAAAGTAAGAGCAAATCAAAGGCAAAATTAGTAAAAGAAATAAATAACAATATCAGAGAAGAAATAAATAAAATTGAACTGAAGAAAACAATACAAAAGATCAACCACATGAAACTGGTTTTAAAAAAGATAAAAAAAACTGACAAAGTTTTAGCCAGACTAAGATAAAGAAAAGATCCAAATAAACAAAATCAGAGATGAAAAAGGAGATGTTACAACTGATATTGCAGAAAGCCAAAAGATCATTAGAGGCAGCTATGAGCAAATATATGCCAATAAATTAGAAAATCTAAAATAAACAAATGCATTTCTAGACACATACAACCTACCAAGATTGAACCTTGAAAAAATCCAAAATCTGAACAGATTAATAAGAAGTAAGAGATTGAAGCCATAATAAAGTTTCCCAGCAAAGAAAAGCCTAAGACTCAATGGCTTCACTGATGGATTTTACCAAACATGTTTTTAAAATCACTCCTATTCAAACTACTCCAAAAATATACAGCAGTAGGGAATATTTTTAAAATCATTCTGTGAGGCCAGTATTATCCTGATAATCAAACCAGACAAAGACACATTAAAAAAAGGAAACTATAAGCCAATATCCCTGATGATCATTGATGCAAAAATGCTCAACCAAGTAATAGAAGATCGAATTCAACAATACATTAAAAATATTCATCATAACCAGTGGGATTTACTTCAGAGATGCAAGGATGGTTCGACATGTGCAAATTAATCAATGTGATATATCACATCAAGAGAATGTAGAACAAAAACCATATGATCATTTCAATTCATGCTGAAAACATATTTGATAAAATTCAACATCCCTTCATGATAAAAACTTTAAAAAGTAAGAGTATAGAAAGAATATAGTTCAACACAATAAAAGCTGTATACCAAAGCTGTGTACCACAGATTCACAGCTAATATCATGCCAAATTGGGCAAAACTGAAAGCCTTTTCTCTGAGATATGAAACATGAGAAGGATAATCACTTTCACCACTGCTATTAGTCATAATATTAGAAGTCCTGTCTAGAACAGTCAGACAAGAGAAAGTAATAAAGGTCATGAAAGTTGGAAGAGAAGAAATCAAATTATCATTGCTTGCAGATGATATGATCTATTTTTAAAAACCTGAAGACTCAACCAGAAAAACTATTAGAACAGATAAACAAATTCAGTGAAGTTTCAGGATACAAAATTAACATGCAAACATCAGTATTATTTTTACAATTCAACAATAAAAATCTGTAAAAGAAATTTTAAAAATGTCATTTACAATAGCTATAAGTAAAATTAAATATCTAGGAATTAACTTGACCAAATAAGTGAAGTGTCTTTACAATTGAAACTATAAGACACTGATGAAAACAATTGAAGAGGATACCAAAAAAAATAAAAAATAATCAAGGATTGGATGGATCAATATTGTTAAAATTTGTATATTACCCAAAGCAATCTACAGATTCAATGTAATCCTTATCAAAATACCAACGGCATTCTTCACCAAAATAGAAAAAAACAATCCTAAAATTTATATGAAACCACAAAAGACCCAGAAGAGCCAAAGACATTCTGAGTAAAAAGAATTAAACCGAGGGAATCACATTACTGACTTCAAATTATACTAGAGCTACAGTAACCAAAACAGCATGGTACTGGCATAAAAACATACATATAGACCAATGCCACAAAATAGAGAACCCAGAAACAAATCCATACATCTACAGTGAACTCATCTTCAATGAAGTTTCCAAGAACATACATTGGAAAGGAAAGGATAGTCTCTTCAGTAAATGGTGCTTGGAAAACTGGATATCCATATGCAGAAGTGTGAAACTAGACTCCTGTCTCTTGACATCTACAAAAATGAAATACAAATACATTCAGAACTTAAATCTAAGACCTCAAACTATGAAATTACTATAAGAAAACATCATGGAAACTCTCCAGGACATTGGAGTGGTCAAAGATTTTTTGAATAGTACTCCAGAAGTACAGCCAATCAAAGTAAAAAAGGACAAATGGGATCACATCAAGTTCAAGGACTTTCATACAGAAAAAAAAGACAAGGAGCCATTGTGGCTCTGGCCGGTTGCGCCGGCCCTCGGGCCCTCGGGGAGGCGAGGGTGCGAGTTGGAGGCCAACCTGGTCCACATTGATTGAAAAAAAAAAAATTTAAAAAGAAAAAAAGGACAAAAAAAATGTAGAAACAACCAATTAAAAGGAAGAAAATATTTGCAAACTATCCATCTGACAAGGGATTAATAACAAGAATATGAGGACATTAAATAACTCTATAGAAAAAAATGTAACAACCTAATTAAATAATGGGCAAAATATCTGAATAGACGTTTCTCAAAAGAAGACATACAAATGGCAAATGGGCATACAACAAAGTGCTCAACCTCACTGATCATCAGAGAAATGCACATCAAAAGTACAATGAGATATCATTTCACCCCAGTGAAAATGGCTGTTATCCAAAAGACAAGCAATAACAAATGCTGGCAAAGATGTGGAGAAAAGGGAACCTTCATATAGTGGTGGAAATGTAAATTAGTACAACCACCATGGAGAACAGTTTGGAGGGTCTTCATAAAATTAAAAATAGAGCTACCATAAAATCCAGCAATTCCACTGCTGAGTATACACCCAAAAGAAAGCAGATCTGTATATTGAAGAGATGTCTATACTTCCATGCTTGTTGCAGCACTATTTACAATAGCTAAGATTTGGAAGCAACCTAAGTGTTCAGCAACAGACTAATCGTTAAAGAAAAGGTGGTACTTATACACAATAGAGTACTATTCAACTGTATAAAAGAATGAGATCCTGTCTTTTGCAACAACATGGATGGAACTGGAGGTCATCATGTTAAGTGAATGAGGCACAGAAAGATGAACTTTGTATGTCCTCACTTATTTGTGGGAGGGGAAAATAAAAAAAAATTGAACTCTTGAAATAGAGAGGATAGTTACCAAAAGCTTGAGAGGTTAGTGGGGTGCCACTAAGGGAATGTGGGGATGGCTATTGGTCACAAAAAGATAGAAGGAGTAAGACCTAGCACTTTGTAGCAGAACGGAGTTACCATAGTAAGCAGTAATTTATCGTATATTTTAAAATAACTAAAAGAGTAAACCTGAATTGTTTATAACACAAAAAGGATAAATGCTTGAAGTGATGTCTACCCCACATTCTCTGATGTGATTGTTATGTGTGATATGCCTGTATCAAAATATCTCATGTACTCCATAAAATATATATACAACTATGTACCTATGCAAATTTAACATAAAAATGTTTATTTTTAAAATAGACAGATGTCTATTTTAAGTTTTAAGTTCATGAAGTTTGAAACTTTATCTCTGAGTGTATTAAAAATAATCAAGATTCAAGATGAGGGCAGCCTTGAAACAAGGGAGAGGAGCTCAAATCATTGGAAAAGCGGAATGTAACTTTGACGTAGGTATAGTATTAAGGTCTAAGGACATGAAATGTGAAGCTGCTTTTTGTTGGGGGCAAGGAGGGAGCGAGAATAATGTTCTGGAAGCTAAAGTGAGAAGCAAGGTTTTGCCCTTTATCCACAGAGTTGTAAGACAAAGTAAACACCCATTGTATGATAAGGTTTCAGAGGAAGCAGATTTTGCTGAGTGTGCAATGGTGAACAGAATGCTCATTTATGAACTGTAAGCTGGGAGAAAAGGTGGAATATCGGAGGTATATGGAGGTTAGAGTTATGGAAATTATAAAAGAATGAAAACTAACTTGCAATTCTGGAGCTTTTCAGGTGACTGACATAAATGGGAGCAAAGGACATAATGAGATTAATTCTTATGGATTGAAGGCAGTCAGTATTGGTGAGACGGTGAGTGTCAATATTGGGGTAAGTATGTCTGGACTACTTGGCAACCCCTTGCCATGGAGGGAAATTGGAAAAGTAGTAACTCATTCAAGCACCTGTGGCCCTTTTATTGACCACTATTGATAGGTTTGAGGTGATTGGAGAAAGCTGAGTCTTTCTCTATGCACAATTCACCCACTCAAACTCCTCCCTCAATGCAGCAATGTAGGCCCAGAGGGACGTGATGGTGGACTTAGTACCATGGGCTCACTCTTACTCCCTCATGGGGGAGATGGTATTTTACTCTGAAAGCATAGGTTTCTCCTTTGACACTTCTTGGTGGGGGAAAGCAGATCAGAGAAAGTGGGTGTTGGAGCATTTTTGGATCCCTTATGATCTCTGTCATTGGCATCCATGAGGTCTGGGAGTTCAGTTCTTATTCTGAGCACTGGCACTACCCTCATGAAGGAGGAGATAATAACTGCAGACAAACGCAGAAGAGAGAAACAAAACAGGTGGTGAGAAGTTAAGGTCAGTTTTTTTTTAAATTTAATATCATGAGAAGTCTCAAGTTAATGACATTAAAAACTGTGGTTTAACATATTATTTATATTTCCAAATGCAATCAATATTTACAGTAATTTGAAAACTACTTCAAAAAATGAAAATTGGGAAAAATATAAATAGAAGGAGAGGAATACCGATATCTAATACTTTATGGCATGGAGTTAAAAGGTGTTTTAAACTTGGTAAATAAAGATTTAGTGGTATACATATATTAGATTTATGGAGTTCACTACCAGTGGAACTAAAAACAAAACTGCTTAAAAGTGTTTGTCGGGCATTGGACTAGTCATAAGGAGGATCACAGGACAAAACATTTGTGTTTCATTTCAATTCCTTTTGTGTCATTTGATATTTTTTTCTAGTACAGAAAAAAATTATTAAAAAATAACACCTTGGCCAGATATGGTGGCTCATGTGTGTAATCTCAGCACTTTGGGAGGCCAAGGTGGGAGAATTGCTTGAGCCTAGTTGAGTCCAGGAGTTCAAGACTAGCCTGGGCAACATAATGAGACCTTATAGTTTCAGCTACTTGGAACGCTGAGGTGAGAGGATTGCTTGAGCCTAGGATACTGAGACAGCAGTGAGCCATGATTGTGCCTCTGCACTCTGGCTTGGGCTAAAGAGCAGTACCCTATTTCTAATAATAATAATAATAACCATGTTTATAAAGAACCTCACATCAGTAAAAATAATAATAATAAATGAAATAATGCATTTTATCAAAGGGGAAGAAACTGAGTACCCAAATTAGAAGAGTTATTGAAGATCCCCAATAGATGTTTATGGAACAACTGATTTCTCATTTCATTTCGTTTCATTTCTTTATTGTAGAGGATAGGCATGTTGGTGTGCGTATGGGAGGCAGGTGGTAACTTACTAAGTTGTAAGATATAGAATTCAAGTTGATATCTTTTTATTAGGATGAATAAATATACACAGAAAAGAATTACAGAACAACAAGTAAAAGTACTAGTTAATTTCAAATCCTATGGAAATGTGGTAAGTCACTAACTAGAGTTTTTTTGCCTATGCTTTTAATGCAGGTCCTGGTGAGAAATGATGACTGCAGATTGATGAAGAGGAATAACAAAATCCAGTCCTTACTGATGTAATAATAGAAGCAAATATAAGAATGTCTCCTCTGCTACTGGCTACAGTTCAGTGGTTACCCCTTAGGCCAATGAGATATTGGCAGAGGCTTGCTAATTAGGAAGGAATTTCCTTCTGAAATAAAACAACAAAGCTTTCTGAGAAGACATTTTTCTTCTTCTCTTCTGAACTGGGGATACTAACCATGGGGAGCTGTAGCCACCTAGCAATCATGAGGAAACCAGCCTAGGGAAGAAAGACAACACAGGAAGGGTAGTGGAGCTGGTAGGCTGCTGGAGGGTCGTTACCCAAGGCAGCACTGAATGTTTGCACCAACAGGGATGGGGTAGGTGTTGTGGAGTTTCACGCTTCTAGGTTTTTTTTTTTCTTTTTCTTTTAGAGACAAGGTCTCTCTCCAGCACCAAGGCTAGAGTGCAGTGGTATTATCCCACAGTTTATTGCAGCCTTGAACTCCTGTGCTTATAAGATTATAAAATTTAAGGGAAGGCCTTTATAAGAAAATAATCCAAAATTATAAATAAAAATGAGCATATGAAGGAAATATTTACTTAGACTGAGAAAAAACTTACAGCGAATTCCATGTGATATGCTTCGGGATATGATCATGACTTTAAAAAAAAGCAAACAAACCCTACAGCAACCAGTATATTAAAATGGGAAATATTAAAAGCTTTCCTGTTGATGTCATGAGTGAGAAGATAATGTCTGCTATCACCATTTCCAATAAACATTATCCTGGATGTTCTAGTCAGAGAAATGGCAAGAAAAAGAATTTAAATTTAAGAACAAGAAAAGAAAAAAATAAAATGTCAGTGACATATGGTATAGGTAGATAATTTAAAAGTTACTACATATAAACTCTGAAAATTAATGTTAATTTTTACAAGTTATCTGGATAGAATAAAATATACACAATCAAATGTAGTGATTTATACATTAGAAACAGTAGAAAATAATATTAGTAAAGTATACTACTTAGTGTAGTTTTAAAAAAATTGAAACCCAAGGAATCGATTTCATAATGAGTGCCCCAGACCGCTACTCCCAAACTACACAACATTATTTAAAGACATTAAAACCTATATCATGCTCATTAGTTGAAAAACAGTATTGTAAAAATGTTGGCTCTCCAAAGATACATCTATAGTTTCAGCGAAATATCGAACAAAATCCCAGTACTCTTTGAAATGTGGAAATTGATGACATAATGTTAACCTTTCCCTTAAAATGTAAAAGGCCAAGAATAATGAAAGCAATCCTGAGGAATAATGAAGGTGGAGGAAGCCAGCATGGGATATTAATTCCTATGAAGCCAAAGTAACTGAGTCAATGTGGGACTGACAACTCATCTCCTATCTTTTCCCCTGCAGATCTCTTCTTCACCTCGCTTGGGATTCCACACTAGGAACTGGGCTACTCTCCTGTCTAGCCACTAGTCTAACCTTACTAAGTTTCTAACACTTCATATCAGACCTCTCCCCTGTTCACCCCCTACCACAGTGATGTCTTCCTCATCCTATTCAGGTATTGACACTCATACTAGGATACTCCATGTATAGATATTCTCCTTGCTCTCTGTGATTTATGTCTCCACTTGGCTGAGCCAGGGTCCCCAGATTTTTGGTCAAACATCATTCTAGATGTTTCTGTGAATGTATATTTAGAAGATATTAACATTTAAATGAATAGACTTTGAGTAAAACATATTACCTTTCCTACTAAAAGTCTTAATAGGAAAAGATTAACCTTTCCCAAAGAAATCCTGCCAGCCCACTACCTCTGGACTTGAATTACAGCATCAGTTCTTTTCCGGGTCTCTAGTTTGCAGGACTACTTTCTCTCTCTCTGTCTGTATATGTGTGTGTGTGTGTGTGTGTGTCTGTGTGTGTATAGCTGACCCTTGCACAACACAGATTTCAACTTCACAGGTCCACTTATACGTGGATTTCTTCAATAAAAGTAACACCAAGTGTGCCTGCTTCTCCTAAGCCCTCCTCCGCCTCCTTCACTTCTTCTACCTCTGCCACTCCTGAGACAGCAAGACAGCCTACTCAATGTGAAGAAACAGGAATAAAGATCTTTATGATGATCCACTTCCACTTAATGAATAGTAAATATATTTTCTCTTCATTATGATTTTCTTAATAACATTTTCTTTTCTCTAATTTTGTTGAATGAATACAGTACATAATACATACAACATACAAAATGCATGCTAATCAAATGTTAATGGTACTGGTAAGGATTCCTTTCAACAGCAGGCAATTAGTACATAAGTTGTGGTGAGTCAAAAATTAGATGTGGATTTTCAACTGTGAGGTTGGCATTTCTAACACTCACGTAGTTCAAGGGACAACTACAAGTATACACAGATACAAACACACACATACAGACTCATGCATATGTATTAAGATATAATAGAAATGTTCTTTTTCTCTGGTGAACCCTAATTGCTTTTAGTTAGTTCAGTGGGTTCTGACACACCACTGAATTCTCACTCTCCTTGGACACTCTTCTAACACCACTTGGGCCCTTGGGCTCTTACACCACACTCAGGTGCTTATAGTTTCTCTTAGAGAACCACCCCCTTTCTTACCTGATATACAGTCCCACTTGCTAGGTCCCATCTAATAGGTCAAGTTCAAATTATTCAGAAAGAAAAATGGAAAAGACGAAAAAAGGAAAAAGGGAAGGGAATGGAATGGAATGGAGAAGAAGAAAAAAACAGAATATTTAATAAATTTTGAAAGTGAATATTATAATGGATGACCCATGCCTAGAGAATAGATACATACATCTACTTATGTCTCACCCTTAGCTCAATTATGCCTAGGACTGGATTAACAAATGCCATTACACAATATCATGGCTTTAAAACTTAAATTCATTACATGTTTTCTCCTGCTCTAGGATGAATAGAAAGAAATACTTTGTTTATAATAATGGTCTATCTAAAATGTTTTTCAGTTTGTTCATACGGGCACAAGAAATGTTGGAAATAATTTTTAAATATATGGTCATTTATCTAGTTTTAAAAGATATCACTCAAGTAGTTTTTAGATCCAACAAATAACTATCTGAGTAGATTATTTTTATGTTTTTGAAAAATGTAGCTATGTTCCTTTTATTTTTTCTAGACATACAGGGCACCAATTACAGAAATGGTCCACGTGGTGAGGCGGCTGTTATTTCGTATCCCAACGAAAGACCTCAGAGCTTTGTTAAAAACAATTGTTAATAAAGTAAAGCTTTGTGATGATAAAAGCAAAGTGGAAAACCTTTCTATAGTTGGTCCTAAGAAAAATGTAAGAAAAATTTATGAAAAACAAAATCAAATTAAAGACTATCACAGGACTCTTCTAGCCCTCAGATGTTTATCATTACTGCTGAAGTCAATTATTGAATAAAATACTACTTCAGCCTATCTTGATAACATGAAAAGTTTGAAAAATTCAAGATACCCTTCAACAACATCATTTCTGATGACTAAATGACTGCAATAGAAGTTGAAAGAGATACATTCTTTCTGTTAGTAAAGATACACTGTGCTACTTTTTTGGAATAGCTAATATGGCAGAAAGTTATATAGGTCTTTAATATGAGTTGAAAATCTTATTGTTTAATAATTCTGCATGTTTTCTTAAGGCCTATGAGAAAAGTAACTTGCAGATCTAGTGTAGTATGTACCTAATAACATCTAACAAGTTTGCCACCCTGGAAATGTTCTTGCAGTTATTCAAAATATCAGATATATTTGCAAAATCACACTTTTTCTTCCACCTTCAATATTAATGGCATCATTTTATTTTTCTTTTTCAGTTGTTTAGAGACCTTATATTAATGAAAAGATTGGATTAAGAGTATGGGAGATATTGTGAGGGGAACATCACTAAAACTCTGAATGGAGAGATGTGAGGGATCAATCTTTTGGTAAAATAATCCAGGCTTACTTAAACTCTGATTTATCCTGTTTGTTTCAGTAAACTCTTTGTTTACTGAATGCATAATGTATGAATTATTAGAGACTCTATTAAGAAAAATCAGGTGAGGGAAAGGGAGAGAGGTACTCTCATATAATTCAAATTGGTTTTGAAAATTTATGAAGGCAATAGAAACATATTTCCCTTTATACTAAAGGAGTAAAAATGAGACTTTCACTTTCCATCCGAGATGCAGGGAGCAGGAGTGTCTCACCTACATCCTTATGATAGGAAAAAATATGAATAAAATATGAATAAAATGCAAATCGTAACTTTTCTTGAACCCATTAGTCACTTGAGCTTACGGGTAAACAGCTAACTTAAAATCTCAAGAGTGATGGGCTCCTGTAGGAAGAAACAGGATTTGAACACTTGTTTACCTGGGGCAGAAGTCACCCAATGCTGTATAAGTAAGGATAATGAATCAGCTAGAAAATTTTAAGAAGTTGCTAAATACCAAGGATGGGTTGACAAGAGAAAGTGAAGGCCCTGAAGGCTGCAGACATAAGGGGCTTTATGCCTCTTGCAGCTGATTTCTTTAGTAGCCTCACTATGTACTCTACATGAAGATTAGAGATAATCTTTAGAGAGCCCCATTGGTACTGACTGGGGCATGAGAACAGCAACTACTCTTCAAGCCCTATTCAAGACCGATCTCTCCTTTCTCCCTTAAACAATAAAAGTCCTTATCTTCAATAGGGAATGGCAACAAAAACTGTGATTTGAGAGTACTGGTGAAAACCCTTGCAGCTGGGAAAGGAAGCCAGGAGAAAACTCCACTCCTCAGAAAGGAATAGGTCATCCTCAAGACCAAGATTTACAGAGCTTGCCTAATATTGAGCTTCATGGGAACATCACCCTAATGCTAATGAGTATCTAGTAAAAATCAGAGTGGAATATAACTGGGAGAGCTGCAAGATACAGATTGTTTCTGGGTAATACAGCAAAAGGGGAAACCAAATCTAGGTGGGGGACAGATTCTATATACATGTTTTTCCTAAAATATTTAAAACTTTTGATATTCCCAGGGTAATCATAGCAACAACAACTTGAAACTCAGCCCTATTATTGACACAACCCCCCACAATACATGCCTAGCAGAAGGAAAGATGTGATTATCTTCATGTAAAATAAATATTTACTTCAGTATTAACATTCCTATACTCCATTTGTGGATTTCAACAAAAAATTCTGAGACATCAAAAGGCAATAAACACACATACTGAACAGATATAGCAATCATCAGAACCAAACTGCAATGTGACACAGATGTTGGAATTATCAGACAAAGGTAGATTTATTTTTAATGCATGTGAATCAAAGAAACATTTTTTGTAGAGAATTTAAATGTATATAATTTTTTTGGTAAGATCAGTCCTAAACAAACTGGTGAATAGAGATTTTTTTTTTGTATTTATAATCTCGCTTTTCTGGTCTTTTCTCTCAGTTTGTGCATATCCTCATGTTCTATTTTCACTCCTATCAAAAACCTGCTTCTTAAAAAAGAAATATATCACTCACAATACACAGTGAATGAAAACATTTCTCTTCCAACTTTGTTGGAGATTAAGTCTTAATTCAGAGGCATAAATTTCTAATGATGGAACTTGGAACAACAGCAAAGTTTGCAGTGCCAATTGGCTGGTGGTTAGAGTTGTGTATGTGGATATTAAGAAGATGTTGTCTCCATGTAGACAGAGCTCTCTTGAGGATTCTGATATCATGTCACTTTAAGGCCTTCACCAGTGGGCAGAATGGAACCATGAATTAAATGGGAGAATTCTTACTATCCTGGAAACACAAAACCTCCCAAGTTTGAACCAGGAAGAAACTGAAACCCTAAACAGATCAATATCGAGTCCTAATTTGAATCAGTGCTAGAAACCCATCCAATCAAAAAAGCCCTTGGCTGATAGATTCACAGCCAAACTTTACATGTGTATATATACAGAAGTGCTGGTATGAATTCTTTTAAAACTATTCAAAAAAAGTTAAAGAGGAGGGACTCCTCCCCAATTCATTATTGAAACAAACATCATCCTGATACCAGAATCTGACAAAGACACAGGGAAAAAAGAAAACTGCTGGCTAATATCCCTGATAAACATAGATGCAAAAATCCCCAACTAAACACTAGCAAATCAAATCTGCTGTATAACACAAAATTAATTCACCATAATAAAGTGGGCTATATTATTGGGATGCAAGAGTGTTCAACATACACAAATAAATAAAGGTAATTCAGCACATAAACAAAATTAAAAACAAAACCCATAGGATTACCTCAAAAGACACAGAAAAAGCATTTGATAAAATACAACATCTCTTCATGAAAAAACCCACCCACAACTAGGCATTGAAGGAACATACCTCAAAATAATAAGTATCATCTATGACAAACCACAGGCAATACCATACGGAATGGGCAAAAAGCTGGAAGCATTCCCCTTAAGTACTGAAATAAGACAAAGCTGTCTTACTCTCACCACTCCTGTTAAACCTAGTACTGGAAGTCCTAGCCTGAGCAATCAGGCAAGATAAAGAAATAAAAGTCATTCAAATAGGAAAACGGGGAGTCAAATTATCTTTTTTGCTGATGATATGATTCTGTATCTCAAAAACACTAAAAATTCTGCCAAAAGACATTTCTACCTGATAGAAAAACTTCAGCAAAGTCTCAGGAAACAAAATCAACATACAAAAATCAATAGCATTCTATACACCAATAATACTCAAGCTCAGAACCAAATCAAGAACTCAATCCCATTTACAATAACCATATAAAAATACCTAGGAATAAACCTAAGTATGGACGTGCAAGATCTCCATGAGGAGAACAACATAACAATGTTGTAAGAAATAAAAGATGATACAAACAAGTGAAAAAACATTTGGTCCTCATGGATGGGAAGAATAATATCATTAAAATGTCCATTCAGCCCAAAGCAATCTAAATTGCATTGAATATGCTACTCCTATCAAACTACGAACATTGTTTTTCACAGAATATAAAAAAAACTATTCCAAAATTCATATGGTATCAACAAAGAGCCCAAATAGTAAATGCAAAAAGAACAAAGAAAGAGACATCACACTACATGACTTCATACTACACTCTAAGAATATGGTAATCAAAACAGCATGGTACTGGTACAAAATAAACACATAGACCAATGGAACAGAACAGAGATCCCTGAAATAAAGCTGCTTGTCTACAACAAATTCATCTCTGAAAAAGTTGACAAAAATCAACAATGGAGAAAGGACACCATATTCAATAAATGGTGCTGGGAAAATTGGCTAATCAGATGCAAAAGAATAGTATCGGACCCCTACCTCTCAGTATATATAAAAGTAAACTCAAGATGAATTAAATAATTAAATGTAAGACCTCAAACTAAAAATACTCTAGAAGAAAACCTAGGAAGTATTTATCTAGATACTGGATAGGAAAATAATTTATGATAAAGATCCCAAAAGCAAGTGCAACAAAATAAAAAATAAACAATTAGAATTTAAGCCAAAGAGCTCCTAAACAGTAAAAGAAACTGTAAATGGAGCAAACAGGCAACCCACAAGATACGAAAAAAAATCTCCATACTACACATCCAACAAAGGACTAATATTCAGTGTTTATTAGCAACTTAAATAAATCACAACACAAAAACCCAACTGAAAAGTGAGCAAAGGATATGAGCAGACATTTTTCTAAAGAAGACATAGAAGCAGCCACTAAAAATAAAAAAATAAAAAATTATAACTAATTGCCAGAGAGATGAAAATCACAACCACAAGGAGATATGATTTCACACCTGTCAGAATTATTATTATTTAAAAGTCAAAAAATATCAGGCTTTGGTGAGGTTATGGGAGAAGGGAACACTTACACATTGTTGTTGGGATTGCAAATTAGTGCAGCTTCTGTGGAAAGCAGATCGAATATTTCTTAAAGAACTACCAATTGACCCAGTAATCCCATTACTAGGTATATATTCAAAGGAAAATAAATCATTCTATAAAAAAGACACAGGCACTCATGTTCCTTGCAGAACTATTCACAATAGCAGAGAATGGAATGAACTTAGGTGTCCATCAATGGTGGATTGGATAAAGAAAATGTGGTATGAATACATTATGGAATACTACACGACATATGAAAGAATAAAATCATGTACTGAGTAGCAATATGGGTGCAGCTGGAGGCTATTATCCTAAGCAAACTAAGTAAGAAACACATGTTTCCACTTATAAGTGGGAGCTAAATCTTACATTTCCACAGACATAAACATGAGAAAAATAGACAGTGGGGACTCCAAGCAGAGGGAGAGACAGATGGGGACAAGGGACAAAAAATCTTCCTTTGGGATAATATTTTCTTTATCTGGGTGACAGAATCTATAGAAGCCCAACCCTCAGCACCAGATAATACACTCTTGTAGCAAACCTACACATGTACCTCTGAATCTAAAATTTCAAAAGGAAATTAAAATAAATAAATTTCATCATAAATAAATGGTCCTACTAGATATTTACAAAAAACTTTACCCAATAGTTGAAGAATGCATATTCTTTTAATCAGTGCATGGAAAAATCTCCAGGATAGAAATATGTTAGGACACAAAACAAGTCTCAAAAATTACAAAAAATCAAATTCATGTTAGGTAACTTATCTGACCATATAAAATAAAACTAACATTATAATAAGAGTAACATTAAAAACTATACAATAAGTGGAAAGTAAACAGCATGTTCTTGAATGACCAATGAGTGAAGAAATTAATAAAATTTTAAAAATTCTTTAAAACAAATGAAAATAGAAACACAATATACCAAAATCTATGAGACACAGTACAATCGGCATTAAAAGGCAAGTTGCAATAAAGGCCTACATCAAAAACCTAGAAAGATTTCAAATAAAAACCTGAGTGTACACCTCAATCAACTCAAAAAAATCCAACCACACCCAAAATTAATATAAGAAAAGAAATAATTAAGATCAGAGCAGAACTAATTGACAAAGAGTGTAAAAAAAATAGAAAAGATTAACATAAAAATGCTGGTTCTATAAAAAGAAAATGAAAATTGACAAACCATTAACTAGATTAAGAAAAAAAGACCCAAATAAATAAAATCAGAAATAAACAAGGAAACTTTATAACAGCTACCATAGAAATATGAAGAATCATTAGAAGATACTCTGAAGCACTATTTGTTTCCAATAAATTTGAAAACCCAGAGAAAATTGATAAATTTTTGACTCACAACCTATCATGATTGAATGAAGAAGGAATAGAAAATCTGACAGGCCAAAAGCAAGTAACATGGTTGAATTAGTAATAAAAAGACTTTCAACAAATACAGGTTGAGGACTGTATAGCTTCACTGTTGAATTCTACTGGTTTCTACTGGTACCATTCTTTTTAAGAAGAATTAACTCATTATTATCAAACTATTATAAAAATGTGAGGCAGAAGGAATTTTTCCTAACTCATTCTATGAGGTCAGCATAACACTATAATCAAAACCCAATCAGGACACCAGGAAATAAGGAAACTACAGGCTAGTATTCCTGACAAACATAGATGCAGAAATACTCAATAAAATACTAGAAAACTTAATTCAACAACACATCGAAAAATAATATACAATGACTGTGTGAGATTTATCAAAGGAATGCAAGGATGATTCAAAATATGTGAATCAATAAGGTCTTATCAGTAGAACGAAAATCATGTGATCGTCTTAATACAGAAAATGCTGTTGACTAAATTCAATATTCCTTCATGATAAAAATTCCTAATAAATTATGTGTAGAAGAAAAATACATCAATATACTAAAGGTCATATATGAAAAACCCACATCTAACTATTTCCTAAGTAATAGAAATCTGGGAGATTTTTCTCTAAGCAATGGAACGAGTATGTCCACTCTCACCATTCTTAATCAACACAATACTGGAATTTCTAGCCAGAGCAAATAAGCAAAAGAAAAAGAAGGGCATTTAAATTGGAAGAGAGGAAGTCAAGTTGTCCATTTTTGCAGATGACCTGATCTCATATATAGACAATCTAGAGACTCTACACAAAATTAATATACAAAAAATTAGTGGCATTTCTATACATGAATAATGAACTAGCTGAAAAAGAAATAAAAAAGATAAACCTATTTACTGTAGCTCAGAAAAAGACCTATGAATAAATTTTGGCAAAGAAGTGAAAACCTCTACAGGAAAAAGTGCAAAATGCTGATGAAAAATATTGAAGAGGATACAAATAAATAGACATTCTGTGTTCATAAATCAGAAGAATCAATATTGTTAAAATGACACTACTACCCAAAGCGGTCTTCAGATTAATGCAATTTATATCAAAATGCCAACAACATTCTTCACAGAAATGGAAAAAAATTCTAAAATTTTTACAGAATCACAAAGTCCTCAAATCACCAAAGCAGTATTGTGCAAAAAGTAAAAAGCTAGAGTCATTAAACTATCATACCTCAAAATATACTATAAAGCTGTGGTAATCAAAACAGCACAATACACAGGCCAGTGAAACAGAATACAAAATCCAGAAATTAATTCACATATTTAAAGCCAACTGTTTTTTTGACAAAGATGCCAAGAACATTCATTGCGGCAAGGTTAGTCTGTTAGATAATAGTGCTGATAAAACTGAATATACATATGCAGAATAATGAAACAGGGCTCCTATCTCTTACTTTATACAAAAATCAATTAAGAATGGGTCATAGTACTAAATGTTATACCTGAAGGAACAAAACTACTATAAGAAATCATGGGGGAAATTTTTCAGGACATTGGTCTGTGAAAGATTTTATGAGTAAGACTTTTAAAGCACAGGCAACAAAAGCAAAAATGAATAAATGAGATTATAACAAACTAAAAAGCTTCTATACAGCAAACAAAATAATCAACAGGGTAAAGAGCCAGTCTACAAAATGTGAGAAAATATTTTCAAGCTACTGATTCAACAGGTGGTTATTATCCAGAATATACAAGGAACTCAAACAGCTCAACAGCACAGACAAGCAATTTAATTTTAAAAAGGGGGCAAAGAGTTTGTACAGACATTGCTCAAAAGAAGACATACAAATTGCTAACAAATATATCTTTTAAATGATCAACATCACTACTTAAAAGAGATGTGCAAATAAAAAACACCCAGAGGTAACATCTCACTCTAGTTAGAATGGCTATCATAAAAAAAAACACGCAAAAAAAAAAAAAATGATGGCAGGTATGCAGAGTAAAGAGAATTCTTACACACTATTGATAGTAATGTAAACTAGCACAGCCACAAAGGGAACAGTATGGAGGTTCCTCAATAAACTACAACGGAAAAGCCTTATGATCTAGCAACACCCCTACTGGGAATTTATCCAAAGAAAATGAAATCACAATATTGAGGAGACATCTGCACCTTGATATTTATCTTATTCCTATTCATAATAGCCAAAATATGACATCAACCTCAGTGTTCAACAATAGATGAACAGATAAAGAAAATGTAAGATAGAAAGAAAGAGAAAGAAAGAGAAAGAAAGAAAGAAAATAAGAAAGAAAGAGAAAGAAAGAAAGAAAGAAAGAAAGAAAGAAAGAAAGAAAGAAAGAAAGAAAGAGAAAGAAAAGAATGTTCTTCCATTTGTTTGGGTCCTCTTTTATTTCGTTGAGCAGTGGTTTGTAGTTCTCCTTGAAGAGGTCCTTCACATCCCTTGTAAGTTGGATTCCTAGGTATTTTATTCTCTTTGAAGCAATTGTGAATGGGAGTTCACTCATCATTTGGCTCTCTGTTTGTCTGTTATTGGTGTATAGGAATGCTTGCGATTTTTGCACATTGATTTTGTATCGTGAGACTTTGCTGAAGTTGCTTATCAGCTTGAGGAGATTTTCGGCTGAGACAATGGGGTTTTCTAGATATACAATCATGTGATCTGCAAACAGAGACAATTTGACTTCCTCTTTTCCTAATTGAATACCCTTGATTTCTTTCCCCTGACTGATTGCTCTGGCGAGAACTTCCAACACTATGTTGAATAGGAGTGGTGAGAGAGGGCAACCCTGTCTTGTGCCAGTTTTCAAAGGGAATGCTTCCAGTTTTCGCCCATTCAGTATGACATTGGCTGTGGGTTTGTCATAAATAGCTATTACTTTTAGATACGTCCCATCAATACCTAATTTATTGAGAGTTTTTAGCATGAAGGGCTGTTGAATTTTGTCAAAGGCCTTTTCTGCATCTATTGAGATAATCATGTGGTTTTTGTCTTTGGTTCTGTTTATATGCTGGATTACATTTATTGATTTGCGTATGTTGAACCAGCCTTGCATCCCACGGATGGGAAGAATCAATATCGTGAAAATGGCCATACTGCCCAAGGTAATTTACAGATTCAATGCCATCCCCATCAAGCTACCAATGACTTTCTTCACAGAATTGGAAAAAACTACTTTAAAGTTCATATGGAACCAAAAAAGAGCCCGCATCACCAAGTCAATCCTAAGCCAAAAGAACAAAGCTGGAGGCATCACCCTACCTGACTTCAAACTATACTACAAGGCTACAGTAACCAAAACAGCATGGTACTGGTACCAAAACAGAGATATAGACCAATGGAACAGAACAGAGCCCTCAGAAATAGTGCCGCCTATCTACAACTATTTGATCTTTGACAAACCTGAGAAAAACAAGCAATGGGGAAAGGATTCCCTATTTAATAAATGATGCTGGGAAAACTGGCAAGCCATATGTAGAAAGCTGAAACTGGATCCCTTCCTTACACCTTATACAAAAATTAATTCAAGATGGATTAAAGACTTACATGTTAGACCTAAAATCATAAAAACCCTAGAAGAAAACCTAGGCAATGCCATTCAGGCCATAGGCATGGGCAAGGACTTCATGACTAAAACACCAAAAGCAACGGCAACAAAAGTCAAAATTGACAAATGGGATCTAATTAAACTAAAGAGCTTCTGCACAGCAAAAGAAACTACCATCAGAGTGAACAAGCAACCTACAGAATGGGAGAAAATTTTGGCAATCTACTCATTTGACAAAGGGCTAATATTCAGAATCTACAAAGAACTCAAACAAATTTACAAGAAAAAAAACAAACAACCCCATCAACAAGAGGGCAAAGGATATGAACAGACACTTCTCAAAAGAAGACATTTATGTGCCAACAGACACATGAAAAAGTGCTCATCATCACTGGCCATCGAGAAATGCAAATCAAAACCACAATGAGATATCATCTCACGCCAGTTAGAATGGTGATCATTAAAAAGTCAGGAAACAGCAGGTGCTGGAGAGGATGTGGAGAAATAGGAACACTTTTACACTGTTGATGGGACTGTAAACTAGTTCAACCATTGTGGAAGACAGTGTGGTGATTCCTCAGGGATCTAGAACTAGAAATACCATTTGACCCAGCCATCCCATTACTGGGTATATACCCAAAGAAATATAAATCATGCTGCTATAAAGACACATGCACACATATGTTTATTGTGGCACTATTCACAATAGCAAAGGAACCAACCCAAATATCCATCAATGATAGAGTGGATTAAGAAAATGTGGCACATATACACCATGGAATACTATGCAGCCATAAAAAATGATGAGTTCATGTCCTTTGTAGGGACATGGATGAAGCTGGAAACCATCATTCTCAGCAAACTATCGCAAAGACAAAAAACCAAACACTGCATGTTCTCAATCATAGGTGGGAATTGAACAATGAGAAGACTTGGACATGGGAAGGGGAACATCACACACCAGGGCCTGTTGTGGGGTGGGGGGAGGGGGGAGGGATAGCATTAGGAGATATACCTAATGTAAATGACGAGTTAATGGGTGCAGCACACCAACATGGCACATATATACATATGTAACAAACCTGCACTTTGTGCACATGTACCCTAGAACTTAAAGCATAATAAAATATATATATATATAAAGAAAGAAGGAAGGAAGAAAGAAAGAAAGAAAAAATCTGCATATTTAGAGAGATGTAGAGAATACTATTTAGCTATAATAAAGAATGAAATCTTGTCATTCACAGCAACACAAATGGAATTGGACAACATTGTATTAAATGAAGTAAGCCAGGAGCAGAATGTTTTGCACCACATGTTTTCACTCATATGTAAAAGCTTAAAAAAGTTGATCTCATAAAAGTAAAAAGTAAAAAAGAGGATACTAGACTGGAAAGGGTAAGGAGAAAGGAGGAATAGGAGGAGATTTATTAAAATGTACAAAATTACAGCTCAAAAAGGAGCAGCAAACTGGCAGTAGTAAGGTCTTACTTTCAATAATCACATTGAATATATATAGACTGAATTCTGCAGTTGAAAGACATAAATTTGATGGAGTGGATAAAAATAACAAGGCTCAACTATATTTTCCCTACAAGACACTCATTTCACCTGTACAGACATGCATATACTGAAAGTGAATGAGTGAAAAAAAGATACTCATACAAATAAAAACCAAAACAAAGCAAGAGTAGCTATACTTATAACAGATAAAATAAATCTCAAGTAAAAAATATATAAAGAGATAAACAAGGCTACTATATAATGATAAAAGGATTAATAAAAGCATATAACAATCATGAATACATACACAACCAACATCCATCAAAGCATTTAAATACATGAAGGATACATTAATCAATCTAAAGGGAGAGATACACAGTAATACAATAACAGTAGGGAATTTCAACACCCTGCTTTCTGCAGTGGACAGATTATTTACAGAAAACCAAGGAGAAAACATCAGATTTAAACTGCACTCTAGACCAAATGGACCTAACAGACATTAAAAGAACATTCCATCCAACAGCTGAATAATACACATTCTTCTACACTGGACGTGGTATTTTCTACAGGACAGATCATATGTTAGTCTACTAAAAAAGTCTTAACAAATTCAAGAAATTAAAATCATATCAAATATCATTTTTCATGAAAATGAAGTAAACGAGGAATCAACAATAGGAGGAGATCTGAAATGCTACATATACATGGAAATTAAACAACATGCTTCTAAACAACCAATAAATTGATGAACAAATTGAAAGAAAAATTTAAAAAATTTCTAGAGACAAAAGAAAATAAAAACACAAAATACTAAATAAAACTTATGAAATACAGCAAAACCAGTCATTAGAAGGAGGTCTATAGCAATAGATATCTACATGAAAAAAAGAAAAAAGCTCTCAAATGAACCACCAAATGAGGGATCTCAAGGATAGAAAAGCAAGAATAGACTACACTCACAATTAGGAGAAGAAAAGATATAATAAAGATCAGAGTACAATCGAGACTTAAAAACAATAGAAAAGATAAACAAAATAGAAAGCTGATTTTATGAAAAGATAAATGAAATCGACAAACTTTTAGCAAGACTAACCAAGAAAAAAAGAGAGGAGTAAAATAAATAAAAGCAGAGATAAAAAAGAAGGCATTACATCTGATACCACAGAAATACAAAAGATCATAAGAAACTACTATGATATGCCAACAATATGAAAAATCTAGAAGAAATGAATAAGTTCCTAATCACAAAAACCTACCAAGGGTGGGGCAGGTTGGGAGGACGGGTGAGAGATAAAGACTACATATTGGGTACAGTATACACAACTCAGGTGCCAGGTACATGAAAATCTCAGAAATCATCACTAAAGAAATTATTCATGTAACCAAAATCTGCCTGTAACCCAAAAACTATAGAAATACAAGCAATTTATCAAACCTGCCAAGATTGCACTAAGAAGTAGAAAATATGAACAAACAAATAATGAGTAATGAGATTTGAAGCAGGAATAAACTCTTCCATGAAAAGAAAGTCCAGGACATGATGGTGTCATTGCTAAATTCTAGAAAATATTTTTAAAAGAACTAATACAATTTTTCACAAACTGTTCCAAAAAAATTGAAAAGGCGGGAACTCTTTCAAACTTATTATATGAAGCCATAATTACACTGATTCCAAAACCAGAGAAAGACATAACAGCAATACAAATACTTGAGGTCAATATCCCTGATGAATTTAAATGTAGAAATTGTCAACAAAATACTAGTAAACCAAGTTTAACAACATATTAAAAAAATTCACTGGGATTCATATCAGAGATGCCATGATATTTCAACATATGTGAATCAATAAGCATGATACATTACATCAATAGAATCAGATAAAAATTATATGATCATTTCAATAAATGCAGATGCATTTGACAAAATTTAACACCTCTTCATAATAAAAACTCTCAACCAATTAGGTACAGAAATAACATACTTCAACATAACAGAGGCCATATATGACAAATCCACAGGCAGCGTAATGCTGAATGAGGAGTTGTTGAAAGCTTTTCCTCTAAGATCGGGAACAATGTGAAGCTCCCCACTCTTACTGGACCTACTCAACATATTACTGGAGGTCCACAAAAGACTCTGAATAACTAAAGTAATTCTGAGCAAAAGGATAAAGCTAGAGACCTCACACTAATTGCCTTAAAAATATACTACAAAGCTATAGTAATGAAAACAGCATTGTATTGGCCAAAAAAAATTAGAAAAGACAAAAAGTTCAGTGTAACCAAACAGAGATCCCAGAAATAAATTAATGCATTGACAACCAAAAGATTCAAAAAAGATGCCAAAAACACAAATTGAAGAAAGCTCGGTCTCTTCAACAAATGGTGTTAGGAAAACTGAATATCCACATACAATAGAATAAAGCTAGACCTCTATTTCTCACCACATACAAAATTCCATTCAAAATAGACTAAAGAGTTAAATGTAAGATCTGAAACTATGAAAGTACTAGAATAATACAAGAAGAAATGCTACATAACTTCAGTCTTGGCAAGGATTTATTAGGCGAGATCTCAAAAACACAGGCAACAAAAGCAAAAATAGAGTAATTACATCAAACTAAAAAATTTCTGCATGGCAAAGGAAGCAATCAACAGACTAAGGAGAAAACCTACAGAATGGGAGAAAATATTTGCAAATTTTACATCTGACAAGAGATTAATATAAAGAATTTATAAGGAACTCAAACAATTCAATAGGAAAAACCTAATTTAAAAATGGGCAAAGACATTTTTCCAAGGAAGATATAGAAACGGCCAACAGTTATATGAAAAAAATGCTCAATATCACTAACAATCAGCGAAATGCAAATAGAAGCCAAAATGAGATATCACCTCATCCCAGACAGAATGGATAGCATCAAAAAGGCAAAAAAAAAAAAAAAAAAAAAAAATGCTGGCAATACTGTGGAGAATGGGAAAGTTTTATACACAGTTGTTAATGTAAATTAGTACAGGGGTTATGAAAAACAGTATGGAAGCTCCTCAAAAATTTAAAAATAGATCTATCATATGATCCAGCAATCCCACTACTGGGTATATGGCCAAAGAAAATGAAATAAATATGTTGAAGAGTCATTCTGCACTTTCATGTTTATTGCAGCACTGTTCATATTATCCAAGGCATGTATTCATATTATCCAAGGCATGGAATCAACCTAAATGTCATCAACAGAGAAAAGAATAAAGAAAATGTGAGGTAGATATGCATAATGAACTCCATTCGGCCACAAAAAAAGATGAAATCCTGTCATTTTCAATAAAATAGTTGAGCCTGGAGAACATTGTGTCAAGGGAAATAAGCTAGGTATAGAAAGAAAAATACTGCATGGTATCATTCATGTGAAGAATCTAAACAAATTGATCTCAACGGCATTGAGAATGGAATAGTGGTTATCAAAGATGGGAAAAACGGGAAGTGGAAGATGGGGAGAGGTTTTTTAATGGTAAAATGTTAAAGTTAGGTAGGAGGAATAAGTTGCTGTATAGTAGGGTGACTATAGCTGACAATAATGTATCTTTCAAAAAGCTAGAAGAGAGGATTTTGAATGTACTCACGATAAAGAAATGATAAATGTGTAAGGTAATCAATATGCTAATAACCATTATTTGATCATTACACAGTGTATACATGTACTGAAACATCAAATTGTATTCCATAAATATGTACAATTATATGTGTATGTGTGTTTATGTGTGCGTGTGTATGATCCCATCAGATTTTTTATATGACACCTACAAACCTAGCAAATGTGTGGTTTTCCTCAAGTTTCTGTTTGTGTAATTAATGTATCTTTTCTCCAGTTTACAGACTGGGGAAACATTAATACATATATTAATTATATAAATTAATACTTTTTTATATAAGTGTGTATGTATATGTGTGTGTGTATATATACATAGACACACACACCAGAAGTTACATATATATGTGTGTGTGTATATATATGTGTGTGTATATATATGAAGTTACATTTATGTGTGTGTGTGTATATATATAGGAAATTACATATATAGGTATTTGTGTATGTATATATATAACTTTCAGGCCATTTCCCAGATTCTAGTAATATTTATTTTGTGTGACTTTGCTATACTCAGGCATACCTTGTCTTATCACATGGCTTTCTGTCTATCAAGGAATACTAACATCATGTGGAATTTTTTAAAGATGTCCAAGCTATATCACAAATGCTTGAATTCAGAATCTCTAAAGTAGGTCTATAATTATATTTGTTGAAAATATATTTTTACACTTGACTCTGATACAAAAAAAATTTAAATCAATTAAGAATAAGAAACTACAACCTCTAGCATTCATTACAGTAGAGTTGTTCCTACTAGAAAATGCAATATTTCAATATTTGATCTCATTTTCCCTATTTCTTGCCTGGCTTGTAGAGATCTGGAAGATATCTTTTTGTGCATGATGAACCAACAAACAAGTATGCAAGAGAGTGACACAGATTTTATTTCTCCCAGAGAACAGACAGATGCAATGAAGACACATCTTATCAATGGATTTTGTTTCTCAAGTCAAAGTCAGCTTTTCTTAAACCATTTCCTTATGCAAGAAGATGGGGAGCTGAATGTGGAAAAATGCTCTTCAAACAAATAATTTGATAATTGCCAATGAAGAGTGTTCTTTCTTCTCACTACAGATGAAATACAAGAGATGTATCTAAGACCAGAGCTTTTACTTTCTCTAACTGGAGTGAAATTAAAATTGATGGATATTTTATTTTTATTTTCATTTTTATTTTTTCTTCTTTTTTTTTCTTGTGATTGTCTTTTTTATTTTAGCCATTTAAGTACATCAAAAAAAAAGGCAACACTTCCTCAAAGTGAATAAAAATGGAACAAAAATAAAAAAAAAAATTTCCATAGGCCTAGCAGAAACTTAACACATGCTATAATATGTTGCCTAACAATTATACCTTGCAAATATTTGACTATTTCTATTTTTTCAATAGTATCTTAATGGGAGTTTGGAAGAAAATACATCAAGGTGGCTAGCAAACACAATTTCAAATTATAAAGTAATAATATTTATAATTTCTGAGTAATGTACAATTTAACATGAAAAATAGATATCATTATAGCATAAATCCAGGCTAGATTTTAGGACTAAGTAAAATGTCTCAATGGTTTTGTTTTGTTTTAAAAAAGGCATAAGGTTCTCTCGTTATTTAGGCTATTAATCTATCTCCACCTTTTTACTTCCACTTGTATTCTAGTCATTGGTTTTATTAAGAGTTACAACTACCTGAGCAAGTACTTTTTCTTCTATTACATATTAACTATTCCTCTCACTTCAAATTTTTATGAATTATATATTCTAAACTACAAATGCTTGTGTAGCTATGTCCTAACCATGGGTACCATTTTTTATAGTTTGTTTCATTATAAATTCATAGGCTTATTCATTGTTGCATCATAAGTGAAGAATGTGGGAATTCTCAGTGAAAAGACTCAGAACACCACAAAAATAACGTCTTATGGAATCAATACATTAGTTGGAAACAGCAGCAAAATTATTTTTTTCCTCCTCTTAATTACATGCTTTACTGTTCTTCAGCAGAAGGTACAAAATGTTCACTGTCGTTTAAGAATTCTAAGTTTGCTTCATCCATTACTTGTCTTTCATTTTCTAATACTTTGGTATCCTTTCCATGGGATTTTTTCCTTACAACAAAAATAAATACAGTAAGTAAAACAAGTACTGGAAATATTAGGGCTACCTTCAAGCCGAAGAAGGCTCTTCTGTGAAAAGAGAATAAAGAAAATAGATTATTAAATTGTGTAAAATATTTTACATTTTTTTCTCCCCAGTATGCAGACCTTAAAAGAAAAAAAAAACAGAAGTTATACATACAAATATTAAGAAAGCAATTCTGTTTATTCTTTTCATTGGGGAATAAAAAACTTTCCTATTGTTTTTTTTTTATTTAAATGCAAAGCTACAGAAACTAAACTCCGGCTTTCTCTAGCCTTCCTCTGGGATGGAGAAAAATATACATCTCCAGACCTCTCAAACCCTCTCATTCTACATAAGGGCAGGAGACAGAAACTGAGAAGGAAGTTCGAAGTTCACAATCCACAGGTACAGGCTCGGTAAAAGATTGAGACCTTATCATAGAACTGTTGAATGCTACTTTTTCTCCAGCACCTTACACCACATTAATAAACCCTTAAATACAGCCATTCCTTTTACCCAGTACATTTTGTCTGGCTGTCAAGAAAAAATTGCAAGTCTCATACTAAAAGGCAATAAACACAGTCTGAAAAGAATAAGACTTAAAGCCAGATCCAGGTATATAACGGACGTTGGAATTATCAAAATGGAAATTTAAAACAACTATTATTAATTTGCTAAGGGCTCTAATGAATAATGTAGAGAGCATGCAAGAACAGGGGAGCAATGTAAGCAAGGAGATAAAAATTCTAAGAGCCAAAAAGAATCACTAAAGATTAAAAAATACTGTAACAGATATGACAAATACCTTAATTTTTTTATTGTTAGGTAGATTACAGCTGAGGAAACTATCTCTAAGTATATCCCAATACAAACCTCCAAAATTAAAAGCAAAGAAAAGTAAGACTAGAGGAAAAAAAAAAAGGATAGCCAAGAACTTTGTGATAACTACGTGTGTATAATGGAAATACTTGAAAGGGAGAAAGAAAGGAACAAAATAAATATTTGAACTAAAAAGCACTGAAAATTTTTCTTGAATGAATGTCAGACACTAAACTACAGACCCAGGAAGCTCAGAAAACACCAAGAAGGAAAATTGCCAGAAAAATTATGCATAGTTTTGTTATTTTCAGACTGTAGAAAATCAAAGATGAAGAAAACATCCTGTAAGAAGCCAGAAAAAAAACAAACCTTATGTATAGAGGAGCAAAAGATTACATCAGACTTCTCTTCAGAAACCATGCACTCCAGAAGAGAGTGGACTGAAATATTCAAAGTGTTGAGAGAAAAACACCTCCAACTTACAATTATGTACCCTGTGCAATTATCTCTCAAAAGTCAAGTTGAAATAAAGACATCATCGGAGAGCAGCCAAGATGGCCGAATAGGAACAGCTCCGGGCTACAGCTCCTAGCATGAGCGACGCAGAAGACTGGTGATTTCTGCATTTCCATCTGAGGTACCGGGTTCATCTCACTAGGGAGTGCCAGACAGTGGGCACAGGACAGTGGGTGCAGCACACCGTGCGTGAGCCAAAGCAGGGTGAGGCATTGCCTCACTCAGGAAGGGCAATGGATCAGGGAGCTCCCTTTCCTAGTCAAAGAAAGGGGTGACAGACGGCACCTGGAAAATCGGGTCACTCCCACCCTAATACTGCGCTTTTCTGACGGGCTTAAAAAACGGCGCACCAGGAGATTATATCCCGCACCTGGCTCGGAGGGTCCTACACCCACGGAGTCTCCCTGATTGCTAGCACAGCAGTCTGAGATCAAACTGCAAGGTGGCAGCGAGGCTGGAGGAGGGGCGCCCGCCATTGCCCAGGATTGCTTAGGTAAACAAACCAGCTGGGAAGCTCGAACTGGGTGGAGCCCACCACAGCTCAAGGAGGCCTGCCTGCCTCTGTAGGCTCCACCTCTGGGGGCAGGGCACAGACAAACAAAAAGACAGCAGTAACCTCTGCAGACTTAAATGTCCCTGTCTGACAGCTTTGAAGAGAGCAGTGGTTCTCCCAGCACGCAGCTGGAGATCTGAGAACGGGCAGACTGCCTCCTCAACTGGGTCCCTGACCCCTGACCCCTGAGCAGCCTAACTGGGAGGCACCCCCTGTAGGGGAAGACTGACACTTCACACAGCCGGGTACTCCTCTGAGACAAAACTTCCAGAGGAATGATCAGACAGCAGCACTCTCGGTTCACGAAAATCTGCTCTTCTGCAGCCACCGCTGCTGATACCCAGGTAAACAGGGTCTGGAGTGGACCTCTAGCAAACTCCAACAGACCTGCAGCTGAGGGTCCTGTCTGTTAGAAGGAAAACTAACAAACAGAAAGGACATCCACACCAAAAACCCATCTGTACATCACCATCATCAAAGACCAAAAGTAGATAAAACCACAAAGATGGGGAAAAAACAGAGCAGAAAAACTGGAAACTCTAAAAAGCAGAGCGCCAATCCTCCTCCAAAGGAACGCAGTTCCTCACCAGCAACGGAACAAAGCTGGATGGAGAATGACTTCAACGAGTTGAGAGAAGAAGGCTTCAGACGATCAAACTACTCTGAGCTACAGGAGGAAATTCAAACCAAAGGCAAAGAAGTTGAAAATTTTGAAAAAAATTTAGACGAATGTATAACTAGAATAACCAATACAGAGAAGTGCTTAAAGGAGCTGATGGAGCTGAAAGCCAAGGCTCGAGAACTACGTGAAGAATGCAGAAGCCTCAGGAGCCGATGCGATCAACTGGAAAAAAGGGTATCAGTGATGGAAGATGAAATGAATGAAATGAAGCGAGAAGGGAAGTTTAGAGAAAAAAGAATAAAAAGAAACGAACAAAGCCTCCAAGAAATATGGGACTATGTGAAAAGACCAAATCTACGTCTGATTGGTATACCTGAAAGTGACAGGGCGAATGGAACCAAGTTGGAAAACACTCTGCAAGATGTTGTCCAGGAGAACTTCCCCAATCTAGCAAGGCAGGCCAACATTCAGATTCAGGAAATACAGAGAACACCACAAAGATACTCCTCGAGAAGAGCAACTCCAAGACACATAATTGTCAGATTCACCAAAGGTGAAATGAAGGAAAAAATGTTAAGGGCAGCCAGAGAGGAAGGTCAGGTTACCCACAAAGGGAAGCCCATCAGACTAACAGCTGATCTCTCAGCAGAAACTCTACAAGCCAGAAGAGCATGGGGGCCAATATTCAACATTCTTAAAGAAAAGAATTTTCAACCCAGAATTTCATATCCAGCCAAACTAAGCTTCATAAGTGAAGGAGAAATAAAATACTTTACAGATAAGCAAATGCTGAGAGATTTTGTCACCACCAGGCCTGCCCTAAAAGAGCTCCTGAAGGAAGCACTAAACATGGAAAGGAACAACCAGTACCAGCCACTGAAAAATCATGCCAAATTGTAAAGGCCATCGAGGCTAGGAAGAAACTGCATCAACTAATGAGCAAAATAACCAGCTAACATCACAATGACAGGATCAAATTCACACATAACAATATTAACTTTAAATGTAAATGGACTAAATGCTCCAATTAAAAGACACAGACTGGCAAATTGGATAAAGAGTCAAGACCAATCAGTGTGCGGTATTCAGGAAACCCATCTCACATGCAGAGACACACAAAGGCTCAAAATAAAGGGATGGAGGAAGATCTACCAAGCAAATGGAAAACAAAAAAAGGCAGGGGTTGCAATCCTAGTCTCTGATAAAACAGACTTTAAATCAACACAGATCAAAAGAGACAAAGAAGGCCATTACATAATGGTAAAGGGATCAATTCAACAAGAAGAGCTAACTATCTTAAATATATATGCACCCAATACATGAGCACCCAGATTCATAAAGCAAGTCCTGAGTGACCTACAAAGAGACTTAGACTCCCACACAATACTGATGGGAGACTTTAACACCCCACTGTCAACATTAGACAGATCAATGAGACAGAAAGTTAACAAGGATACCCAGGAATTGAACTCAGCTCTGCACCAAGCGAACCTAATAGACATCTACAGAACTCTCCACCCCAAATCAACAGAATATACATTTTTTTCAGCACCACACCACACCTATTCCAAAATTGACCACATACTGGGAAGTAAAACTCTCCTCAGCAAATGTAAAAGAACAGAAATTATAACAAACTATCTCTCAGACCACAGTGCAATCAAGCTAGAACTCAGGATTAATAATCTCACTCAAAACCGCTCAGCTACATGGAAACTGAACAACCTGCTCCTGAATGACTACGGGGTACATAACGAAATGAAGGCAGAAATAAAGATGTTCTTTGAAACCAACGAGAACAAAGACACAACATACCAGAATCTCTGGGACGCATTCAAAGCAGTGTGTAGAGGGAAATTTATAGCACTAAATGCCCACAAGAGAAAGCAGGAAAGATCCAAAATTGACACCCTAACATCACAATTAAAAGAACTAGAAAAGCAAGAGCAAACACATTCAAAAGCTAGCAGAAGGCAAGAAATAACTAAAATCAGAGCAGAACTGAAGGAAATAGAGACACAAAAAACCCTTCAAAAAATTAATGAATCCAGGAGCTGGTTTTTTGAAAGCATCAACAAAATTGATAGACCGCTAGCAAGACTAATAAAGAAAAAAAGAGAGAAGAATCAAATAGACACAATAAAAAATGATAAAGGGGATATCACCACCGATCCCACAGAAATACAAACTACCATCAGAGAATACTACAAACACCTCTACGCAAATAAACTAGAAGATCTAGAAGAAATGGATAAATTCCTCGACACGTACTCTCTCCCAAAACTAAACCAGGAAGAAGTTGAATCTCTGAATAGACCAATAACAGGCTCTGAAATTGTGGCAATAATCAATAGCTTAGCAACCAAAAAGAGTCCAGGACCAGATGGATTCACAGCTGAATTCTACCAGAGGTACAAGGAGGAACTGGTACCATTCCTTCTGAAACTATTCCAATCAATAGAAAAACAGGGAATCCTCCCTAACTCATTTTATGACGTCAGCATCATCCTGATACCAAAGCCAGGCAGAGACACAACCAAAAAAGATAATTTTAGACCAATATCCTTGATGAACATTGATGCAAAAATCCTCAATAAAATAATGGCAAACTGAATCCAGCAGCACATCAAAAAGCTTATCCAACATGATCAAGTGGGCTTCATCCCTGGGATGCAAGGCTGGTTCAATATACGCAAATCAATAAATGTAATCCAGCATATAAACAGAACCAAAGACAAAAACCACATGATTATCTCAATAGATGCAGAAAAAGCCTTTGACAAAATTCAACAACCCTTCATGCTAAAAACTCTCAATAAATTAGGTATTGATGGGACATATCTCAAAATAATAAGAGCTATCTATGACAAACCCACAGCCAATATCATACTGAATGGGCAAAAACTGGAAGCATTCCTTTTGAAAACTGGCACAAGACAGGGATGCCCTCTCTCACCACTCCTATTCAACAGAGTGTTGGAAGTTCTGGCCAGGGCAATCAGGCAGGAGAAGGTAATAAAGGGTATTCAATTAGGAAAAGAGGAAGTCAAATTGTCTCTGTTTGCAGAAGACATGATTGTATATCTAGAAAACCCCATTGTCTCAGCCCAAAATCTCCTCAAGCTGATAAGCAACTTCAGCAAAGTCTCAGGATACAAAATCAATGTACAAAAATCACAAGCATTCTTATACACCAATAACAGACAAACAGAGAGCCAAATCATGAGTGAACTCCCATTCACAATTGCTTCAAAGAGAATAAAATACCTAGGAATCCAACTTACAAGGGATGTGAAGGACCTCTTCAAGGAGAACTACAAACCACTCCTCAAGGAAATACAAGTGGATACAAACAAATGGAAGAACATTCCCTGCTTATGGGTAGGAAGAATCAATATCGTGAAAATGGCCATACTGCCCCAGGTAATTTACAGATTCAATGCCATCCCCATCAAGCTACCAATGACTTTCTTCACAGAATTGGAAAAAACTACTTTAAAGTTCATATGGAACCAAAAAAGAGCCTGCATACCAAGTCAATCCTAAGCCAAAAGAACAAAGCTGGAGGCATCACCCTACCTGACTTCAAACTATACTACAAGGCTACAGTAACCAAAACAGCATGGTACTGGTACCAAAACAGAGATATAGACCAATGGAACAGACCATGAGTGATAAAGATATGTCAATATGGGTTGTCAATTGTAACAAATCTACCACCCTGATGGGAGATGTTGATAACGGGCAAGGCTATGCATGTGTGGGAGCAGGCAGGATATGGGAAATCTCTGTGCTTTCTCCTCAATTGTACTGCGATTCTAAAACTATTCTAAAAAATAAAGTCCTTTAATAATCATAAGATAACCATTTAACTGTTGTATTAATTGGCAAATAACTGCTCTTTTAAAAATGTCCACTTTAACCAATCCAGCAGTGAACACAGGTGACTAAAATAAAAGTAGTAAGGGCCATGTGTCAGCTACAATATGCCAGGAGAGTTGTAAAGAGGGATGGTTATTTCTAGCTGGCTGAAGTGGTGCAAACTTTTGAAGAAAGGGTGTATGAGATAAGCTTGAAGCATGCACTGGATGTCAGAAGCCTAACACTTGCCTTAATTGGCTAAAATCAAGGTATTGATAGAGCTGCATCTTTTTATTTTATTTTATTATTTATTTATTTTTGAGATGGAGTCTCACTCTGTTGCCCATGCTAGACTACAGTGGCAAGATCTTGGCTCACTGCTACGTCCACCTCCCAGGTTCCCGTGATTCTCCTACCTCAGCATCCTGAGTAGTTGGGATTACAGGCACCTGCCACCATGCCAGGCTAATTTTTGTATTTTTTAGTAGAGACGGGGTCTCACCATGTTGGCCAAGCTGGTCTCTAACTCCTGACCTCAAGTGATCCACCTTCCTTGGCCTCCCAAAGTGCTGAGATTACAGGTATAAGCCACCGCGCCTAGCCCTGCATTTTTTTTCTGTAAGCTCTACAACCTGTTTCCTTGTCTTTTCCCACTTCTAGAGGCGACCTACATTCCTTGGCTTCTGGGCCGTTTCCTTCAACTTCAAAACCGGCAACAATATGCATAGTCGTTCTCACATCACATCCCTCTGACCTCTTCTGTTGCTTCCCACTTACATACACACATACATATATATGTGTGGGTGTACACAACACACACACACACACACACACACACACACACATTTCCTTTTAGTTCTACCAAAACCTTCACTAAAGGAAAAGAAACTAATATGGGTTTTTTAAAAAATTGTTTTAGAAGTCTTTTCATACTGAAACTAAAGTAACTAAAGTAATGCTATCCTAAAATGTGATGTTAATGCTTGGACTTGGTGATCATTGCTTTGGGGAGATTCTGAGGAGCATCTTGACAGTTGTCCTAAAATGAGTTATAATTCCAAATAAAAATAAACACTTTCGGCCGGGCACAGTGGCTCACACCTGTAATCCCAGCACTCTGGGAGGCCTAGGCGGGTGTATCATGAGGTCAGGAGATTGAGACCATCCTGGCTAACACGGTGAAACCCCGTCTCTACTAAAAATACAAAATATTAGCCGGGCCTGGTGGCAGGCGCCTGTAGTCCCAGCTACTTGGGAGGCTGAGGCAGGAGAATGGTGTGAATCCTGGAGGCAGAGCTTGCAGTGAGCCGAGATTGCGCCACTGCACTCCAGCCTGGCCAACAGAGCGAGACTCAGTCTCAAAAAGCAAACAAACAGACAGAAATAAACACTTTCTTAACATAATGTCATTAAAGTAAATTTAGTAAGTGTTGCTTTTTTATTTCTTTCCATACTTTTATTCGTGGAAATAAAATCTACCATTTAGGAAGACATTTTATATAATAAGACTTAAAGTTAGGAGAATGTGGGGTAGTGAATGCTGCTTTACTACAATTCCAGGAAAAGCTGGATCATTACTTGTTGGGAATGTTTGATAGTGAATTTACATATTAAGTAAGAGAAGGTTCTAGTAAATTTGACCCAGGGAGTTTTCTCCAGGGATTTCACCTGAACTAAGAAACATTCCCCACTTTACATAAACAATAGCATGCTCCACGTATTCTTCCTGCTTTGTCCTTTTTTTTAATGTAACAATATATTGTGAATAGGGTCCATATTAGAAAATACATATCTCGTTTCTTCTTTTTTTAAGAACTCAGAATATTCATTTGCCTGCATGTGTCACTATTTGATAACTTATTGATTGATATTTACATTGTTTTCAGTATTTTGGGAATATAGCTTGCTAGAGGATAAATTCCTAGAAGTACTCCCACTGGCTCAAAGTCATTTACTTTGCAAACACAATCTCCAATCAACACCTTTGTTGACAATCTGGGTGACTTTTAATTGCAATTCTCTTATTGTCAATGAATAAAAAAATGATGTTCATATTTTCATGTTTCATAACCTCTAGTGACTTTTTTGGAAAATGTTTGATGATTTTTTTTCTTTACTAGTTCCTATATCTTATAGCAATTTTAGTTTTACAGAAAACTGTACAGAAAGTATGGAGGGCTCCCTGCCCAACATACGCACAGTTTCTCCTATCATTAACCCCTTGTATTAGTACAGCACATTTGTTCCAAATGATGAAAGAATACCGATACATTATTAAGTCCATATTTTACATTAGAGTTCACTTTCTATGTTGTAAATTTCCAAAGGTTTGGCAAATGCATATTATGATGCAACATTATAATATCATATAGAATAGTTTCACTAGCCCAAAAAATGTCTTGTGTCAGACCTATTCAGACCTATTCATCCATTCCTTTTCCCCACTGAGCCCCAAGAAACAACTGATCTTTTCATTGCCCATTGTTTTGCCTTTTCTACAAAGTTATACAGTTAAAATTATACAATCTGAAGCTTTGTAGGCTGCCTTCTTTTATTTACACATTTAATTTTCCTTTCTTTCTTTTTGTAGATTGATAGCTCATTTTTTTTTAATTGATTGATGTGATTTGGATTTGTGTCTCTGCCCAAATATCATGCCAAATTGGAGGAGGGGCCTGGTGGGAGATGACTGGATTATGGGGGGTGGATTTCCCCCTTTCTGGTCTCAAGATAGTGAGTGAGTTATGAGATCTGATGGTTTAGAAGTGTGTGGTACTTCCACTTTTGCGCTCTCTCTCTCTCTCTCCTGTTGCCATGAGAAGATATGCTTTGTTTCCCCTTCGCCTTGTGCCATGACTGTAAGTTTCCTGAGGCCTCCCAGTCATGCTACCTGTAAAGCCTGTTGAACTGTGAATGAATTAATCCTGTTTTCTTCATAAATTACCCAGTCTCAGGTAGTTCTTTATAGCATCCTGAGAATGGACTAATACATTGATGACTAATATTCCATTGTATGAATGTACCACAGTTCAATTATTTGTTTACCTATTAAAGGACATCTTAAATGCTTCCACTTTTTAACATTCAAATGCAGGGTTTTTTTTTGTGGACATGTTTCCAATTAATTTAGGTAAATATCTGGGAGCATGATTGCTTAATCATACAGTAAATCTATCTTTTGCTTTTAAAAAACTTTGACTCTGTCTTCCAACATGGCTGTACCATTTTATATTACCTCCAGCAATGAAAGAAAATTCCTGTTATCTCATTCTTGCCAGCATTTGGTGGTGTTTTTGTTAATTTTTAAGAGCTTTTTATATACATAGGACATTTGCCTATGTCTGTGTCTGACTTAGAAATTCTTCTAATTTATCTTTTGCTGTTGAATTTCACTTAAAATAAGTTCTGGTGATGCAGTTTTTAAAATATTTTATTATTTGTTCCTTTTCTTTATCTTCTTTGTTTTAACATTTATTTTAGGTTCACGGGTACATGTGCAGGTTTGTTATGTAGGTAAATTGTATGCTATGCAGGTTTGGTGTACAGACTTATTGTCACCCAGGTAATAATCATAGTCACTTATAGGTAGCTTTGTATCTTCACCCTCCTCTCACCCTCCACCCACAAGCAGACCCCAGTGTCTCTTGTTCCCTTATTTGTGTCCATATGTACTCAATGTTTAGCTCCCACTTAAAAGAGAGAACATGTGGTATTTGATTTTCTGTTCCATAGGCTCACTTATGATTCAACATCACTAATTATTAGAGAAATACAAATCAAAACTACAATGAGATACCATCTCACACCAGTTAGAATGGCTATTGTTAACAAGTAAAAAAATAACAGATACTGACAAGGTGGTGAAAAAAAGGGAACACTCATACATTACTGGTGGGATTGTAAATTAGTTCTGCCATTGTAGAAAGCAGTCTGGTGGTTTATCAGAGAATGTAAAACAAAATTACCATTCAGCCCATTAATTGTATTACTGGGTATAAACCCAAAGCAATAAAAATCCTTCCACCATTTTTTTTTTTTAATTATCATTTGGGGCATTTGGGTCATACTTGGTGTTATGGGTTGGTTGTGTCCCCACCCAAATCTCATCTTAAACTATAGTTCCCATCATCCCCAAATGTCGTGGAAGGGACCCAGTGAGAGGTAACTGAATTATGGGGATGGTTATCTCCACACTGTTCTCGTAGTGAGTGAGTTCTCATGAGACCTGATGGTTTTATAAGGTGCTTTTCTCCCTCTTTGCTTGGCACTTCTTCTTGCTGCTGCCATGTGCAGAAGGATGTGTTTGCTTTCCCTTCTGCTGTGATTTTAAGTTTACCCAGGCCTCCCCAGCCCTCCAGAACTGCAAGTCAATTAAACCTCTTTCCTTTATAAATTACCAGTCTTGAGTATGTCTTTATTAGCAGTGTGAGACTGGACTACTACAGTAAATAGGTACCAGGTAAGGGGGCACTGCTGTAAAGATATCCCAAAATGGGGAAGCAACCTTGGAATTTGGTAACAGGCAGAGGTTGGAATTGTTTGGATGGCTCAGAAGAAGACAGAAAAATGTGGGAAACTTTGGAACTTCCTAGAGACTTGGAGGGCTCAGAAAATAGGAAGATGTGGGAAAGTTTGAAACTTTCAAGAGTCTTGTTGAATAGCTTTGAACAAAATGCTGATAGTGATATGGATGATAAAGTCCAGGCTGACGTGGTCTCAGATGGAGATGAGGAACTTGTTGGGAGCTGGAGTAAAGGTCACTGTTGCTATACAAAGAGTTGGGTGACATTTTGCCCCTACCCTGGAGATCTGTGGAACTTTGAACTTGAGAAAGATAATTTAGGGTATCTGGTGGAAGAAATTTCTAAGTGGCAAAGTGTTCAAGAAGAAGTGGTGCATAAAAGTTTGAAAAATTTGCAGCCTGATGATACAGTAGAAAAGAAACCCATATTCTGCGGAGAAATTCAAGCCAGCTGCAGAAATTTACATAAGTAATGAGAAGACAAATGTTAATTGCCAAGATAATGGAGAGAATGTCTCCAGGGAATGTCAGAGACCTTTGTGGCAGCCCCTCCCATCACAAAACAAGAGGCCTAAGAGAAGTACTGGTTTTGTGGGCTGGGCCCAGGGACCCCTGCTGTGTGTAGCCCAGAAACTTGGTGCTACAAGTCCCAGACACTCCAGCCATTTTTAAAAGACGCCATGGTACAGCTTGCCCCATGGCTTTAGAGGTTGCAAGCCGCGAGCCTTGGCAGCTTCCATGTGGTGTTGAACCTGTAGATGCACAGAAGTAAAGAATTGAGGTTTGGGAACCTCCGCTAAGATTTCAGAACATGTATGGAACTTTCTAGGCAGAAGCTTGCTGCAGGGATGGGGCCCTTATGCAGAATCTCTGCTGGGACAGTGTGGAAGGGAAATGTAGGGTTGGAACCCCCACACAGAGTCCCCACTGGGGCACTCCCTAGTGTGGCTGTTAGAAGATGCCCACCATCCTCTATACCCCAGAATGGTAGACCTACCAACACCTTGCTTTGTGTGCCTGAAAAAGCTGCAGACACAATGCCAGCCCTTAAAAGCAGCCTGAAGGGAAGCTGTATCCTGCAAAGCCACAGTGGTAGAGCTGCCCAAGACCATGGGAGCCCACCTCTTGCATCTGTGTAAACTGGACGTGAGACATGGAGCCAAAGGAGGTCATTTTGGAACAATAAGGTTTAAAGACTGCCCTATTAGATTTTCGGCTTGCATGGGGCCTGTAGCCCCTTTGTTTTGGCCAATTTCTCCCATTTGGAATGGGTGTATTAACCCAATGCCTGTACTCCCCATTGTACCTAGGAAGCAACTTATCTGCTTTGATTTTACCAGCTCATAGGCAGAAGGTACTTGCTTTGTCTCAAATGAGACTTTGGACTTGGACTTTTGAGTTAATGCTGAAATGAGTTAAGACTTTAGGGGCCTGGTGGGAAGGCATAATTGTGTTTTGAAATGTGAGGACATGAGATTTGAGAGGGGCCAGGGACAGAATGATATTGTTTGGCTGTGTCCTCACCCAAATCTCATCTTGAACTGCAGTTCCCATAATCCCCATGTGTCATGGCAGGGACCCATTGGGAGGTAATTGAATCATGGAGATGGTTACCTCCATGCTCTTCTCATGAAAGTGAATGAGTTCTCACGAGATCAGATGGTTTTATAAGGGGCTCTTCTTTTCCTTCACTCTGCACTTCTCCTTGCTGCTGCCATGTAAAGAAAGATGTGTTGGCTTCCCTTTCTGCCATAATTGTAAGTTTCCTGAGGCCTCCCCAGACCTGAAGAACTGTCAGTCAATTAAACCTCTTTCATTTATAAATTACCCAGTCTTGGGTATGTCTTTATTAGCAGTGTGAGAATCGACTAATACACTTAGAAACACATTTTTTTCTTCCTAGATAATTAAAAGAAATCCTATGTGAGTAGTTCTAATACTTATAATTTCACATGTAAAATTTGTGTATTTGGTCAATATATAAATTTCAAACTAATGTTTCTATAATTAGTAAGGCACACTTGCAGCAGCTTGTTTTCCTCCAGATGATCATCCAGTTATCTTAATGTCACTAAGAGAATACCTTTGCCTATGAAGAGTATGGAAACATTTTTTCCCATATTTTCCTCAATGACCATATAACCAGAGCCCAGCTGGTCATTCTACATCTTCCTGGAGAAGCCAGAGGAGGAGAATTTTGTAATAAAAAGAGATTCAAGTACAGATCCCAGCTGTATTTCTTTTAGTTATGCTATTTTGGACAAGTTATTCATTATTCTTGAAACCTATTTTCTTCATATTTAAAGAAGGAGAAAATAGTGATTTTCTACAGTTTCTATGATTATTAAAATGAGATACCAGAATGCCTGAAACAATACTAAATACAAAGCAAGGGTTCACTATATGGTAGCTATCATTATTAATATTATAATCACACTAAAATGATAGACTTAGGAATTAACATAGTCAAAGAAAAAATCTATTAATAAAATATATTTATGACAACTTACCCCAAATATGTGGAATTATATATCCTACAAGCCCCTCGTGCTCCACAGCTGTTGGTGGACCACTTCATACACGTTGTATCAATCAGAGCCCCAAAATATATTGGAACTAGAATACCTCCTGCAACATGAGATAAGAAGATATCAATCCAAGGAAAATGTTTCAGATATAACTGGGTGATATTCAACATTGATATATTTTGAGTTAAAAAAGTTTACAATTTTGGAAAATTATTCCATTGTTTTGGCCTACATCTACCCAAGAATCACAATTATTAGGAAGCTCAAAGGCTTAAGTCATATGGTAATGTCATAGACATATTTGATCTACTCTTCCCTCCCTATATTCATAGGGAAGAAGGAGGACTATATACCTATATACTCTGTTCTTCCTATAACATCGATTAACTTAAACCTGATTGGTAAAAGGGGAACGTTATTAGTAAAACATGGAAATCATATTGATTCATATACAATTTTTCTTAGGCAAGAAAGACTGGATTACTGGGAGTCAAATTACAACCTTATGGGAAAAGGAAAAAGCTCTCACCTCAACTGCTGTAAAGTCAAAGATTTTTAATACTATTTTAAGAAAATTAAAAAGTGAATGCTTACATCAGGATTCCCTCCCCCAGAGATGTTCAGGCCTGGTTTCAAAGAGTGCTCAGCTATTGGCCAGTTTTACTTCTTTCTGGGCTCAGAACCCCATTTCCTCCTTCTTGGTGCTCTTAAAGACCACAGTCCAGCATTTTCTTTCCATTGATTTAATGCTTTTCTTAATATCTCCTAAAGCAGCCTAGGCTGTACAGGTCAGGTTCGCTGCTAAATTTTGTTTCTGTTAGTGGTCTTATCACAACGGTGCATACATTTCAGTGGTCTGTCCCTAAGTCAATTTTTATCTGTAGTGCATGGTTTCACGGAAGGTACAGCATTCCAGGAATACATACATTGTTTATAGGAGAAGTATACATTCTGAGATTAACTCCTAGTTTTAAGCATAGGTAATTTGGTCAAAATTTTGAAGGACATCGTAGTAGAGAGCTATCCTTCAGATGTTAGAACTGAAGCATACAAGATTTTAGTTTGTTCTTGTTCTTTTTTGTGACTCATACTTTTCAGATTTTGTCACAAAACATGACAGTGATTTATATATGGCACTTTACTGATTCTGCTTATTTTTAATCATTCTCAATTTCTGACAGTAAGAAATATTAGAATGACAAGGGAATGGTGTCTGAGGCCAATGTATCTGAAGCAATCTAGTGCTGACAAAATGGGTGAGAAATTTGCAGATTTCAAAAACTCAGGAGCACCTTTGAAAAATAAAAAATAGATGTCAACAATTTATTTTCTTCACATTATGCCACTGGTTTAAACAAACTTTATGAAGTAAATGTGTTAACTAACACTTAATTACTGGAATTAGAAACCTCTGATGACCTATTTTCTAAATAACTTTTTCAATTTAATACACTATATATTATAATAGGCCTTCCACAATTTACAGACATACCATATTTAAGATGATTGTTTGTGAATTGGAAGTTTGGTACTAAGTGTGCATTTTTCCCATAGAGGCATTTGAGCTTCATTGTGGCATATGGTGGACACATCGAAATTGGATGTTCACAATTAGGATGGCCAGATTTATTTTTTTCTATTTTATGTTGCTAAAATAATTTCTATTTTCAGTCTCATTTCAACATATCAGAAGAAATACTAACTACCCAGAACTATTTTCAGCCTCTGTGTTCAAGTTCCAGGAGTGAGGTATCTTCACTGAATCTGAAGGTAGAGAACTGCCAAGATTACAGAGGCTGGAAGATTAGGGACACAGAAAGGGAATACTGGGAAGAGAACCGATGTAACCCTGCAGCATCTCCATCTTCTCTCTCCTATTCCCTTTGCACTTCTTTTTACCTTTCAGGATCTGTGACCTTCTCACCAACTACACTTCATGACAACTCCATTGTAACTTGGCCATACTTTTTCCTTTGCTTGCAAGGGTCCCAGAAACTGACCCCTCCCACTTCCTTTTCCTTCTGCCATCAGTGGTTACCTATGGGCCATAATCAGTCCTCTGCACCAATCCCTAGATGGATGATGCCCTTTTGCTACTTCCCAGGAATAAGCATATAAGGTTTACAGTTCTTACGAAGGAGCACTCACAGGGGTTAGGCTAGACATTGTTTAACAACAGGCAGCTGTGCAGTAAAGAGGGCAAATGGCAACAAGGGAGAAAGGGTAATTTTCTAAATCTTTTCTAATCAACTTTGAATATTTAAAATATAGGCCTCTAAAAGGTGGCCGATAGGAGGCAGGACTAGCTTGCAGCTCTCACTTGGACAAACAGAGCAGCATGTGGAGACTCACATCGCGAACTTTTTCTCCAAGAACTACCATAGCAACATAGTGGGAAAGCTGAGAGAATCCACAAACCCTTTGAAGAAACTGTATCACCAGCTGCAGGCTCCCTGAGATGCCAAAAAACGGAGTCAGCTTCCTTTCTCAGCAGGGAGGCTGGTGGTTAGGGGCAAGTTTTTAGCCTTCGTCACCAAATACCTGGTAATAGACTCAGTGCTGTTGGGGGTCACAGTGGCAGTGAGATCAGCCTGTAGGACTGCATGCTAGATAGGAGTAGGGTAAGGCCTGTTACTGCCGGTCCTTCCACGCCCCCCTGCCGCTCACCTGGTCCCCCACTACTTCTTTTGAAATTTGTGTGACTCAGCAGAGGCAGCCATAATTCCCTTGGGAACATAACTTCATTGGCCTGGGAACCACACCCTCATCCCCCACAGCAGCCACAGCAAGCCCTACCCAAAGAGAGTCTGAGCTCAGACATGCCTACCTCTGCCCCCACCTGATGATCTTTCTCTACCTGCTCTGGCTGCCGATGACAAGAACATAATCTCTTAGGAGCTCTATGGCCTTGCCCACCAACTGAGAAACCTGAATACTTAACCAGGTGATCCTAGGGCAAGTTTGCTTCCTCTCTATAGTACTGCGGCTGATGTACTCTTGAAAGCACCACTGCCTGGCTGGAGGCCAACCCACACAAAACCGGTGAACTAAACAAAAATACAACCAAGGACCCTATCACAGTCCACTTCAACCTCCTGCTACCTCCGCCAGAGCAAATGCTGGTATCTATGGCTGAAAGACCTGAAGATGGATCACATCACAGGGACTCTTTGCAGACACTCCCTAGTACCAATCCAGAGCCCAGTAGCTCCACTGGGTGGCTAGACCCAAAAGAGTAAAAACAACAACTGCAGTTCAACTATCAGGAAGCCCCACCCCTAGGGGAATGGGTAGATTGCCACATCAAAGGAGCACCCTATGGGACAAAAAAATCTGAACAGCAGCCCTTGAGCTCCAGATCTTCCCTCTGTCATAATCTACAAAATGAGCAGGAACAATAAAAACAATTCTGATAATATAACAAAACAAAGTTCTTTAACACCCTCAAGAGTCACACCAGTTCACTAGCAATGGATCTAAACCAGACAAAACCTCTGAATTGCCAGGAAAATAATTCAGAAGGTCCATTATTAAGCTAGTCAATGAGGCGCCACAGAAAGGTGAAGTCCAACTTAAGGAAATAAAAAACATGATACAAGATATGAAAGGAAAATTTCTCAGTGAAATAGATAAGCTAAATCAAAAACAATCGCAACTTCTGGAAGTCAAGGACACACTTAGAGAAATGCAAAATGCACTGGAAAGTCTCAGCAATAGAATCAAACTAGCAGAAGAAAGACCTTCAGAGCTGGAAGACAAGGCTTTCAAACCAAATCAATTCATCAAAGAGAAAGAAAGAAGAATTTTAAAAAATAAACAAAGCCTCCAGAAAGTTTGAGACTAGGTTAAGCATCCAAACCTAAGAATAATTGGTGTTCCTAAGGAAGAAGAGAAATCTAAAAATCTGGAAAGCGTATTTAAGGGAATAATCAAGGAAAACTTTCCCAGCCTTGCTACAGATCCAGACATCCAAATACAAGAAGCTCAAAGAACACCTGGGAAATTCATCACAAAAAGATTATCACCTAGGCACGTATTCATCAAGTTATTTAAAGTCACGATGAAGGAAAGAATCTTAGGAGCTGTGAGGCAAAAACATCAGCATCAGGTAACCTATAAAGGAAAACCTATCAGAATCCCAGCAGATTTCTCAGCAGAAACTGTACAAGCCAGGAGGGATTGAGTTCCTATTTTTAGCCTCCTTAAACAAGAAAGTTATCGGCAAGAATTTTGTCCCCAGCAAAACTAAGCTTCATAAATGAAGGAAAGATAAAGTATTTTCCAGACAAACAAATGCTGAGAGAATTTGCCACTATCAAGCCAGCACTACAAGAACTGCTAAAAGAGCTTTAAATCTTGAAACAAATCCTCAAAAGACACCAAAATGGAACTTCCTTGAAGCATAAATCTCACAGGACCTGTATAACAATAACACACACACACACACACACACACACACACAACCCAAGGTATTCTGGCAGCTAGCACGATGAATAGAATAGTACCTCACATCTCAATACTAACGTTGAATGTAACTGACCTAAATGCCCCACTTAAAATATATAGAATGGCAGAATGGATAAGAATTCACTAACGAAGTTTCTGCTGTCTTCAGGAGAGACTCACCTAACACATAAGGATTCACATAAACTTAAAGGAGTGGAAATAGATATTCCACATAAATGGACACTAGAAGTGAGCAAGAGTAGCTATTCTTAGACAAAACAAACTTTAAAGCAACAGCAGTTTAAAAAGACAAAGGGGCACATTATATAATGATAAAAGAACTAGTCCTATAGGAACATATCAGAGTCTTAAATATATATGCACCTAACACTGGAGCTCCCAAATTTATATAAAAAACTTACTACTAGACCTAAGAAATGAGATAGACAGCAACTCAATAATAGTGGGGGACTTTAATACTCCACTCACAGTGCTAGATAGGTCATCAAGAGAGAAAGTTAGCAAAGAAACAATAGACTTAAACTACAGCCTAGAATAAATGAGCTTAACAGATACTTACTGAACATTCTACCCAATGACTGTAGAATATACATTCTATTCATCAGCACATGGAACATTGTCCAAGATAGACCATATGATAGGCCACAAAACATGTTTCAGTAAATTTAAGAAAGTGGAAATTACATCAAGTACTCTCTCACAGTGAAAGAAAATTGGAAATTAGCAGAAAAAGGAACACCAAAAACCATGAAAATACATGGAAATTACATAACTGTCTCCTGAATGATTGTTGGGTCAACAATGAAATCAAAATGGAAATTTAAAAAAGTTTTGAAAGGAACAAAAATGTGACAAAACTTATCAAAACTTCTGGGATACAGCAAAAGTGGTGCTAAGAGGAAAGTTCATAGCTTTAAATGCCTATATCAAAAAGTCTGAAAGAGCACAAATAGACAACATAAGGTCACATCTTATGGAACTAGAGAAACAAGAACAATCCAAACCCAAAGCCAATTGAAGAAAAGAAATAACAAAGATCAGGGCAGAACTAAGTGAAATTGAAACAACAGCAACAACAAAATACAAAATATAAATGAAACAAAAATCTGGTTCTTTGAAATGATAAATGAAATTGATAGACCATTAGCAAGCTTAACCAAGAAAAGAGAGCAGATCAAAATAAGCTCAATTAGAAACTAAATGGGAGATATTACTACTGATACCACAGAAATACAAAAGATTATTCGAGGCTACTATGAACACCTTTAAGTGCATAAACTAGAAAATCTAAAGGTGATGGATAAATTCCTGGAAATAAACAACCAGGAATAAATAGAAACTCTGAACAGACCAATAAAAACCAGTGAGATCGAAATGGTAATCTAAAAACTGCCAACAACAACAACAAAAAAAGTCCAGAACCAGACAGATTCACAGCTGAATTCTATCAGGAATTCAAAAAAGAATTGTTATCAATCCTATTGACACTATTCCACAGGATAGAGAAGGAATGTATTCCTCCTAAATTTTCTTTAGAGCCAGTATCACCCTAATACCCAAACCAAGAAAGGACATAACAAAAAAGAAAACTATAGACCGATATCCCTGATGAACATAGAAGCAAAAACCCTCAGCAAAATACTAGCTAACTCAATCTAACAGAAGATCAAACAGATAATACACCGTGATCAAGTGGGTTTCATACCAGGGATGTAGCGATGATTTAACATCCACCAGTCAATACACCACGATACACCACAAAAACAGAATTAAAAACAAAAATCACATGATCATCTCAATAGATGCAGAAAAAGCATTTGACAAAATCAGGCATCATTTTATGATTAAAACCCTCAGTAAAACTGGCATAGAAGAGACACGCCTTAAGGCAACAAAAGCCATCTATGGCAAACCCACAGCTAATATTTTACTGAATGAGGAAAAGTTGAAAGCATTCCCCCTGAAAACTGAAACAAGATAAGGATGCCTCCTTTCACCACTTCCATTAAACATAGTACTGGAAGTCCTAGCCAGAGCAATCAGACAAGAGAAAAAAATCAAGGGCATCCAAATTGGTAAAAAGGAAGCCAAACTGTCACTGGTGATGATATGATTGTAAACATAGAAAGCCCTAAGGATTCATCCAAAAAGCCCCTAGAGCTGGTGAATGAATTCAGCAAAGTTTCAGGATACAAAAATCTATGTATACAAATCAGTAGCTCTGCTATACACCAGCAGTGACTAAGTGGAGAATCAAATGAAGAACTCAACCCCTTTCACAATAGCTGCAAAAATATAAAATAATTCTTAGGAATATACCTAACAAAGGAGGTGAAAGACCTCTAAAAGAAAAACTACAAAACACTGCTGAAAGAAATCATAGATGACAAAAACAAATGGAAACACATCCCATGCTCAGGGATGTGTAGAATCAATATTGTGAAAATGACCATACTGCCACAAGCAAGCTACAAATTCAATGCAATTCCTGTCAAAATACCACCATCATTCTTCATAGAACTAGAAAAAATAATCTTAAAATTCAAGTGGAACCACGTAAGAGCCTGCATAGCCAAAGCAAGACTAAGCAAAATGAAAAAATCTGGAGGCATCACATTACCTGACTTCAAACTATACTATAAGGCCATAGTCACTAAAACAGCATGGTACTGGTATAAAAATAGGCACATAGATCAATAGAACAAAAGAGAGAACCCAGATATAAAGCCAAATACTAACAGCCAACTGATCTTTGACAAAGCAAACAAAAATATAAAGTGGAGAAAGAATACCCTAGTCAACAAATTGTGCTGGGATAATTGGCAAGTCACATGTAGAAGAATGAAACTGGATCCTCATCTCCCACCTTATATGAAAATCAACTCAAGATGAATCAAAGACTTAAATACAAGACCTGAAATCATAAAAGTTCTAGAAGATAACATCAGAAAAACCATTCTAGACATTGGCTTCGGCAAAGACTTCGTGACCAAGAACCCAAAAGCAAATACAACAAAAACAAAGATAAACAGATGGGAGTTAATTAAACTTAAAAGCTTTTGCACAGCAAAAGAAATAATCAGCAGAGTTAATAGCCAATCCACACAACAGCAGAAAATCTTCACAATCTATACATCTGACAAAGGACTAATATTCTGAACCTACAAACAACTCAAACAAATCAGCAAGACAAAAACCAAACAATCTCATCAAAAAGTGGGCTAAGGACATGCATAGACAATTCTCAAAAGAAGATACACAAATGGCCAACAAGCATATGAAAAAATGCTCAACATCACTAATTATCAGGGAAGTGCAAATCAAAACCACAATGCGATACCACCTCACTCCTCCAAGAATGGCCATAATCAAAAAATTATAACATAATAAATGTTGATGTGGATATGGTGAAAAGGGAACACTTTTACACTGCTTGAGGGAAGGTACACTAGTACAACCACTATGGAAAACAATGTGGAGATTTCCTAAAGAAATAAAAGTAGATCTACCATTTGATCCAGCAATCCCATACTAGGTATATAGCCAGAGAAAAAGAAGTAATTATATGAAAAAGATACTTGCACATGCATGTTTATAGTAGCACAATTTGCAATTGCAAAAATATGGAGCCAGCCCAAATGCCCATCAATCAATAAGTGGTTAAAGGAAATGTGGTCTGTGTATATCATGGAACACTACCCAGCCATAAAAATGAATGAAATAATGGTATTCACAGCAACCTGGATGGAATTGGACACTACTACGCTAAGAGAAGTAACTCAGGAATGGAAAACCAAACACCACAGGTTCACACTCATAATTGGGAGATATGAGGATGTAAAGGCATAAGAATGATACAGTAGACTTAGGGGACTCGGGAAAGGGTGGGAGGTGGGTAACAGATAAATGACTACACATTGGGTACGGTGCACGCTGTTTGGTTGATGGGTGCACCAAAATCTCAGAAATCACTACTGAGAATTTATTCATGTAACCAAACATCACCTATTTCCCAAAAACCTACTGAAATAACAAAAAATAAATTTAAAAACAATTTAAAAAGGCCTTTAGCCTCTGGAGTCTATAATCTTACTCTTCACCAATAATAAACCACAATTTTCTGATCTTTCTTTTATTCAGTACACGCTCTTAATCTAAGATGTCCAGTTCTAGAGTCTGAATTCTCATTCCCTTTTGCATTAACTTCTGCTAGTGGTTAGTTGGTCAGCCTTACAGGACCAGGTAGTGAGAAGTGGCCCAGTTACATGTTATCTCCTGTTGTTTTATACAACTTCAGCCTGACCAGATTCCTAGGGCTCCTAAGCTAATTGAGGCCTGTCCTAAATAATGCCTCCATTTAGAAGGAAGACTCTCCACTCTGCCTATACCTGGAAGAAATATTCTTATTTTTCTGAAAGAAGGAAAATTTCAAATACTACCTATCTTTCTGTTAGAAAAAGTATAATATAAATATGATGATTCCTTGCTCTTAACAGATTGGCTTTAACAAGAATTAACAATCAAATTCTCTGCTAGGCCACTCAAGTTTTCCTCTTATTATTTTCATTTATCACAACAATGGAAATGATTCTTACTTATTCCTTTTTTATACATTCTCATAGTTGAAAATTAATTACATTGTCTTTAAGCCTTAACATGAATATTTACATGTTAAATTTCTAATCTGTATATTTATCATACCTAGCGATCGCATAATCATTGAATGGAAGCCGATTGCAAGTGCTTTCAATTCAGGTTGAACAATCCTGTAATATGATTAAAGCAAAGAAACAATACACATCATTAAAATATCAAACTGAGTTAATATCAAAACATTTATCAGTATCATTTTTCTTCATGATTGAATGAGAACCCTTAAGTGAATGGCCCACATTAAATATAGTTATATTTTCAATTGTTTTAAAAGGCAAACACCTGGATGGTAGTAATAATTATTTTTATTTCTTATTTATTCTATGCTTTATGATTTCAGGACAGTTTAACAAATATTTTCATATTTGATCCTTATGAAAATCCTATAAAAAGGTGATGAACAGACTTGCCACGTTTATGAAGAAAATGATTTTGTGTGGACTATTTAGGTAGCTCATATGAAAATATTATATACCATTATCCAAAAGTAATTCTTAGCAGTCCTCTTTTTTCCATCTTATTTCTGTCATCAGTGTTAACACGGTAGTTTACTAATATGATTCATAAATTATATAATACAACCAGAAGGGTCAAAAAACTTTTCTGTATTCTAGTGTCTTGTGTATTTAACTGTCATACTGAAGGTAAGACTATACTTGTATCCTCACTTAGAAACTAACTCACTCTTACATTTCCCCAATTCCATTTTTCTGTGTTCAATAAACTGATTACACTACCAACCCTGTGATAACTTAGTATATATCAAGTGAAATAAAATTATTTTGCATTAGTGGAGGGGGTGGATTGGGATAAGGGAGGATGACTGCGGCTCAAAAAACCCAGTTTTACTGAAAGAGTAAATTAACTGATGAAAAAGTTGTTTTTTTCTTGAACTCTTGGATGGTTATTCTTTCAGAGAGCTATGTAGCTGTCATCAATCAACAAACATTCACTGAGCACCTAATAAGAGATACTATGCTAGTTAATATTCTTGGGAGTAAATAGACAAATTATGCTTCTTCTCATCTAAGTGACTTGGAGAAGTATATCACTTAATTTCTCTTAGCCTTAGTTTCCTTGTTGGTTAAGTGAGGATAATAATGCTTATCTCATGTTATAAGAATCCAATAAAATGAGCTAGCACTCTAAACTTCAATTTAATTTACACATAATCACCTGTATACTTTACAAAACAGCTACCATTTATTGAGATTCTGAAAAGAATTCAACAGAATTTATAAACTTTTAAAAGGCAAAAGTTAAATTAAACATAATATATTAAAAGCTAAACATAAGATAGTTATATATTAGGAGAGACAATAAATGGAAAGTGTGTTTTGGCTCTCCTTTCACCAAGTACAGCAGTACTTTGTTAGCCCAGTTGAGGGCACAACAACCACACTGAGGACAATGAATCCATGTCTGCTATATAAGGAGGAAATTTATTTCATAAAGAGATGGTCAGGAGAAAATCACCAGGAAGGGTAGGTTAGCTTTTCTATGGAGATGTTACTCTCAAATATCAGATTTCTCAAAGGAGATTTGGGGAAGGGAGAGATTGCACTTCACCCCTGGTTGAGTTCTCTGACAATTGCCTGACAGGCATTTTTCACTGTAATTCGTTTTCGAAAGTTGCAGTTTGTATACTATACGCACAAGGCAAACTGACATTTGTTATCAACTTGTATTTTACCAGGGAAAGGGTTAGCATGCAGGAGAATTGGGGGACTTGCAGATAGGGTAAATATTTTCCTAAGAGTGGGCCTGAAATCTTCAATTCAGTGGAAATGATGGATGTGTGTGATATAGTAACATACACATACAATAACAATCATACACACTCACTCCTACATTTACATGCATGCACATTCACACTACTCCTTGCATGCTCACACTCACATGCTCACTTGCATGCACACACACACTGTTATCATGAAAGACATTTTTCACTGTAGATTGATGCTTTGTTTGTCATCAGCTTACATCATGCCTCACACCGTTGTCACCAGCAGAATGCCAAGATTTTTAGATCTTCTCTGGGTACAAAGACTCTCATTCTACATGGTTTAATACACATTCCTTAATCCAACTCACTCTCCTACTCTTTTCCCATCACTCAAACCCTGTTATTTTGCCCATGGAAACTCTTGTTTCTTACCAGCAAAATGTTTACTTTTTTTTTTTCCAGATGGATTCTCATTCTGTGGCCCAGGCTGGAGTGCAGTGCTGTGACCTCAGCTCACTGCAACCTCCGCCTCCTGGGTTCAAGCAATTCTCCTGCCTCAGCCTCCCCAGTAGCTGGGATTACAGGTGCCCACCACCACGACTAGCTAATTTGTTTGTATTTTTAGTAGAGATGGGGCTTCACCATGTTGGCCAGGCTGGTTTTGAACTCCTGACCTCAAGTGATCCGCTTGCCTCGGCTTCCCAAAGTGTTAGAATTATAGGCATGAGCCACCGTGCCTGGCCAACTTCCTACATTCTTTTTAGCTCTTTTACTTTCTTGTTCTAAATGAAATCTAACTCCCATTAACACTCTTTCCTTGCAACTCTATCAAGTTTTCCTTCCACCGCCTCCATATCAGTGGGCCTGAAATGTGGAAGTCCTTATTGATCTTTTGTTTTTACCACTTCCATACCTGAGTCTCTCCTCTGAAAGACCTCTAGATCCCAGTAAGAGGTGCACCACACTAATATACTATTCTCTAACCTCCTTGTTGAAGTTAGCTGTAGACTGGCACACCACAACTCTTATCATTTCTTGACAATTTTCATTCTAGGCTCTCTGTCGTTTTTGTCAAAATGATTTCTGCCCCTTTTCTTAGTTATTTTAATATTCATATAGATTATGCTCCCAATGCTCTGCCCTTCCAGTTTCTTGGCCTTTTCTCTGGAAAGTCGTATTTCTTTCACCCACAATCAGTTCATCAGTACCCACTTTTAAAATTCTCTATTTTGAGCATCCCACTCCTCATGACCACATCTCAAATTTTAAAATTACTCCGTTTCATACGTCTGCTGCAATATACCCCAGCCCTAGCTCTTTAGGCTTATGACTCCTCTGACCTCTTCACAGGCCATCCCTAGTTTCACCTCTTCATGTCCTATCTCATCATGATCTTTTGTTATAATCAATCCTTTGCATATATCTTGAACATTTTGTCTATCTCATCCTTTATTGTATTGGACAAGCAAAAATGCTTTTATCTAAACCTCTGCCTTCTCTACACCTATGTAGTGTGCTGCACGGCTGGAGGAAATAATTCAACCATGCTGGTTGGGCTCACTTTAAATTCATAAGCCAAAATATTCAGGGGACCTCCAGTGCAATTGTCCAATATTTTACTAGTCCATTTTGCCAGTCAGTATATTTCTCCAATCTTCAAGATTACTAGGTAACTTTTTCTGATATGAACACTCTTTCTTTTCTTTATCGTCCTTCTCATCTGATTACATTGCTTTTTTATAACAGAGAAAGTAGAAGCAATTAGATAAAAAAAGTTTAATACTCTTTATCACTACAGGTACACATTTACCGGCTTTTTACCCACATAGACAATTTTCCCTTCTACAGAGAAAAACTCTGTGTCCTTGTTAACATCTCTTTTCATCTTCCTCTGTAATTACTTTCCCTCTCTCCTGCATTATCAGTTTCCTTCATCTGTACTGCTAATTCTCATTAGTATGCAAGCATGGTATGATTTCTAGCATTGAACATAAACAGAACTCTTGATGACACAATCATGCTAACTACCACATCTTTTCTCTGCTTCTTCTTCTAACACTTCTCCTGAAAAGAACTTTCCATACTGACTGCTACACTTTCCTTTCTAGCATTTTTTCTTGATCCTCTTCAATACAGCCTTTCAGATTCTATGCAGCACACATTACAGTCACAGTTTCAAAGGGAGAAAAATCCTGTTAAAACAAAATAAATTCAAAATAAGGAGAGATAGCTTATCCAAATGAGGAAGAACCAGATAAACAATTCTGGAAGTATAAAGAAGAAAGAGTGTTACAACATCTCCAAAGGACCACACTAACCTCCAGCGGTGGATTCTAAACACAATAAAATCTTTTATATAGTCAATGAAGAACGCACACCTGTAGTCTCAGCTACTCAGGAGGCTGAGGCAGGAGAATCGCTTGAAGCCAGGAGGTGGAGGTTGCAGTGAGCCGAGATTGCGCCACTGCACTCCAGCCTGGTGACAGAGTGAGACTCCAACTCAAAAAAAAAAAAAAAAAATCCAAAATATTGATTCTAAAGAATTCTAAAGAAGCCTCCCAGAAATAAGGCCTTTAAGAAATACAGGATTATTTAAGGTTGAGATCCAAAGTTGAAAGCCATCACAAATACATGAGAAAAATGATGTAGCATATAAAAGAAAATATAGATTTTATTGAGAAAAACAGACATGACTTCTGAAAATGAAAAATATTTTGGTGGAATTGCAAAATGGTTTTGAAAGCTTTAACAATGGGCTGAACAAGCAGCATAAACCATTTAAGAGCTGGAAAACAGGTCTTTTAAGTAAACCCAGTAAGACAAATATAGAAAATTAAATTGCGAAACTTAACGATGCCTTCAAGCACTTTGTTATCATGTAAAGGTTATCATGTAAAGCATCCAAACTTATGAATTATAGGTATTCCAGTGGGGGAAGAAGAGAAAGTAAAAAGTGTGGGTAACTTGTTTGAATAAGTAACTCAGGAAAACTTCCCGGGTCTTGCTGCAGACCTAGACATCCAGATATAAAAATCTGAGATGATTCCTGGGATATGTATTTCAAGAATAACCTAAGAAAAACATATAGTACTCAGACTATCCAAAGTCAACATAAAAGAGGCAAGAGAGAAGTGTCTAAAAAGAAATCTCATCAAACTCATACCAGAGTTTGCAGGAACCTTGTAAGCAGGAACCTTAACAAGCCAAAAGAAACTGGGGTCCTATTTTGAGTCTTCTTACAAAATAAGGCCAGACAAGAATTTTTTTTATCCCCCTTAACTAAGATTCATAATTCAAAGAGAAATAAGGTATTTCCTAGATAATAAGCAAACACTAAACATATTTGTCACAGACTGGCATTACAAGAAATACTCAAAGGTGTTCTAAACACAGAAATGAAAGAGCAATACTAATCATTATGGAAACACACAAAAGCATAAAACACACAGATCTTATAAAGAAATTACCCAATTGATGCCCCAAAGCAATTAAGAACTAATTAACAATATTATGGAAACAAAACCTCAAAAATCAATACTGACCTTAAATGTAAACAGACTAAATCCTCCACTTAAAAAATATAGGCTGGCAGAATGTTTAAAAAAAAGATACAACTTTATGCTACTTACAAGAAACCCACCTAACTGAACTAACTGGTATAGACACTTTCAGCGTCAAAGTAAAGGGGTGCAAAAAGATATCCCATGATAACATAAACCAACTATAGCTATACTTGTGTTAGATCAAACTTCCAATCAAAAACAGTCAAAAAATGAAAAAGGTTATTATATTTTATAAAGGCTCAATTCAACAAGAAGATATAACAATTCTAAAAGTATGCATCGAACATTGTAGCACTCAGATTCATAAAACAAATACTACTTGACTGAAGAAAAGAGAGAAATGCCAATACAACATTAGTAGGGTCCATAAATAACCCACTGACAGCAACAGGAAGATCATGGAGGCTAAAAATCAACAAAGAAAGCTGGTAAGTTGAACACTAGACCGAATGAACCTAACAAATATTTGCAGAACATCTTATATTACTACCACAGAATATAGATTCTTCACAGCTGCATGTGAAACATGCTAAAAAATTGACCATATGCCATGCCACAGGCAAGAGTGAATACATTTTTTTAAAAATCAAAGTTACATCAAGTACCTTTTCAGAACACAGTGAAATAAAAATAGAAATTAGCACATAGAGGAATTCTCAACACTATACAAATACATGGAAATTAAATAACTTGTTCCTGAACAATTATTGGGTCAATGATGAAATCAAGGCAGAATTATTTTTAAAAATCAAAATGAATGAAAATAAAGACAGCATGTCAAAACCTCTGAGATGCAGCAAATCAGCGCTAAAAGGGAAGTTTGTAGCATTAAATGGCTAATATTATGCCCTATGGAACTAGAAAGTCAAGAACAACCCATACCCTAAACTGGCAGAATAAAGTAATAACAAAGAACAAAATTAAATGAAATGTGGGCAAAAAAGTTTACAAAGGATCAGTGAAAAAAAAAGTTGGTTATCTGAAAATATAAACAAGATTGCTAGACTGCTAGTAGGTTAACCATTAAAAGGAAGAAGATTCAAATAAGCACAATCAGAAATGATAAAGGTGACATTAAAACTATTACCACAGAAATACAAAAGATCACCAGAGACTGCTATGTACCTCTCTGCATACACAAACTAGAAAACCTAGAGAAAATTGATAAATTCCTGGAAACATACAACCTCCCGAATTTGAACCAAGAAAAAATAGAAATACTGAACAAATAATGAGTAATGAAATTGAATCAGTAATAAAAAAGAAATCTCCTAACAACTATAAAAAGTGCAAGAACAGTTGGCATCACAGCCAAATTCTACCAAAGAAACAAGGAAGAAATGATACCAATTCTACCAAAACTGTTCCAAAAAATCAGGAAGGAAGGAATCCTCCCTAACTCATTCTATGAAGTCAGCATCACCCTGACACCAAAACTAGGCAAGTAAACAATAAATAAAAAAAACTACAGATCAATATTCCTGATGAACATAGATCAAAATATCCTCAACAAAACAGTAGAAAATTAAAAGCACATCAAAAAATTAGTAGCGCATCAAAAGGTTCATCACAAGGATGAAGTGGTCTTTATTCCTGAAATGCAAAGATGGTTCAACATATGCAAATCAATATATGTGATTCATCAAATTAACATAATTAAAACCAAAAAGCATACAAAATCAACTGATACAAAAAAAGCACTTCATAAAATCAAGCATTCCTTTATGATAAAAACCATTACTAAACTAGGCATAGAAGAAATATACCTCAAAATAATGAAAGCCATAAAATGCAAAGCACAGCCAACAACATACTGAGGGAGGGAAAATTGTAAGCATTACTTCTAAGAATGAGAACAAAGTGAGGATGCCTACTTTCAGCACTCCTGTTCAACATAGTATTGGAAGTTCTATCTAGAGCAATCAGATGAAAAAAAGGAATAAAAGGTATCCAAATTGTAAAACAAGTGTTCAAATTATTTCTGTTTATTTATGATATAATCTTATACCTAGAAAATCCTAAAGACTCCTCTGAAAGTCTCCTAGACTTGATAAACTACTCCAGTAAAGTTTCAGGATATAAAACCAATGTTCAAAAACCAGTATAATTTCCATACACCAATAATGATCTAGCTGAGAACCAAATCAACAAATGAATCCCAATACAGTTATCTATCTGATAGATAACTGATAGATAATATAGTTGTCTATAACAAGATTTTTTTACTGATATATATAATAGATAAAAAATAAAATAAATAGGAATACATTTAACCTAAGAGGTAAAAAATCTCTACAAAAAGAACTGATGAAAAAGTCATATATGACAAAATTGAATGGAAAAACTTCCCACACTCATAAATTGAAATAATTAATATTATGTAAAATGACCATCCTGCCCAAAGCAACCTATATTCAATGCAATTTCCATTAAATTATCAATATCATTTTTTATAGAATTAGAAAAAAAAATCCTAAAATTCATATGGAACCAAAAAAGATCCCGAAGAGCAAATTCATCCTAAGCAAAAAATAAGCTGAAGTTATTACCTTACCTGACTTTATATTATACTTCAAGTCTATAAGCCAGTATAAATAGTAATAGCATAAAAATAAATGCATAGATTAATGCAACAGACTACAGAAGCTAGAGATAAAACCACATACCTACAACATACTGATCTTTGACAAAGGCAAAAAAATATATACACTGAGGAAAGGACACCCTATTCAATAAATGGTACTGGGAAAATTGGAGAGTCATATATGCAGACATAAAATTGAATCTCTATCTCTCACCATATATAAAAATTAACTCAAAATTGATTAAAGACTTAAATGTAGGGCCTGAAACTATAAAAAATCTTAGGGGAAAAACTCTCCTGGATGTTGGTCTAGGCAAAGGATTTATGATTACGTCCTCAAAAGGAAATACAACAGCAACAACAAATATACACCAATGGAACTTAATTAAACTTAAAAACTTCTGCTAAGTAAAAGAAATAATCAACAGAGGACACAGACAACCCACCGAATGGGAGAAAATATTTGTAAACAATGGCTCTGATAAAGTGCTAATATCCATAATATATGAGGAACTCAACTCAATGAAAAAAAAAGAAAGAACCTCATTAAAAAGTGGGCAAAGGACATGAACAGACATTTTTCAAAGGAAGACATACAAGTGTTCAATAAACATATAAAAAATCCCCAACATCACTAATCATCAGAGATATTAAAATTAAAATCATAGTATCATCTTATATCCTTATGATAGCTATTATTACAAAGTCAAAAAAACAAGAGATGTTGGTGAAGATGAGGAGAAAAGAGAATGCTTATACACCGTTGGTGGGAATGTAAATTAGTACAACCTCTATGGAAAACAGTATAGAGATTTACTGTTTTCTAAAAATTGAACTACCATTCAATCCAGTAATCCCAGTACTGGATGTCTACCTAAAGAAAAAGAAATGATTTTATTAAAAAGACAATCTGTGGCTGGGTGAAGTGGCTCACGCCTGCAATCCCAGCACTTCAGGAGGCCAAGGCAGGCAGATCACCTGCAGTTAAGAGTTTGAGACCAGTTTGGCTGACATGGTGAAACCCCATCTCCACTAAAAAAATAACATAACATAACATAACGTAACGTAACGTAACGTAACGTAACGTAACGTAACGTAACGTAACATAACATAACATAACATAACATAACATTACAAAAAAAAATCAGCCAGGTATGGTGGTGGGTGACTGAAATCCCAGCTACTCAGAAGGCTGAGGCAGGAGAATTGCTTGAACCTGGGAGGCGGAGGTTGCAGTGAGACAAGATCCTGCCACTGCACTCCAGTCTTGGCAAAAAAAGTGAGACTCTGTCTCAAAACAAAAACAAACAAACAAGCAAAAAATACCTGCACTTCTATGCTTATCACAGCTCTAATGACAAAAGCAAAGTCGTAGAATTAATCTAAATGTCCATTAACTGATAGTTAGATTAAGAATTTGATATATATGTATATACCATGGAATACTAGTCAGCCATAAAAAAATGAAGTCAAGTCATTTGCAGCATTTTGGGTAGCACTGCAGGCCATTATCCTTAGTGAAATGAGGCAGAAACAGAAAGTTAAAAAATGCATGTACTCACTTTGATGTGAGAGCTAAATAGTGAGTACACAAGGACATACAGAGTGAAATAATAGACAATTAGAGACTAAAGTGTGGGAGGTTGGGAGAGGGTGGCAGGGATGGGATGGGATGGGAGGGTGGGAGGGATGAAATACTATCTATCGGATACAATGTACACTATTCGGATGATGAGAACACAAAACCCCATACTTCACTGCACAATATATCCATGTTTCACAACTGCACTTGTACCCCTAAATCCATAAAAATGAAACACTTTTTAATAACCAAAACAGCCTTATTTTTCCCTTCCTTCTTCATGCACCAGTTTTGTTTGGGCTAACAGTGATCAGCATATAATGAAATCCAATGGTCACTTTCTAGTCCCTAACTCCTGTGAACTCTCAGCGGCCCTTGACATAGTTGCTTTACTCACTACTTCATATATTCTTCATTATGCTTCAAGAACATGATCTTTTCTCAGTTTTTCTCATAACTCATGGGACTTCCTCAATTTCCTTCACTGGCTTCTTCTATTATTGATCTCTAAAGTTAGAGTGCTAGGTGTTGGTCCTAGGATCTAGTTTCTATCTATACTGAGTCCCTAGAATATCTCAACAGTACGTTGAATTTAAATAGCATCTGTATGTTGCTAACTCTAAAATTTATGTTTCTAACTTTAGTGTTTCTCCTGAATAGTGGATTCTGCATATGACATTGTTGGTAGATATCTAACAGGCAGCTCAGTTTTAGAGACACAAGAAGTCTTACTTGTCCACTTTCCCAAAACTACTCTTCCTTAGTCTTTCCCATATTGTTCGATAGTACTATCATTTTTCTAGAACTCAGACCAGAACTTTCAGATCATCCTTAAATTCTCTCTCTCACCTGCTGTATTCAGTTGAGCAGCAAATCATATTGGCTTTGCCTTAAAAACAAAACAAAGACTGAGACTCAAGTCGCTTCCCACTTCCTTTATCATAACCATGCTCAATCAAGACTCCATCTTGTGAAGAATGATCATAGCCTTATGTTTTCCATGATTTCATTCTTGTCTTCCAAAAACACACTCCATCTCCATGCACAGTTAGAGTGTTCTTTTCGTTAGGTAAGCCATAAGCTTTAGGTAATACTAACGCTTAAACCCTCTAGGGCATCTGAACGCATTTAGAATAAGTTCCAAAGACTTTCCCGGAACAATATAATCTGGATCATGCTAGCTCTGTCATTGTACTTCATACCTCTCTGTTCCTCACACACTTTTTTCTGACCATGTATATGTTAAGTATGTTCCACACCAGGGCCTTTACCTTTGCTCTACCTTGCCTCGATTGTTCCTTCCCTGTCCCCATTTAGCATGGCTTGTAGTTTCACTCTTCATCTCTTCATTTAGGTCTCTTATCATATGATTTCCAGTGCACAATGTCTGAACTAGTGTCTCTTACCTATCCCTACTTTTTCTATTTTCTTACTCAGATTCTTCTTTCTAGTGTTGCACACTTACCCTATTTTACATATTTACTTACTTATTTGTTTATTAGTTCTTCTCCTATGCCAATCCACCCCCCATTTCCCATCCCCACTGGATGCCAATGAAGTTTTATCACTTTCATTCACATCTGCATCTTCATTGTGTGGACCTGTGGCTGACACACATAATGAATATGTACTGGATGAGTAAATGCCTACACTCCTGCTTAGTCTAGTTTTAGCAATAGCCTTATGATATAAACTTTAGAAAATCATGAATAGAATGAAGTTCATATTTTATATTTGTATTCTCTTGTCAGCTTCACAAAACTTTTCTTCAAAGAAAAAGGCTGGTGAGAGATTAATAAATGCTTTTGACAAGTGGTAATGTTGATTTCATAACTTTCTTAATTAGATAAATCATAACTATCATCAAGGATGAAACAGTATTTTTAAAACTCTCCTTATGAAAAAGTTTCAATTAAGAAGCTGAAACACGTTGAGATGTAAACTGGTATGATATTTTGAGGTGAATTTTTATGTTAATGAATCTGTAATTTAGCAAATATATGCTTCTCCCTCTGAGTAGACATTTTATATTGAAGATGAAGATATATTTGTGGAATATTTACTATAAATAATTTGATAAAACTTGCAGTCAGAGTCAAAATTTAACAACTGTAAATTTAGTTTACAGGTTTATTTTCATGTTAACAAAATTTAAAAACACATTTTTTTTTCTACCACGTCATGCTGTTGGCTGACCATGACTGTGATCAGGTAGTATGTTTTAAAAGTATAATTAGATGTTAACCCAGGTCATTCTACTTATCATGTATATTTTTAACATCTACTTGCCTGTCTTTACATGTTTACAGTTTTAGGTGATTGAATTATTATATTGGCCAGTAGGGCACACATTATCTGCTTCCTCCCTAATTTTCCAAACTTCTCTTATACCACACCCCTCTCACTCAGTATGTTCCAATGAACTGGATTCTTTTTGGTCTTCAAACACACCAGCGCTTTCCTGTCTTAAGGAAGCAGCACTTAGACCCTCTCCCTGAAAGCCCTTCATTTGGCTTTTTCTGTATGCCCTTAGATAAAATATCACTTCTTTTAAGATGCACTTTGTAAGTCCTTTCCCTCATATACCCTCATTTCACTCCCAAATTTCGTTTCTCTTTTTATTCCCTTTATTAGCAGTCTTTTTCCTTATTAAGACTAACAGCAATTTGTAATTATGTGTTCATTTTTAAACTTATTTGTCTCACGTCACTCGTCGTTTTTCAAAGCTATGAGACAACAAGTACCTTATTGGTTTTATTTACCAAGAAATATTCTTCATTAAGCATCACATGCTGTCTAAATATCTGTTTAATGAGTGAAGAAAGGAATGAATTCTTTACATATACTTTTCTTCTGTCTACAATGGTATTAAGGGATACTAGGTCAGAAGCCATGCTGTGGGTGAATTTACAGCATTAGAATTTCATTACACACTGAAGTTTATATTTATATCTTGTTGCAAAACGTTTTCTTTCAATGAAATCAACAGATGATTTTCTCTAACTGGCCCATTAGGATCCAAGGCAACTGAAAATTAAAAGTTCTTTTTGAATCATATAGAGATTCTTTTACAATTGAGGCAATTGTCAATCAGTGTGTGTCTTAAGATTCTTAATAAAAGAAGAATATATAGAGCCTAGATTTCACAATGGAAGTATTAGAGACAAAATTATATTATTAATGATAGCATTGAAATATCATAATAATTCTAAGAAAATGAATTCCCAGAAAATTAAAATGTAACAAAATATGAATTTGAGCTAAATACGGAAAATATGTATATCATTGGGTGTGTTTTTAGTTTAATATACATGATAATGTTTTAAAACATCATACTTACCTAATCACCAGCACGGAATATGAGGTAAGTCCAACTGCACAGAGGAAAGCATCTAAGACTTGAATTACAAAATAAACGTAAGATTTCCTTGTACAAGCATCATCTCTTGGGCATTCACCCAAGTGCGCTGAGTAATTTTTGTTCTGGAGACCAATTACTTCCACACAGCTACAGTTATAAAACACCTAAAAATAATTTTTGAAATATTACCAAATACATTTGCCACATGCAACTGGGCTATGAATACATTCCATTATATTTAAAGAAGTCTCAAACTAAAATATTTACAGTTTTAAAAATATTATGAAAATACAGTTGCTTAATAATGAAAGGCAAAATTGCTTCCTGAATTACTTTCTGTATAAGATAATGTTATTGAATATTAACATTTAATAAATTCTTAATTTTAAAATTGGGAAATAATTTAAGAAATTAGTGTATGAAAGTGTATATAATTTTCTCATTAATATAAATTGTTTTCAATATTGCTCTTTCACCCACACTTACTTCCTAAAATATGCATTTTTACTCACTTTGACAATCTCTACTAAGTATTAGGGACATGCCCTGGGGAAGGATTACCCCAAATCTTCAGAAAATACAGCAGTTTGAAAGGGGCCAAAATCTGGAACTAGAGCCACTCTTGAAAATAGGACAGAGTACAGAAGAAATAGAGATGGGCATGGATGCCAGAATTCTATTTAAGCAGGCGAAAGCAGCATTCAAGACCATAATGACAGATAATAACATAGATAATATTATTACCAGAGAGGTCCAACACAACAGAATGTCCTGACTAATGGTAAGAGCACAGAAGGCGAACATTAGGATCAAATGATTTGAGAGATTTAATCAGGCAGTGTTTGTAGGTAGGTGGCTTTAAAAAAAATCTATTCTGATTCTAGGCTAAACAAAAGTTTAAGGGAAGTTTGCCTTTAACCTACTAGTGCTAAAGACTAATTATTGAAGGAAGAATTTTAAAAGAATTTAAATCTATACTTTTATGGTTCCACCAAGCTTCCTTTAATCCTCCTTTTTTCACTAAGAATAATATGGAACAATCTTTTATGGAGAAAGCACACTGGCCAATAAAACCAAACTTTGATACAGAGAACATTATTTTAAAAAGAGATTTCTTTTTTACTGAGGATTTAGTAAAGGAATTTTGCAGTAGCCCCCAGATGGTATAGCCATTGTTCACATTAAGAAGACGTCTCCATGTAGACAGAGCTCTTTTTAGGATTCTAATATTACGTTTCTTTCAGATCTTCACTACTGGGCAAAGTGAAACCAGGGATTAAATGAGGGCACCCTTACTGAAGGATATTATAGCAGATGAATATGAGATGTGGGCTTTTAAGTATAGTCTGTGGGCCATATATGTTGTGCAAGTTTATTAAAGTTATGGCCTATCTTCAAGGAACCTAGGATGCTTTGTTCATCAAATTTCTCCATGCCTTTCCATAATATATCGGTATGACAATGGGCAAGGGAAAGATGAAAAATGTTTAAAAATGAAACATAGAAGAGTGTGGTAGAGAGTAATCATCATAGCTGACTATGTTGCTAATGTTGGTAATAGGAAAATGGTCTGAAAGATGAATACACAACTTTGCGAGATGTTGAGTGAATGGTAGGTATGGGGAATAGCATACCCAGTTTCCAACTATTGGGAGTTACCCAGGATATTAGGAAAAACCCATGGCTCACATGGAAAAAAACCCATTTGAGTGAAGAAAACAATGGAATTTCAAATGGATATGTTGGGAGTAAGTGGGCAGGATACTAAATTATCCTGGGTAAGAGAAGCGCCATCTGTGAGGAAATCAACATAGGAAATTGAGAATTTGGCAGTCAAGTGAGCATGAATCCTTGATTAATTTATTGGAAAGTCAAAAGCCCCAGTGAGTCCCTAGCTAAACTCATCAGGAGGTATATATATGAAAATGCACATAGATTGTTGTCCTAGTAAAGTAGGTAGTTCTGACAACAGGTTAATCAGGACTTTCTCCTAACTTCTGATGGATAAATTAATTCCAAATTAATTGAAATCTTGTGCTTCAGTCAAATCAGATGCTTCTCAGAAATCCTAAGTGGATTAAATTCTAATAGGTCATATTTCTACACTCTCAAGAAAAAAGTGGGGTAATCTCAAATTAAAATTCAAATAACAGAAAAACTTGGTTGTGTCCTAAGCAGGACTTTATATGAAGCTTTGTTTATACTTCACAGCCATCACAATGACAGATAATACCGGAATCTTTTATCTTTATACTGGATACCTTAGCTATAGGAAGATGTGATAAACAATTATTAAAAAATCAAATCTGAGATTTTGATTAAGGAGAGAAGGAAAAACAAAAACAAATACTCACTATGGGCTCTTTATTACCACTTGAAGATTTGCATCCTGCTAGACAAGGTGACAGGTAAGTTATTCCATTGTTTCCACAGACGGGTTCCCATTGACTTTCATCACAATTGCACTCTGAGTTGCAATAAGAAAGTGGTACATCTACATGAGATCTTACTGGACTATTTCTGAAAATATATGATAGACATATATCAAAAAGAGAGAAAGAGAAGAGAGAGGAAGAAAAGAAGGAAGAGGAGGAGAGAGACAAGGGGGAAGTAGAAGGGAAATAAAGGAGGAGGGAAGGTGAGGGAAAGAAAAGAGAAATGAAATAAAGGATTTTCTTCAATTAGATCAAGAAATTTGATCTGATGATGCCAAAATAGGTTTTTAAAAATGCTTTTAAATTTTTTAATGCTTGTAACTCTCCTTCTTTACCAAAACATGATTTGTTACTTAGAAAAAGTAAAACTTAAAAAAGAAATAAGAGATTAGATAAGACTTAGACAAGAGGTTGTTATGATTCCATCAAGAAGGTTCACATTAGAAAAGTAATTTTATTTTTCTAGACTCAGTTTTTTTTTTGGTGAGGTAATGGCGTTAGATTGAAGTTCCTCTCAGGTCACTATAAAGTTCTGTGAATCTATGGATGCTAGTTAATGTGGTTGAAGTTTAAAATCTGTATCTTAACTACATAAAATAAGAATTCATTGTGATTAGAGCTGAACCTCTGAAGAATGAAAAGCAAAAAATAATAGAATCAGTTGAAAAGGGCTAGAAAAGTTCTGTATATTTTTTAAGTGACAATACAATGTTTTTAAACTGATTTACTTTACAATATGGCTATAAATTGTTAAATATAATTTTAATCATGGCTAAAATTATAAAGCATATTATTTGTATACATTTTCTGCTTCAAGATTTTAAAAGCTACTTTGTTTTGCAAAAATTTGTTTATGATTGAGGATTGATGAAGTACCTTTGAATGAGTATGCATTTAAATTAAGAAAAAAGTAGATCGGTAATTTAGAAAACACATTATTAATAATTTTATTTAAAGTCATCTAATTATTCTGCTTGAGGACATCCTACTGGGAGTAGTTATGGAGAATGGTTTATGATTACTATGGTCTAAATATTTGTGCCCCCCCAAATTCATAGATTGAAATCTAATCTCCTATGTGAAGGTATTAAGAGATAGGGCTGTCAGGATGTGATCTGGTCATGAGGACGAACCCTCCTGAATGGAGTTAATGACCCCTTGCATATTCCACCATGACTAAACACAGCTAGAAGGCACAATCTATGAACTAGCAAGTGTGCCTTTACCAGATACCAAATCTCTCAGCACCTTGATCTTGTATGTTCCAGCCTCCAGAACTGTGAGAGATACATTTCTGTGTATCTACAAACTACACAATATTTTGTTACAGCAGCTCAAATGGACTAAGATAATGACCCAGTCCAGAAATTGCAATTAGTTCCTCCTGTGTTCGGATTAGTTCTGCCATAGCTTACCAATGTGACTACTCTTTGTAAAAAATGTCAACCTCATAGAGACTTTTGGGGAAAAATAATTCTGGGACAGTTTTCAAACATATTTTTTCTTAGGAGTCCTTCAGAGTCTTAAAAAGCATTGAAGGACCCAAGTTTTTTGTTTTAATTAGTTATATCTATAGACACTCTATTAGAAATTAATATTAATACATTTTAATACATAAGCACACATATTTTTAGCTGTAAGACTGGTGGCATCAACACATATCATATAATCTTAAAAATATCACTATACCTTCATGAGATAATGTGAATAAAAAAGGCAAAGTCTTTGTATCATTATAAAAATAGGTTAGAATTTGTGGACCCCTTGATAAAGTCTCAAGGACCCTTAGAGATAATCAGGGATAATTCGGAGACCCCTGCACTAATTTGACTTATAAAACAAGTCCTAGTGACTAAGATTTCATAAATGTTGAATACATTGATTTTATTATTTGCTATCATTAGATTACGAGTTCCATGAGGGAATTGATGTTTCCCACAAATAATCACCTTTCAGGAAGGACTCAGTAAATTTAATTAAATTGAACAACTCCTGTATAACTCTTGCTTCCATCTTTTCAGTAGATGGCACAGTTACTATACTTGTTTTCAGGAAACTAGCTTTATGCTAAAAAGCCTGCCCTGAAAAACAGGAAGCCTTTGAAACTAATGGTGTGATATAAGATCAAGAGGGAGTCGTTGTGTGTCTTTAAGCAAGTCATAATTCTGTAGGTCTCATATAATAAAGGAAGCGATATATGAAAGTTGGGCTGCATGATCTCTAAGGTTCTCTTATCTCTAAAATCCAATGTTCTAGGTACAATGTGTATTGACTTACCAAAGTAGGTGACAGTTGATAGGAAAGATCAAAAACAGTTTAGATTTAGAAGCATGCAGGAAAATAATTCATGATTAGTTTAACAAGCCTCCAAGAACAGGATGTTACTTAGATAAGAAAATGAGAATATTTGACAAATTAAAATCAACACCTCATAGAATCCAGATTTTGAAAGCTCCGAGCCAATAGTAACAGCACTAAAGATCATGGTTATTGAACTGTAATCTGAGCATCTTTGCCTGTTGCTTGACTGTGAACCTTCCTAAACTTACATTGTTGGCTATATTGAAGTGATTATTAAAAGTCTGTGTAAGAATCTTGCTCTCGATTTGGGGTAGAGACTGTAGTACTAAAAATACTTGACAAAACATGATAATAATGGAAAAGTAAAGATATCCCAAGGTCTAACATACAATTATAAGCAGAATATATCTTAATGCTATTTCCATTGTAGACTACCAGAAGAAAAAAATATTAGCTTGCAAAAAAGGAGAATTAAGTACAATGTGAAAAAGTATTATTTCATAAAGACAGTTGTTAATATCAAAAAGAACTGTAGATGAAGGTTATTCAGTCACTTTTGGAGAAGGTAATTTATATTACTATTATGATCCATCTAAAATGTTAATGGTTAAGACTAAGAGTTTTAGAGTCAAAACCCCAAAATTTGAGTCAGAATCTTAATATTGCTAGCCATATAATTTATCTATTTCTCTAAATTTTACTTTCTCATTTATAAAATGTGGGTAAAAGTACCCACCACTCATTATAATTACCCATAAATTATAGGTATTATTACTTCAACATATGTTGCTTTTCTTTAATGAAGGAATAAAATAACTTTAAGGTCTTAAGGAGTGAACATTTTAAGAATTTCAAAAATGAAATTTCTCTCAGTGAAAAGAAAATTTAATTACAATTGTTTTCTACCCTATTTTCCTTACACATAGTCTTTTGATTGGATGGTTAACATATTATCCAATTATATATACAAACCCATCATAGGTCAAGGTTAGGCCGGCAACTGATTTGCTTTCACAGATTAGAAAGAAATATAAAACTTGAGATAAGAGATGCACTGTTGCAGAACAAAATGCCAATTTGGCAAGTCCAACTAAAGACAATTTGAATTTTTTAATGATATATCCTCCTGAAAACATGCCAATTGCAACAGCAGGTAGGGCGAGGACTCCTAGAAATAAGAGAAAAAAGCTGTAAATATATACACACACACACACACACACACACACACACACACACACACATTTAAATATGTATATTTAAATATATATACACATTTAAATATATAAAAATATATATGCATATTTAAATATATATTTAAATAAATATATATATAAAAATATATATATATTTTTTTGGATATGTGTTTTTATATGAAACACAGTATGAGGCTGGGTGAACCAAATTCATCCCATCTTATCACTTCTTTAAAAGGAGGGTGGCAGACTAAGGTAGAGGTAGGGGACCAGTGTACCATGTAAGAGAGACAAAAATAATTTCTTCCTCCCAGTTATGAGGGTTTGGTTTCTTCAAGAGCAAAAGGCAATGGCTAAGAATATTTGTATGTCTGAACAGATTATTTCTATGAAGCACGTTCTTTTTTTCTGGAAATCAACAACAATAAAACAAAATCTTTTTTCCTATGAGATTTTGAGCCTGCCATCTAAAATCCTTTACATCTCTCACAGTAGAGTTCCAAACCTCAGTAGCTTACTTCAAATTTTCCCAGAGATTTAGAATTGAATTCCTGAAGTAATATCTCATCCTTATTCATCAAAACATATATACCCTGCTATAATAAAAAAAGATCAATATACAGGATTAAAAATGGTTAATTCCTCCTACAATTTTACCATTTCATTGTCCTGTAAGAGTTATTAAAGATGAAGTTTCCTCTAACAAAAACTTCAGATCAAGTTATTGGGAGCCAAAATTTAACCTTTAAGTTTAAACTTTTAGGTTCAACAGGGAGATCATCCAGGTGCCTGGTCTAGTGCTTCTGTACATTCATTTTCTAATTATTATTTTCTCATGTACTCATGACCTAGTCACATACCACTTGATAAATTTTTTAACTCATCACATATTTATCAAATTTCTACCATCTTTCTACAAATTGATAGATAGTTTTGTACAATAGATAGATTTGTAGAATAGTTACTACAAAGTGTTATAACTTCTTAATGGGCAGGTCTCAATATGACACTGAAAATAGATACTGTAGAAAAAAATTCTATGATTTTTTTTGAATCATGCATATTTTGTGAGGCATTTAAATTGATTCTTTTTTAAAAAACGTCAATATCATATGTTTTGTCAGTGGCTGAAGCCTTATTTCAGTCCATGAATTATAGGTTTATAATGGTTATATTACAAAAGGGCTAGTCTCAGGATCTCACCACTATAAGATCCAATTATGCAGATACTACCTCTAAATGTTTTATTCAAAAGCAACTTTGGTTTTAGAACTCACCTAACATGAGATGCAACTTCAAATGCAGAACAATGGTTATATCACAATATTGACAAATGTTACAAAGTTAGAGAGATAATAAAAGTATATTTAGTAAAATGTGAAATAACCTTCACAATAAAATCTGTCTTTTAACACAAATACCCAGTAATGTTGCATTTATCAAGTAAACACGTAAAAAGTATGTCTTACCCAACAAAAAGTTAGTCTTAGATGCAGACCAACCATACTGTTGCTCCACCATTTTAATGATATAAGTAAGAGAAGCAATGTAGCTGCTCATGTGTAACAATGTAAAAATTACAAATATAACATACAGGGGATTGGTAAGGATGCTTTTCAAAGACTGGAAAAAGCCTGCAGAATTATAAAAGTAAACAAAATATTTCAATGTAATTAAAATACATTAATATCTGAATTTTGAAAATATAAGTTTTATAAGATTTAAAATTACAAAACTACATAACACAGAAAGAGCACCCTTCAATCCTACTATTAACAGTTTAACTACATTCCTTCAATATTTTTCATATGCATATTATTATTGGTTTAGTTCATTTTACTTCCAAATAGGATCATGCATAAATGCTGTTTTGTGACTTACTTTGTTCACTTAACATTTTATTATCCTTGGCACTCTACCATACTATTACATACAGATTAATTATTTATTCATTCCACAAATGTTTGGTTTTCAATTGGGTACTAGGCAATACACTAAGCGTCCCAGAAAGAAAAAAAACTGAATCAGAAATGTGATGTTCACAGGGTGCAGTGGCTAATGTCTGTAATCCCTACACTTTGGGTGGCAGAGGCACGCAGATTGCTTGAGCCCAGAAGTTAGAGACCAGACTGGGAAACATGGCAAAATCACCCCTCTACAAAATATACAAAAATTAGACTGGCATGTTGGCATGCTCCCATCACTTCAGCTACTTGGAGGGCTGATGAGGGAGAATAACTTGAGCCTGGGAAATTGAGGCTGCAGCAAGTCATAATACATGCCACTGCGTTTTAGCCTAGGGGACGGAGCCAGACCCTGTCACAGTGAAGAAGAAGAGGAAGAGTAGGAGGAAGAGGAAGAAGGAAAAGGAGAAGGAGAAGAAGCAAGAAGGATAAGGAGGAGGAGGGGAAGAAGAAGAAAAGAAAAGAAATGTGATGTCCCTTATGTATCAGCACTTAATAATATAATTATTACATTAAAATAAAATTGTTAAATATAAATTTAAATTAAAGACAGCATAATCTGAGATACAGAAATAAAATCTCTGATGTTCAAAAATTTTAAAGACAAAATTAGTATGAGGGCTCAGACTTCTTTTTTCCCTGGTATACAGCTTTTGTACCATAAAATACTGCCTCAGTAAATCTGGCAGTATTATAAATCACCTGTGTTAAGACGCAAGAAGGAGAGGCAGGGGATAAAAATGTTGGTCCCAAGGGACATTATGACAGTAATAGTACAACAACCTATGCCTACAAATAGGTGTGATAACAAATTTCTAACTTCTGTCCATGGCAGAAATTTTATATTCTGGGTCTGTGATTGCCAGGTCAATCAACTATAATAGAAGTTAAAAGTGGAAGGAACTACTTAGAACAAAAGGAAGTTTTAGAGTACAGCAAGACAGGCCCGGAAATAGTTATTGAGAGATGGATGATATGGGCTTTGAAAGATCTTGTTCTCTATAGGCCTCTAAAGATTTTCATTAGATATGAACAGTACTAACAGTAGTTTCTTTAAAAAATAGTTTCCTCTGATTATAATAAAACAAAATACATTTTGAGAAATGGCACAGAACAGAAAAGAGGTAAGAAAATGTATAGTAAGAATAAACAATATTTAAAATTGTTAGGCCAAAGTGCTAAACTTCCCTCTATTGGTCTCCCCTGTGAGTAAGAATCACCACTGATTTGTGAGGCCTTCTAAGAGAGTCGTGATCTTTGGTCAAAAGGAATGAAACGTGTAGATTAACCAAACTGTTAAATTTTTGTGGCAGACAGCAATTTGGATGTCATCTGGTCTGAACTTCTATACAATTGTGACGTATTACTTATTTTTAATAAACAGATCAATAAACAACTCAAGTGACATGAAGCTGACTACCTGAGAGCAATTTGCTCAACTTTTGAACAGTTCTCATTGTTTAAAAATTGTCTTTGTAATGAACTGAAATTTTCCTTTCTTTCTAACCAATTAGTCTTAGTTTTCAACAAGAACATAGAGAATAAATCCAATATGTCTTTTCTCCTGACTATAGGTATTTAGGTATGTTATCCATTCTTAACAGGCACTTATTAATAATTAAGATTCTCTTTACTATTCACGTCACTAACCCCCCCGAAAACCAGCTCATAATATAGACAATGTTACTATTGTACCATTTTTGTATCTTCATTATCCTCTTTATTATTTCTGGATTCACAGTCAACTCTGACTCTTATAGGTTTGAAAATCCATTAATTATTATGGATTTGATTAGATAAAGCAGAAACATGGCACACACAAAACAAAAATTCCTTGATATGCTATTTTTAGAATGCTTATTAAAAAACTTTTAAAACAGTGGTGTGCTGGTAAATGTTTAACAACTGATTTGTTGGTTGGGAAACCAGATTTGTAGGATTTCTCAATTTCCATGGTAACGTATGGTGGTAAATTCTCCTACCATGGACAATTTCAAGCTACCAATGCAGTTGAAATTGAACAATCCACTCTCATAAGTGAATACACAAGGCTCCATCATCCATCCCATTGCTCTTGGGTTAGTGTGGTGGAGAGGAGAAAATAATAACAACAACAAATGGGAAGTGAAAGAATTGATGAGGAGAGCATAGGTTACCCTGGGAAATTTGTAACCTTACTTCAATAAAAACTTGAAACATTTGCTGAGTTTAGGTGTTGGTTGCACTACTTCAGGTTTTACGATTTCACCATTTTGTCCCAATCTGAAAACTGCTGTCAATACCTTACCATTTCAAATATTTTGCTCTGACTGCTGTCAGATCATTCTCTCAATTACTGCTTCTCCATGGTTCTCCATTAGCCCTCCAGGGCTTATATTCAAAAGAAGAGTCACTATCAAGTGGTAAAGGATCCTAATTCACATTACTGACTTCAATTACTTTAATAACAGCTATTGTTTCCACTTCATTTTTGAATACTTAGGTAAGCTATAATTATATATATATTAAAATTATATATAATCTAATTAAAATTATATATAATCTTATTAAAATATATATAATTTTAATTACCAAGAAAAATAATCTTACTCCAATTACCTACAGAGAAACCTCTCCTGAATTCCTTCTCCTTATTCTATCTCTACACTTGAGAATAGTTAAGTATAACCTTACCACTATTTAAGATACTTTACTACAATGATCTATATACTTCTCAATATTATCCACTAGGTTTTTGAAAAATAAAAGTGATGTTCTGTCACCAGGGCATAGTGTGGTGGCTGGTACCTTCTGTTGAATAAGTGAATGAATGAAATATTATAATCTTTTTAACCTTCACAGTTTACACTATATAATATTAAAATGAATACATACTCTTTGGCTTATAAGGAACAAATGTTTTATTTGTAGCCTTTGATTGGTTTCTGCCTGCTAAAGAGCAAAATCCTAATCCACTTCTGCTTGTTATGTGCTCAAGAAATATTTGTTAACTTTAGTATGACTTTTAGAAAAATAATTCAGCTACATTTAGTGCAGAAGAAAGCTAACTCTTGATGAGTTGAGTATGGTTTATATTTCGGAATACTCATCACTCCCTTTCATTGAAATTAACAACTCCAAGTTGACAATGAATGTAAAATACTTACCAGTCACATTTTTGGTAATATATTTTCTTCGGTTGGTCAAATTAGCTATTTGATTCCTTTTATCATTAGTTTTTAGCACATGCAAAAATAGTGAAACTTTCCTTTCTTTCTGTGGTTTATTTGGATTTAGAGGCAAGAAAAAGAATGGTATAGAAGAAATAATGGATACTATTCCAGACACAAGGAAACCAAGCCACCAAGCTCCAACCCAACGAGAGTCCTTAGGAGTTATCCTGATAGTGCCTAGAATAAATAAAAGAAGCCAGTCAAAAATCATTTTGAAATACAGTAGGTTCTGGGAAATAATGATAATGATTGCAGTCCTCCACAGATGAATAAAGTAAAATATATGTCATAAATTCTAAGACACTATTTTCTTCTTTTCATATTTTGTTATCTTTGAAACTAGAATCAGTCTAACATTTGATGACATCTTGCAGTTGCTGTAGGCCAGAAATCAGTCATGACGTTGTTCTCATTTCTGGAGCTTGTGTGCACTTGGTGTTTTTTCAGGTTTCATGACAGGACAGCTGTCATCATTGGAGTCTTAACCCCAAGGACCATTTAATAACTACTCATGGAAAAAATATGAATCCTCATTGTTGTCTGAAAATGTGGTGGGCACAAGGGTGCTTGCATCACTGAACCTCAAATTCTAGGTAGCTCAGTACAGAAAGAGAGAGATTCCATTGTTTTGGAGAATGTAGGGCAAAAGAACAAGAGTCTTTGTCTAGTAATCGAGAAAATTCTTCTGGATCTTATCTGAGGCCACCAAGACAGTACCTCTATAACACTGCACAAACCACAATATTAATCATCATGGGGCATAAGTCACTTCAAACAACTAGGAAGCATATTCAAGATTGATGGGTAGAAGCAAACCCAGACTGCAAAAACTACAATAAATATCTAACTCATCAAGGCCCAGACAACAATGAATATTTATTGGCATCAAGGTCAGCCAGAAAAACATGACCTCATCAAATAAATTAAATAAGGCACTAGGAACCAATCCTGGTGAAACAGACATATGTGTTCTTTCAGACAGATTTCAACATAGCTGTTCTGAGGAAACTGAAAGAAATTCAAGATGACACAGAATGAATTCAGAATTCTATCAGATAAATTTAACAAAGAGAATAAAATAATGAATACCAACACTACTCAAACTATTCCAAAAAATAGAGGAAGAGGGAATACTTCGAAATTCATTCTATGAGGCCAGTATCACCCTCATACCATGACCAGACAAACACACATCAAGAAAGGAAAACTACAGGCCAATATCTCTGATGAGTAATTATGCAAAAATCCTCAACAAAATCCTAACAAACCAAATTCAACAATATATTAGAATAATCATTCACCATGATCAAGTGGGATTTATCCCAGGAAGGCAAGGATGGTTCAATATATGGAAATAAATCAACTGAGCACATTGTATCAATGGAATAAAATATAAAAATCATGTGGTCATTTCAATTGATGAAAAAACATTTGATAAAATTTAACATTCCTCCATAATAAAAAAAAAACTTTAAAAAACTGGGGATAGAAGAAACATAGCCCAACATAGACAATGTTACTATTGTACCATTTTTGTATCTTCATTATCCTCTTTATATAAAAGCCATATATGACAGACCTACAGCCATATATGGCTTTAAATAAAAGCCATATATGACAGACCTACAGCTAGTATCATACTGAAAGGCGAAAACTGAAAGCCTTTCCTCTATAATCTGTAATACTACCAGGATGGACATTGTCACCATTTTTATTCAACGTAGTACTGGAAGTCCTAGCTGGAGCAATCAGACAACAAAGATACAAAAGGCATCCAAATTGGAAAGGAAGAAGTCAAATTATAGTTGTTTGTATATGATATGATCTAATATGTAGAAAAACCTAAAGATGCTACAAGAAAGCTACTCAACCTGATAAACAAATTTAGTTAAGTTGCACAGTACAAAAACAACATAGAAACCAGTACCATTTCTATATGCTAACAGTGAACAATTTGAAAAAGAAATAAAAAAGTAATCCCATTTACAATAGCCGCAAATACCTTGGAATTAACAAAAGAAGTGAAAGATCTCTATAGTGAAAATTTTAAAACATTGATGAAAGAAATTGAGGAGGGCAACAAAAATTGAAAAAATATTCTATGTCCATGGATTGGAAGATTAATGTTGTTTCAATGTCCATACTACCCAAAGCAATCTACTGATTCAATGCAATCTCTATCAAAATAACAATAATATTCTTCATAGAAATAGAAAAATCAAACCAGAAGTTCATATGTAACACAACGACACAGAATAGCCAAAGCTATCCTAAGGAAAAAAAAAAAAAAAGCTGGAGGAATCCTATTACCTGACTTCAAATTTTACTACAGAGCCATAGAGACCAAAACAACATGCAGTATGCTACGGGCATAGAAACAGACACATAGACCAATGGAACAAAATAGAGAACCCAGAATCCATACAACTACAGTGAACTCATTTTAGACAAAGGTGCCAAAAGCATGCACTGAGGAAAAGACAGTCTGTTTAATAAATGGTGCTGAGAAAACAGGATATCCATATGCAGAAGAATAAAACCAGGCCCCTGTCTCTCACCGTATGCAAAAATCAAATCAAAAGTGATTAAAGACATACATCTAAGACTTCAAACTATGAAACTACTACAAGAAAATATTGGTGAAAATCATCAGGACATTAGTCTGGGTGAAAAAAAAATATTGAGCAATACCTGACAAACACAAGCAACCAAAGTAAAAATACACAAATGGGATCACATCAAGTTAAAAAGCTTCACACAGCAAAAAATACAATCAGCAAAGTGAGGAGACAACTTATGCAATGGGAGAAAGTATTTCCAAACTCCCCCTCTGACAACAGATTAATAACCTGAATATACAAAGAGCTCAAACAACTCTATAGAAAAAAATCTAATAATCTGATCAAAACAAGGGCAAAACACTTGAATAGACATTTCCCAAAAGGAGACAAATAAATGACAAACATGCAAATGAAAAGGTGCTCAACATTGTTAATCATTAGATAAATGCAATTCAAAACTACAATGAGATATCTGATGAATGATATATCTCACCCCTGTTAAAATGGCTTTTATCCCAAAGACAAGCAATAACAAACACTGGTGAGAACCTTCATACACTGTTGGTGTGAATGTAAACTAGTGCAACCACTACGGATAACAGTTTGGAGTTTCCTCAAAATACTCAAAATTGAGTTACCATATGATTTAACAATCCCACTGCTGGGTATATACCCAAAAGAAACGGAATCAGTCTATTTAAGACATATCTGCACTTCTATGTTTGTTGTAGCACTGTTTACAATAGCTGTGATTGGGAAGGAACCTAAGTGTCCATCAATAGATGAATTCATAAAAAAGATTTGGTACATATGGAATACTATACAGCCATAAAAAAGAATGAGATCCAGTCATTCTCAAAGAATGAGATCCAGATCCAACATGGAGAGAACTGGAGATTATTATGTTAAGTGAAGTAAGCCAGGTACAGAAAGACAAACATCACATGTTCTCACTTATTTGGGGGATCTAAAAATCAAATCAATTGAACTTGTAGGCATAATGAGAAGAAGGACGTTGCCAGAGGCTGGGAAGGGTAGCAGAGGATTGGAGGTGGGAGGTGGGGACAGTTAATGCACACAAAAAAAATAGAAAGAATAAGACCTACTATTTGATAGTGCAATAGGGTGACTATAGTAAACAATAAATTAATCGTATATTTTAAAATACCTTAAAGAATGTAATTAGATTATTTGTATCTCAAAGAATAAATGCTTGAGGGGTTAATACCCCATTATCCATGATGTGTTTATTTCATATTGCATGCCTGTATCAAAACATCTTATGTACCCCATAAATACATACACCTATTATATACTCATAAAAATTAAAAATAAAAAAATCTTAAAAACAAAGAGACTAAAATTATTAAAATCCATGAAGCAGAAATTTAAGAGTTGAAAAATTCAGCTGACATACTAAAGAATGCTTCAGAGTCTCTTACGAGCAGAACTGATCAAGCCAAAGAAAGAATAATGTGCTTGAAGATAGGCTGTTTGAAACTGCACAGTCACAAGAGACAAAAGAATAAAGAACAATGCACACCTAAAAGATACAGAAAATAACCTCAAAAGGGCAAAACTAAGAGTTATTTGCCTTAAAAGGGAGATGGAGAAAGGGTAGAAAGTTTATTCAAAGGGATAATATTACAGAACTTTTCAAACCTAGAGAAAATATCAACATTCAAGTACAAGAATGTTAATGAAAACCAAGAAAATATAACCCAAAGAAGAGTACCTCAAGGCACTTAATAACCCAACACTCAAAGGTGAAGGATAAAGAAAGAAAAAAACTTTTTCCCTAGAATATTATGTCCAGCAAAAATATAATTCAAAGATAAATAAGAAATAAAGACCTTCCCAGATTAAAAAAAAAAAAAAAACTGGGGGATTGTATTTACACCAGGACTGTCCTGTAAGAAATGCTAAGGGGAGTTCTAAAATCTGAAAGAAAATAATGTTACTGAGCAAGAAGAAATCATCCAAAGTTAAAAAAAACTCAGTGTCAATAGTAGGCACACAGAAAAATACCAAATATTATAATACTGTAATTGTGGTGTGCAAACTACTCTTAAGTAGAAAGACTAAATGATGAAATAATAAAAAATAATAACTGCAATAACTTTTTGAGACATACACAGTAAATAAGATAAAAGGGAAAAAATATTTAAACATAAGAAGTTGATGTTGCAGTATAGAGGTTTTATCAGTTTTCTTTTCTTTTTTCTTTTTTTTTTTTTTTGAGACATAGTCTTGCTCTTATCACCAAGGCTAGAGTACAGTGGCACAATCTCAGCTCACTGTAACCTCCACCTTCATGAGATTCTCCTGACTCAGCCTCCCGAGTAGCTGGGACTACAGGCGCCTGCCCCCACACTTGGCTAATTTTGGTAGTTTTAGTAGAGATGAGATTTCACCATGTTGGCAAGGCTGGTCTTGAACTTTTGACCTCTGGTCACCCGCCTGCCTCTGCCTCCCAAAGTGCTAGGATTACAGGCATGAGCCACTGTGCCCAGCCTGTTAGTTTTCTTTTTGCATATTTATTTTTTTATGCAATCATTTTAAGTTGTTACCAGTTTAAAATAGTGGGTTATAAGTAAGTATGTGCAAGCCTCATGGTAATCTCAAGTCAAAATACATATGACAGACCAAAAACTAAAAAATAAAAGGAAGAAATTAAATTATTCCATTAGAGAAAATGACCTTCACTAAAAGACAGACAAGAAGGGAGAAGAGAAGACCCAAAACCACAAGAAAACAAATAACAAGATGGCAGGAGTAAGTCCCTACCTATTAATAACATTGAATGTAAATCAACTACAGTCTCCAATCAAAAGAAATAGAGTGTCTGAATGGGTGATAAAACAAGACCTAATGATCTGTTGCCTACAAGAAACGCAATTCCCCATAAAGATAAACACAGGCTGAAAATGAAGGGACAGCAAAAGATATTATTACATGCCAATGAAACCAAAAGGAGTTACTATACTTACATCAGACAAAATAGATTTCAAGACAAAAACTGAAAGAAGAGACAAATAATGTCATTATGTAATAACAAATGGTTCAATTCGGCAAGGGAATAAAAGGATTGTGAATACATTTGCACCCAACACTGAAGCACCAAGAAATATAAAGCAAATATTATTAGAGTGAAAAAGAGAGACAGACTTCAATACAATAATAGCTGGAAATATCAACAACTCACTTTCAGCATTGAAAAAACCTATTAGACAGAAAATCAAGAAAGAGAAAGACTTAACCTGAGCTATGGAACAAGTGGACCTAATACATATTTACAGAATATTTTATTCAAGGGCTCCAGAATAAACATTTTCTCTCATCAGCATATGAATCATTCTTAAAGACAGATGATATATTAGGTCACAAAAGAAGTCTTAAAACATTAAGAAAAAAAAAAAGAAATCATATCAAGCATCTTCTCTGGCCACAATGGAATAAAACTAGAAATCAATAATAGAGGAATTTTGGAAACTATCCAAACACATGGAAATTAAACAATATGCCCGTGAATGACCAGTGGGTCAATGAACAAATTAGAAAGCAAATTGAAAATTTTCCTGAAATGAATGAAAATGGAAGCACATACCAAAACCTATGAGATAAGATACAGTAAAAGTAGTACCAAGAGGGAAATTCATAGCTTTAAGTGCTCACATCGAAAAGAAGAAAAACTTCAAATAAGTAATCTAATGATACACTTTAAAGAACTAGAGAAACAAGAACAAACTAAACCCAAAATTAGTAGAATAAATAATAAAGATGAAAGAAGAAATAAATAAATCTGAGATAAAACAGTGCAAAAGATGAATAATACAATCTGTTTTTTGAAAACATAAATACAACTGACAGAAATTTATCCAGACTAATGTGAAGAGAAAAGACCCAGATATGTAAAATCAGAGATGAAAAAGAATACATTACGAATGATATTGCTGAAATTTAAAGGTCCACTAGAGGCTACTATGAGCAAACATATGTCAATAAATTGGAAAATCAAGAGGAAATGAATAAATTCCTAAATATATAAAACCTATTAAGATTGAACTGAGATCCAAGACCTGAACAGACCAATAACAAGTAATGAAATTGAAGCTGTAATTAAAAGTCTCCCAGGAAAGAAAAGCCAAGGACCTGCTGGGTTCACTGCTGAAATCTACCAAACATTTAAAGAAGAATTAATATCAATCCTGCTCAAACTATTCTAAAATGTAGATAAGGAGAAAATATTTCTAAACTCATTCTATTAGGTTGGTGCAAAAGTAACTGCAGTATTTGCCATTGGTTTTAATGGCAAAACCAACCTAAGACAAGGTCGGAATTATCCTGCTATGCAAACCAGACAAACATACATCAAAAAAAGAAAACTACAAGCCAGTATCTCTGATGAATATTGATTCAGAAGTCCTCAACGTAGTACTAGCAAACCAAATTAAATAATACATTAAAAAGATCACTCATCATAACCAAGTTGGATTTATCCCAGGGATGTAAGAATGGTTTAACACATGCAAATCAATCATGACACAGATATCAACAGAATGAAGGATAAAATCCATATAATCATTTCGATTAAAGCTAAAAAATCATTTGATAAAATTCAACAATGCTTCATGGTAAAAACCATAAAAAAGCTGGGTATACAAGGAATATACCCAAATGTAATAAAAGCCACTTATAACAGGCCCACAGAGCTAGTAGCATACCGAGTGGGCAAAAACTGAAATCTTTCTTCTAATATCTGGAATATGACCAGGACACCCAGTTTCACCACTGTTATTCAACATAGTAGTGGAAGACCTAGCTAGAGCAATTAGACAAGTGAAAGATATAAAGGGCATCCAAAAGGAAAGGAAGTCAAATTATCCTTGTTTACAGGTGATATAATCACATATTCAGAAAAACCTAAGACCCCACCAAAAAAAAGAAAACTATTAGAACTGTTAAACAAATTTAGTCAAATTGCAGGATACAAAATCAACATATAAAAATTAGTACCATTTCTATATGTCAATAGTGAACAATCTGAATAAAATAATTAAATCCCATTTACAATGGCCACAAAAAAATTAAATGTGTGGAGGTCAACTTAACTAAAGAAGGGAAAGATCTCAATAATGAAAACTTTAAAACACTGAGGATAGAAATTGAAATCAAGACACAAAAATGGAATTATATTCCATGTTCATGGATTGGAAGATTCAATGTGGTTAAAATGTCCATACTACCCAAAACAATCTACAGATTCAATGCAATCTCTATTATAATGCCGATGACATTCTTCACAGAAACAGAAAAAAAAATCTTAAAATTTGCATGGAATCACAAAAGACACAGAATAGGCAAAGCTGTCTTGAGCAGAAAAGAACAAAACTGAAGGAATCACATTATCTCACTTCAAATTATTCTACAGAGCTACACTAACCAAAACAGCATGGTACTGGCCATAAAAACAGATACATAGACCAATGGAAAAGAATAGATAACCCAGAAACAAATCCAGACACATAGAGCAAACTCATTTTTGACAAAGGTGCCAAAGAACACACACTGGGAAAAAGACAGGCTCTTCAATAATGGTGCTAGGAAAACTGCATATCTATATGCGGAAGAATGAAACTAAACCCTATTTCTTGCCATATTAAAAAATCAAATCAAAATGCATTAAAGATGTAAATCTAAGACCTCAAACTGTGAAACTATTACAAGAAAATCTTAAGGACAATCTTCAGAACATTAGGCTGGGCAAAACATTTTTGAGTAATACTTCACAAGCACAGGAAATACAAGCAAAAATGGCCAAATGGGATTCTATCTAGTTAAAAGCATCTGTAAAGCAAAGAAAACTATCAATAAAGTAAAGAGACAACCCACAGAATAAGAAAAAATATTTGTACACTACCCATCTGGCAAAAGATTAATCACCAGAATATATAAGAAGTTCAAACAATGCTATAGGAAAAAATTTAATAATCCATTTAAAAATGGGCCAATTTTTAAATGTTTGAATGGACATTTCTCAAAAGAAGGCATACAAATGGTAAACAAACATACGAAAAGGTACTCAACATCACTGATCATCAGATAAATGAAAATTAAAACTACAGTAAGATATCTCACAGAAGTTAAAATGGCTTATATCCAAAGAAAGGCAATAACAACTGCTGATGAGCATGTGGAAAAAAGGCACACTGTTGGTGGGAATGTAAATTAGTATAACCATGCTGGAGAAGTGTTTGGAGGTTCCTCAAAAAACTAAAAATAAAGCTACCATACAATCCAGCAATTCAGTTGCTTAGAATATACCCCAAAGAAAAGAATCAATATATTGGAGAGATATCTGCACTCCTACATTTGATTTAGCACTATTTACAATACCCAAGATTTGGAAGCAACCTGCGTCTAACACCAGATGAAGTGAAAATATTATACATATACACAATGGAGGGCTATTCAGCCATAAATATGAATGAGATCCAGTCATTTGCAACACAATGGATGGAACTAGAGGTCATTACATTAAGTAAAATACGCCAGGGACAGAAAGTCAAATATCACATTTTCTCACTTATTTGTGGGATCTCAACATCAAAACAATTCAATTCATGGAGATAGAGAGTAGAAGAATGGTTACCACAGGGTGGTAAGTGCAGTAGGGGTTTGGGGGGAAAGTGGGGATGGTTAATGGGTACAAAAATAGTATTTAGAATGGATGAATAAGATTTATTGATGGCACAGCTGGGTGACTACAGTTAACAATAAATTGTACATATTAAAATAACTAAAATAATATAACTGAATTGTTTATGACACAAAGATAAAATGCTTGAGGGGATGGATACCCCATTTTATATGATGTGATTATTACACATTACATGTCTTTATCAAAATATCTCATGTGCCCAAAATATGTACACCTACTATGTACCCATGAAAATTAAGAATTTAAAATTTAAAAAATAAAAACAATACATACCTGTGCAATAAAAAAAAAGAGACATAAAAGCCCCAGACAAACAAAAGTTGAGGGAATACTAAACCCATAAACCTGTGTAAAAATAAATAAATAAAATAAAGGAAAATTTTCTACTTAATACAAAATGATGCCAAATAGCAATATAATGGCATTAAAAGGACAAAAGTCATTGGTAAATGCAAATACATAGACAACTACAGATTAATATATTAGTATATCATTTGTGGGTAAGTTATTTTAATTAAATTATAAAAATTTAAGTGACAAAAGCATTAAAATAAGTATATCTAAAATATATTTATGGATATACAATATAAACAGATGTAAACTGTGACTTCATTAAGATAAAGTGTGAGCAGGCTAATCAATGTAGAATTTTTCTATGTAATGGAAGTTAATTTATTATCAGCTTAAAAGAGACTTTTATATTTTATGTAAGTCCCATGATACCCAGAAAATGTTTATAGAAGTAGCAAAAAAGGAAAAATAAATAAACATATTACAAAAATCAACAAACCATAAAGAAAGACAGCACCACAGGAAAAGAGGGGAAAATCACTGCAAGACATAGAAAAACAGCTTAAAAATAGCAAAGTTAATCCTTCTTTGTCAATAACTACCCTAAATATAAATGGATTAAATCTCCAAACAAAAGATACAGAGTTGCTGATTGGATAAAACTACCTGCTGTCTATAAGAGACTCACTTTAGATCTAATAACACACATAGGCTGAAAATGAAGAGTTGGAAAAAGGTATTCAATACAAATGGTAACCAAAATAAAACAAGGGTAGGTATACATATATTAGACAAAATAAACTTTACATCAAAACTGTCTCAAGAGACAAAAAAATGACATTATAAAATGATTTTTAAAAGTTCATTCACCAACAAGATACAATTATGGATATATTATAGACTCAACCTCAGAGAATATAAATATATGAAGCAAACATAGACAGAACTGAAGGAAAAAATATAGAGGAATAAAATACAGTCATCTCTTGGTACCTGCGAGGGATTGGTTCCAGTACCTTCCATGGATACCAAAACACAAAGACGCTCACGTCCCTTATATAAAATGGTGACATGCAGTGGCCCTCCATAATAGGCTGATTGTAATAGTAGAGGACCTTAATATGTCCACTTTTAGTTATAATAGAACAACCAGAGAGAATATCAATGAGGAAATGGAGAACATTACAGATCAACTGGACCCAATTGTCAGTGAGCACTTTATTCATTAACAGTAGAATATATATTCTTCTCAAACAGAAATGGAACAATTTTTAAGATAGATCACATGTTACAACACACAACAAGTATTAACAAATTTCAGATTAAAATCATACTAATTATCTTTTGCAACCACAATGGAATAAAACTAGAAATCAATAGCAGAAGCAAAACTGGAAAGTTCACATGAATGTGCATATTAAACAACACATCTTTGAAAAATTGATTGTTCAAATCAACCAAAAGTGTATTTAGAAAATATTTTGAGACAAACGAGACTGAAAACAGAGCATTAGAAAACATGAGATGCAACAAGAGTAGCAGTAAGAGGGAAGTTTATAATGATAAATCCTACGTTAATAGGGTGAGTTTTATTCCTGTAGACTATAATCAGAGGTTAACTTCTCGAATTTCTGGTCACTAGAAGCATCTGAGAAATTGTTTATTGTCAATAAACACCAATAAATTTTACATAATTATAGCAGTAAGAAAAGAATGATGTCAAATAAACACAACTTTACACTTCAAGAAAATATAAAAAGCAAACCAAATTGAGCCCAAAGTTAGCAGAAAGAAAAGGTTAGAAAACAAAGTAAAGAATAGAAAAAAATCAACACAACTAAGAGTTGAGATGTTTTTCGAAAAGTGAACAAAATTGATGAACTTTAATCTAGACTAAGAGAGAAGTTTCAACTAAAGTAAGAAAAGAAAGCAGAGAAATTATAACTAACACCACAGAAATAAAGTAATCATAAGAGATTACTATGCACAATTATACATAAAAAATTAAATAACTGGGAAGGAATGAATAAATTCCTAGATACAAAAAAAAAATCCACCGTGACTAATTCATGAAGAAAGTCTGAATAGACCTACTAACAGTAAAAAGATGAAATCACTAATCAACAACCTCTAAACAACAAAGAGCTGAGGATCAGATGGCTTTACTGGTGTTAGAAAACTTTTAAAGAAAAAATTAATGACAATCCTTCTCAACCTCTTGCCAAAAATTGAAGAGGAAGGAACAGCTTCAAACTCATTTTATGAGACCAGCATTACCCTGATATCAAAGCCAGACAAAATCATCAAAAGAAACCTACAAGCCAATATCCCTGATGAATACAGATGCAACGAATCCTCAACAAAATACTACCAAACATAATTTAAGAGCACATTAAAAGGATATTATGCCATAACCAAGTGGGATTTATACCTGAAATGCAAAGTTCAACATACAAAAATCAATCAGTGTAATAAAACACATTAACAAAATAAAAGACAAAATTACACAATCATATCAGTAAAATTCAAAAAAGCACTTGATAAAATTCAACACTCTCATGACAAAAACTTCCAACAAGCTACAAATAAAGGGAAATTTGCTCAACATAATCATGGCCATACATGAGAAACCCATAGCGAACATCAAATTCAAGAGTGAAAAAAGGAAAGCTTTTAGGAAAAGGGAAAGGATGACTATTCTCACCAATTATATTCAATATAGCCCTGGAATTGTATGCCAGAGCTATTAGTCAAGAAAAAAAAATAATAAAATGCATCAAACTAGAAAGGAAGAAGTAAAATTATCTCCATTTGCAGATGATATGACCTTATACATAGAAAACCCTAGACTTCACACACACACACACACACACACACACACACGCACACACACATACACATCTGTTAAATTAAATGAACAAGTTCTGGAAAGTTGCAGGATAAAAAATTCATAAGAAATGTTTGCCTTTCTATTCACTAACAAATAACTATCTGAAAAGGCAATTGGGAAAACAATCCCATTCACAATTAAATAAAAAGAAATAAAACATGATAAATTTAAGCAGGTGAAAGACTTGTACACTGAATACTTCAAAACACTGATGAAACAAATCGAAAAAGCCACAAACAGTTAGAAAGATATATCCTGTGTCCATGGATTAATGAATCTAATAATGTTAAATGTCCATACTACCTAAATACATCTACAGATTCAATGCAATACCTATCAAAATCCCAATGACACTTTTACAAAAATATAAAAAATAATCCTAAAGTTCATATAAACCAAAAAATGACATCAAATAGCCAAGCAACCTTGAGAAGGAAGAAAGCTGATAGCTCACACTTCCTGATTATAAATATTTTCCAAAGCTAAAGTAATTAATACACTATGGTACTGGCACAAAGCTGGATATAGAAACCAGTAGAATAGAAGAGAGAGCTCACATAAATATATACAGTCATCTGATCTTTGTCAAGGGGCTACAATGGTGAAATGATTGTTTCTCCAACAAATGGTGTTGAGAAAATTGGATATTTACATGAATTTATAGTATTATCTTACATATAACAAAAAAATTAACTCAGACTGTTTTGAAGACCAAAATTTAAAACCAGAAACTTTAAAACTCCTAGAATAAAATCTAGGGAAAGTGCTTCATTAAATTGGTCATGACAATAATTTCATGGATATAACACCAAAAGCACAGGCAACAGAGGCAAAATTAAACTAATGGAACTCCATCAAACTAAAAAGCTTCTGCCCAGCAAAAGAAACAATCAATAGAGTGAAAAGGCATACAGAATACATGAAAATTTATTTGTAAAGCATTTATGTGATAAGGGGTTAATTTCTAAAAGATACAAGACATGCTTATAACTCCATAGCAAAAAAATTAAAATAATCTGCTTTAAGAATAGGCTAAAGACCTGAATAGAAATTTCTCCCAAGAAGACACAGAAATAACAACAGGTATATGAAAAGATGTTCAACATCACTTATTATCATGGTAATGAAAATCAAAAACACAATTAAATATCCCCATACACCCGTTAGGATAGGTGTTATCAAAAAAAAGAATAAGAAAAATGTTGGCATGGATGTGGAAATATCTGAACACTTACAAACTGTTAGTAGAATGCAAAATGATGCACCTAGTATAAAAAACAGTATGAAGATTCCTGAAAAAATTAAATATAGAACTACCACATGATGCAGCAACCTCACTTCTGGGTGTAGAATTAATTCAAAAGAATCAAAATCAGGATCTCAGAGATATTTGCACTTGCATGTTCATTGCAACTCTCTTCACGATAGCCTTGATGTGAAAACAACCTAATGACTACTGAAAGACGAATTAAGAAAATATGATAAATATGAACAATGGAATACTATTCAGTCTTAAAAAGAAAAGAAATTCTGCAACATGTGATAACATGTATGAACTTTGCTGACATTATGCTAAGTGAAATAAGCCCATTACAGAAGAATAAATACTGACTGATTATATTTATGTGAGGCATATAAAAGAGTCAAACTCATGAAAGCAGAAAGTAGAATGGTGATTTACAGTGGTTGGGTAACAGGGGAAATAGGGAGTTGCTAGTCAATGGGTATAAAGTTTCAGTTATACAAAATGAATAAGTTCTAGAGATCTGCTGTACAACATTGTGCCTATAGTTAATAATACTGTATTGTACAGTTGACCTTTGAATAACATGAGATTTAGGGTGGCTGACCCCTCACACAGTTGACAATCTGTGTATAACTTTTGGTTCCCCCAAAACATAACTACTGATAGCCTACTGTTGACCAGAAACCTTACCAATAGCATAAACGGTCAACATATATTTTCCATGTTATATGTATTATAGACTGTATTCTTACTATAAAGTAAGCTAGAGAAAATGATGTTTAGAAAATCACGAGGAAATATATTTACTATTCATTAAATAGAAGTGGGTCTCATAAAGTTTTTCATCCTCATCTCTTCACATTGAGTAGGTGGAGGAGGGAGGGAAGGCATTGTTCTTGCTTTCTGTAGGGTAGTAGAGGTGGAGGCAGTGGATGGGGTAAAAAGGAAGACAGGAAAGGCAGGTACACACAGTGCACCTTTACAGAAATACATCAAAATTGCTATTTGACTTTGATGTTTAATCATTTCTCTAAAAATGTTTCTATATGATACCAATCCTTCTTCCACTGTTTGCTTTTGTTTCAGTGCCCACATTACAGAAGGTTCCACGTTGTAAAATATACCAAAACAGTCTTGAATAATCAGAACACTTCTGCCAGATTGTCTAATGTCAATTTGTTTCTGACACTGATTCTTCTATGTTTTTTCCTCATCATCTGAGACTGGTTCAGCACTTATCTTCATCAAGTTGTCTTCTGCCGACTCCTCTGATGTGGTGCCAATTAGCTCTTGAATGTCTCCAAGATCCATATTTTGAAATTCTTCACATCTTTGTTTGCCATATCCACAATCTCTTTGTAATTTCCTTGAATGACCATGTTGTGAATCCTATGAAGTTATGCACTACATCAGGACAGTTTTCTCCAGTAGAAATTTGTTTCCTGCTTGACGGCTTTTTGTGGCTTTTTCTATAAAGATGATGGCAACTTCAACGGTGTAATCCTTTCAGACTTTTATAATGTTCTCTCTATAGGGGTTCTCTTCTACAGTATTGACAATCCTTTTTTTTTGTGGTTTACATAAAACAAACTTTATTTTTTTATTTTATTTTATTATTATTATACTTTAATGACAATCCTTTCTATAGCGTAACATGCAATGAGCCTTAAATGTCCTTATAACCTCAGATCTATAGGCTGAATTAGAGACATTGTGTTTGGGATAAAGCAGACCACTTCAGCACCTTCAGTATTCAATTCATGGAGTTCTGGATGACCAAGAGCATTGTCTATTACCAAAAGAACTTTAAAAAAGCAAACCCTTTCTGCCGCCATATTCCTTGTCTTGGGGAACAAACTATCAATGGAAACTGTCAGAACTTTTTAGTAAAAAATTGTTCTTATTGTTCAGTCCTTCTTGTTGTACAACCAAAACACTAAAAAGTGTTTTTTATCTTTCCCCTTTAAGGCTTAGGGATTAGCAGTTGTATAGGTAAGAACAGTTCTGATCCTAAACCCCACTGCATTTGCGTAGAACATCAGAGTTAGCCTATCCCTTCCTGCCTTAAATCCTGGTGCTCACATGTCTTCCTTATTAATAAGTGTACTTTGTGGCATTTTTTTCCAGAATAGGGAACTTTCATCTAATTAAAAACCTGTTCGGGTAGATGTCCTTTCTTCTCAGTGATTTTCTTAATGCTATCTAGAACACTATTTCTGTTGCCTCCTGATTAGCAGAAGCTGCTTCTCCAGTTATCTTGACACTTTTCTGAGGCAAATCTCTTTCTAAAATTTTCAAATTATCCTTTAGTGACATTAAATTCTCCAGCTTTAAATCCTTCATTTTCCTTTTGCTTTAAGTTGTCATATAATGACTTCACTTTTTCTCAAATCATGTTTGAGTCTTACAGGTACGCTTTTTAAAAATTTTTTATTTAATTTAAGTTCCAGGATACATGGGCAGGGTGTGCAGATTTGTTACATAGGTAAACGTGTGCCAGGGTGGTTTGCTGCACCTATCAACCCATCACCTAGGTATTACTCCCAACATGCATCAGCTATTTTTCCTGATGCTCTCCCTCCTGCTGTGCCCACTCCCTGACAGGCCTCAGTATGTGTTGTTCCCCTCCCTGTGTCCACATATTCTCATTTTTCGGTACCCACTTATGAGTGAGAACATGTAGTGTTTGGTTTTCTCTTCCTGTTAGTTTGTTGAGGATAATGGCTTCTAGCTTCATCCACATCCCTGCAAAGGACATGATCTCTTTCCTTTTTATGGCTGCATAGTATTCCATGGTGTATATATAGCACATTTTCTTTATCCAGTCTATCCTTGATCTGCATTTGGGATGATTCCTTGTCTTTAATTTAATAGCAGTGTTGCACCTACATAAAAGCTGCATTTTCAATATTAGATAAAAACTATTTCACTAAAAGCACAGGTTTTGTGCCCACTGGTGTAGCTGCAGTGAGGCTTCATGTTGCTCCATTTCTCTTTCTCTCTCTCCCTGTCTCTCTCTCTCTCTCTCTCTCTCTGTGTGTGTGTGTGTGTGTCTGTTTACAATGGTCCTTCTACTGGATACATTTATATTGAAACAGTGGCCGGCTGCAGAGCTCAAACTACAGTACATATTAAACAACTTGACTTTTTCTTGTAATGTCATGACTTTTCTGTGCTTCTGGGAGCACTTCCAGCACTTCATATGGCTCACACAGTGTTATTTAAGGTTGATGGTATTGTACTAAACAAAATGAAAAATACACAGGAACCACAGGAGTTCACTTTTTAAAGTGATTCATCACTTACTGGAGAGTGATGAAAACCACTCACATGGAGATGATCAACGACATGTGACATTTTAAGTAAATACTCTCAACACTTGAGCTAACTGCAATAACAACAGGAGATGGTTACATAATTTTTACAGCAGTAAAATATGCACTACAGTTAATTTTATTCAGTTATGACTTAATACTGTATCGTTATATTTGGTTGCATTTCTCTTGACTGCAAATGGCATCATGTAAAACCTATAAGAGTTTTTCTGTATAAAGTTGGACAAATTTTAACTTTTAATAATAGATTTGTGCATATTTTATTATAGCAAATTATAAAATAGTTTAGCATCTATATATATTTTATTTATTCATGATATATCTGTATCTTAACATTTTCTAATTTCTAAGCTGTGTAGTTTATCTGCAGGTTTCTTCATATTGTCACAAATCTCAAAAAATATTTCCAATACATTTATTGAAAGATCTATGTATAAGTGGATCTGCACAGTTCAAACCTGTGCTGTTCAAAGGTCAACTCTACTTTTAAAAATCTGTTAAGAAGGTAGATTTTAATTTAGCTGTTCTTACCACAATAAAATAATAAAGTAATAAGAATTGAGAAAACACACACACGGAAAAACACACACCATAAAACTTCAGAGCACAATTAAATGATGCCATTACTCTGATCTATAAGGAAACTCATTGACATAAGAAAATATTGACATAAGAAAATATTGTCTTGATTTAAAACTATCTAGAAATAAATTATTTTCCATAATGAATCTGTCTCTAAAATTGATTTATGTGATCATATTGTTTTATAATCATATTGTTTTATAATCAACAACACAGACTGAATTCAGGAAATGATTGGTTAAATCAGTAACTCCATATACATGCTAAGTATTTATTTATCACCTGCCAGAAATGTAATTTTGAGGACTTTTTTGGTTCTTTCACTGGTCTTTGTATAGGAACTAAAGAATATAACCTAGCTAGATATTGTCTGACAGTGTTTCCGTTGGGTAACATACCGTGTTAAAAGGTGGAAAATTCTACCAAAAAAAAAAAATGTTAGTTTCTGGATGTTCTAGAAAACCAAGCAGGAGGTCTTTTCAATGCTGGGTCCAAAATTCTGCTTGAAAAGTACAGGCCAGAGCTGGGCGGCGCCTGAGCTTTTGGGTGTGTGGCGATAGCAGTTTACCAACAACAACCCTTCCCATTCTAACCATCAAACCCTAATTTCCGGTCTTTGACATTCTTTACTTATTTGTGTTATCTCTTTGGCTTGTGTAGGAGTTGAAGTTTGCCAAAGTATACTTTATAATAAGTGCACTTCATGCTTCTCACTGAGTAGAGAAGATGTGATAATATTTGAATGGCCAGGAGTAGAAATTGAATAACCATGAATTCTAAAATGCTGTAATTATTTCTGAATAGAGTAGAGAGACTGCAAAACTATTACCCTAAAGATCTAAAGCCCTTCACCACTTATTTTGTACTCAGTGATAAAAGCAATTATGAAACTGGAATCAAATGACTAAATATAATATATAATGTGTAGCTACAGTAAGTCACATTTCTAAAACGGAAGATATAAATCATCATCAAGTGTTTGCTTTCGTTTTATATTAGAAGGCACTTTCAAATTTGTTGGCCTACTGTGATGTCTATTCCTCTCAGAATGAATCCTTTGGTCTCATTGGAGTGATCTATTTAAGTCCTGGTGAGATAGAAAATCATATTCGTTTATTCACAAACACTAATCAGTTATTATTTGTTAAGACAGACAACATTCTGTCATGTTCTCAAAGAGATGGTGGGTAAGTACACACATATTTACAGATTGTTGTGAGAAGGGCTACAATAAAGACATGCTCTTGGTCATTAATAGGGGCACCGAATTTGAGACCAGTGGAAAATGATTAAGTAAGGGTTATCTGAGGAAAGCCACATGTTGAAAGAGACTTTAAGAACTATGAAAATAAAAGAGAGAAAAGTTTTTCCAATTTTAAATAAAGGGGAGTGTGAGATTACAGGGTACAGAAATTCAGTCAATCATTGAATTAAGGTACAGATACTCAGCAAGAGAAGGAATATAGGGAACAAAGTGGGTTTGGAAATAAGATGATAAGACCAGCATTTGACAGGTTGAATTTTAGGTAGTTATTTTAAAAAATCTAAGAAAAAAATGAATAAATAGTAGAAGTACATATTTAAACAAATTATAGAAAAATATCCATTACAATTAGTAAATTACATAGAATTTTTTTGTGTTTCATTAGTGTAAGAAGCAGGTTATAGTAGATGAGAAGTACATGGGAGATGAGACGATGAGGCACTTAGATGATTTTTTTCTAGGTACTTGGCTTTGAAGATGAATTGAGGAAACAGTTAATCAACTGGGAAGTCATTTGGGGATATAAAAAATGTATATATGTAAATAGATGGGAGAGACTTGAGAGTGTTTGCTGAGAAAAAGAGGGGATGCAGATGAACAAGAGGCAGAAAGATGAAATCTAAACCCCAGTTGGATTGATTAATATTAGCTAAAGATAGATACTTTTTCATAAGTATGGGTAAAACAAGATAAATATTGATATAGTACAGGTACATCTGTAGGAAGGAGGGCATGAAGTCAAGGCAGATATTACAACATGGGCTCTCATTCTTCTATGAGAGGAGAAATAAAGCATGCTCCGAGAGTGAAGACAAAAGTCATAAATTTTATTTACGTGTCCTCTCCTTCATTCATTTGTTCTACAAGCACTCATTAAATGTTGCCGTAGGCCAAGCCATCAGTGAAAGCCAGGAAAAATGATCATAACCAAAGTGCATTCTGTTGTCTCTTAAACCACCCACGCCATAAGCCAATAAAGCAGCCACAAGGAGATGTTAGCAAAGCAAACTCTGAGTTCTACACATCAACCAAGTCATCATCAACTGAAAAATAAAATGTACTGGACTTGGCAGTCAGTTTTCAGAGAGGGACATTTTAAGTAATCTAAAATAAGTTTGTTAAAAATCTCCATTTACATGTAGTTTTATAAGCAAAGTATAAAAAGGAGCTGAATTTCATTTTTATTCTGATTATTAACGCATTTATTTCCTACCTGTAACTTTTGGAAAGTAGTAAGCAAAGTACTATTGAAAAAGTAAATTTAATTATTTGGAAGAATGGTGTCCTGCACTTAAAAAGCACTATCATGGTACCTCGTTCCGATTGTACTTACTCAGATCCACATATCCGATATCCACATACATTTTAGCAAACAGAGATCCCAGCATAAAGGCAAAAACTAGACCAGTCATTCCCATTACATTCACAGTACCTGTCGGTATTACAAAACAATTTAATCAGATACCGCAAATACTTGGTTTTTATTCAACATGTTTTTAAAAGTAATATTACACAATACATTTCTCCAAATATTTATTCTAATAAAGAATACAGTTAATGATACTATTATTCCAAAGGTAGACCTAAGGATTAACCATGCAATTTAATATTTTCTGTTTATTACCTAAATACAAGGAAGAATGTCCTTCTTTTGCAAAATCATCAATGTAAGAAATCCCCAATGGTACTATGGGGGTTTCCCCTATGCCACGAAGCATATTACCCATGAAGACATAGATCCACATGTGTGACCCAGATTCCTTCACACAACCTATCGAGACAAGAGAGTGTTTTATTTTAAACATTATTTTTAACATTCTTATTAGAAATTTAACTACTTTAAGCCCTTTGCTATTCTATTTTTTTCTAATTACAAGTGATTCATATTCACTTTGCAAAGTTTGAAAATAAGGAAGGGCACAAAGAAAACAAGTAAAAAATATCTATAATCACACTACACACCGAAGATCATTGCAAATGTTACTCTAGATCTTCTACATTTTTGGTGCACAAAATATGCATAATATTCATTATGTACAATATATAATTAAATATCTAGGTTATTTTTAAGCTGCATACATAGTTATCGCTATATTATCACAATTTCCCCATGTTGTTAAGATTTCTTCTATGTGAAAATGTTAATGACTGTACAGTAGTGGGTTGAGTAACAATTCCCTCATTTGTTTAAACAATCTCTTCTTTTTTAGTTACAAAATATTTCCATTTTTTATTCTGTTAAACACAGATGTCATGGCTATAATTGTAAATAAGTCCTTGTGCACATTCCTGATTATTTTCTTAAGATTTATCACTAAAGTAGGCAAGTATATTTTTGTTCTTTAATATATATTAAAAATTAATCTCCAGAAAAAGTTACAAATTTACACACTTCCAGAAGTATATAAAATGTGAAATCTTATATTTCCTCCTTTCCATTTCTTTTCATTAAACTTTTGGGTTATAATTATAATTTATTATTTGTGTTATAATAGGCACAAAATCTTCAAATGCTATAATATTTTGCATTTTTTATGAAGAGCAAAGTTACACTATTCACATATTTCTGCCACTTCCTGCTTTTTAAATTTTAAATGTGTACGTTTTTTGCCAGTTACCGATTAAATTTTTTCTCTTTTCTCATCTACCTAAATATATCCTTCATATATATTACAGTCATCCCTTGACATATATAGTAGGATGTTTGTTCCAGGACAACTCATGTGTACCCAAATTCATGCATACTTAATTCCTCTGGTTGCCCCCGTGGAAACTACCTATAGAAGTAAGATCTCCATATGGGTGGGTTTCTCCTTCTGTTTGGTTGGACAAAAGCCATATATAAGTGAACAGATGCAACTACAATCTACGTTGTTCATGGGTCAACTGTGTATATTAACAGTATGATTTTGTCTGTATGTAACGGTTAAATATTTTTCCTATCTGTTCTTAAATGAATTTTGCTAAAAAATCACATTTTATAGATGTAATTAGATATACAAATTTTATACTTTTTAACTGTCAGTATTAATTCTTACCTCTTTCTATTATCTCAGACGGTGTTCTATTGAGTGATAACATTTGATTAATTAAACAGTTTGGTAAGTTTGATGTTGAATTTTCTGATGGATCAATATTGGTTTCTTTAGAATACCTGTAACTATAAGAGTAACACTGGATTGAACATTTTGCTTATCTGCTGAATATTTTCACCTTTCCCAAAAATGCAGAAAAATTTTCCCCTTTATTGACACTGTCTTTGAATTACCGGACTTCTCTTTGTCAATTTCCCAGGATGTATGTCAGAAGAGGAGGTGATAAGAGGGGGTGGGGGTGGGGCGGGAATGGGAGCATCTACTAAGACAGATAATTCAACACACCATGGATAAAGTGGGTTATCACTTTTCTATAATCCTAGGAGTGCTTATATTCTGGTCAAGATGTAAAATATCCTGTTTCACCTGTTTTTTTTTTAGTCTGTTAACTGTATCTATTTATCCCTTTGAGTTATCGCCAAAGATAGTAAGTCTGTCTGATTTTCTTTCATGAACACACACACACTAATGCTTGACTCTTCAAAACTCAATTAAAAATTTCTAACCTATTTTAACTTTATGAGGAAGAACTTAATAAGGACCAAAGAGATGGTGCTGAATTAGAGACAGATGCTGATATCCAAAAGTACTAAGGAGCTCTGTGAGCTCTGAGGGCAGCTCATAGTGTGCCAGATATGTTCAGCTTCAATGAGCTAGAAGTAAAGCTCAATTTTTGTACTTTAGAGATTTCACACTCTCTGAGATAAAAGCATATGATCAAAGACACAATAAGTTTAATATGCAAGGTCCCAAGTTGTCACATACACACACAGAAGAGATGATCAGCTTTGCTTGGAGGTGGTGGGTAGATCAAAGAAGACTTCGCAATGTGAGTGACAGATAAAATGAATATTGAAGATGGATAGAAGTTTAACTGGTAGACAAAGGAAGAAAAGTATTCAAGGCTGTAGAAACAACAGGTGCAAAGAGATGACATACTCTGGCACATTTAGAGAACTGTAAGCCTGGAATGTGGTCCTCAAATGTGGGGAGCAATGCAAGATGAAGCTGTGGTGGTTGCATCTAAGCATGTTCTCCTTAAAAATCATGAAGAATAAGATAGTAAGAAGATTAGAAGGAATTATGGGACACTGAAATTATGGTGTCAGAAGTAGAGAAAAAGGACGGGCATGATGAAGAGGCCACAAAGGTAGAAAAATGAATCAAGATATGGACTATGATGAGTATTAGAGCAGTACCATTAAGAAGAAAGTTCTTATAAGGGTCAAATGTAGGAAAAGAACAGAATTAATATGATGACCAAAAGGCATGATTGCTGGATATGGCAATGAGTAAGTAATTGGCATCTCTAACAGGGACTGCTCATTGTCTCTCGGTATCCTTTTTTCTCTCCTTCCATAGTAAAAGAAGTTGGGGTTTTTAGCTGGTAACCGCGTCCTGGAATAAAGCCTTTCCCCCCCAGTATCTATATATCTATGTGTAAAATGTAACCAATTTCTGGTAAATGTGAAGCCAGTGGAAACATTTTGCTTCTGAAAATGCTCCTTAAGCCTCAGTCTGTGTGCATTTTTGGTTCTTCTCCTTGTTCTTCTTCCCTTCTTCTATCCTGCTGCCAGAAAATACATTGCCACAATTTGTACCACGAGGCCAAGGCCATGCAAGGCATAGCACTATGATGAAAAGAATAGAACCATATCATCCTTGGACTAACTACATTAACTTTTATGTAAAAAATAAGCTCTGTCTTATTTAAGTTTTAGCTATTTCCAGTTTTCTCTTATGAACACCTTCCTCTAATCATAACTATGCAGTTACCTTAGAAAGAACAACTTTGGTGTAATGCTGTTGGGCAAACTTATATGCAGTGGATGAAGCTGTGAAGTCTTACTATTATTAAAATCTTACAGGCAAAGACATGAAGTACACGTGTTATACTTCATGTAATAAATAGCTTATTTATTTCATTTGAAACTTTACACCTTATGTAATATTATTCTTATTTCAAAGTCTATGAAAGCCATGATGAATAAAGCAATATACTATCATATAAAAGAAATATACTCCATTTCTAGACATACTTGGTGAATATTCTCAAAAGATAACTATTTAAAGGATAAAAATAAAATTCTACTGCTAATTTACAAGTTGCTGATAATGAATGGCTCAGTGCTGTTTAACACTTACTATCCCATGAAGAAATGTGGTAAAGCCATCAAAATACTTCCAGTTCCCATAAGAAAACAACCAATTCCAATTAACTTCGGTCTGTGTAGTTTAGATCCAAAGTAACTTACAAATACAATCACAAACAAATTTCCTAGAAAGAGAACAAAATTATGTTGACATGACTTAGTTCAATTTTGTATCTGATAGAACTGAATGCCCCAGAATGACTGCAAATAAAGCCCAAGACATCATACCTTCCCTCAAAGACAATGTAATTTAATTGTGAAGATGAGCTCTCCTGCATTAAACCACTAATTGAAATTGGTATAGTACTAATGATAAGTAGAATAGGTTTTATATGCAAACAAAACACTTAGGTAATTTGGCAATATGAGAGAAGCAAAATGTTCTTGAAAGTTTGGAGATTACTGCATTGCGTTGGGATGGAAAAATGTCTTCCTAATCTGAGAAATCTTTTTATCATCATTCAGGCATTATTAAAATTTATTTCCAGCATTCTTTAAATTTATACTATATACCTACCATGGTGCTCAGAGTCAGAAATATAAAAAAAGAATAAACCATGGTACCTGTTCTCTAGAAACACATTAGTAATAAAATAAAACAGATAAATAGAGGTACTATTAGGTTACGGAAATAGCTTAAATTAGGGGCTTTGTGAAAATCTCCTGGAGGAGACGTCATTTGAGATTTAATGTTGAGTATAAATTATTTAGATTAAAACGTGGAAGAAGAGCAATCAGAGCAGACCAATTCAGATTTATCTGTAGCCTGATATATAACAATTAACAGACAACAATCAATAATTATTGAACATTGATTGAAAATAGTAGCATGAAAGAAGAGCATCAAAACAGACCAGCAGATAAAGCAACATAAGCATAAGTACTTAAACAAGATTAAACTAAAAACAGTAAAAACATTTTTTTAAAAATTCTGTTAGCATATTTAGAGGTACAAGGGCATGTAGCATCCATAAAATCAGAATGGCAGACTAAAAGTAACAAAAGAATGATAAAGTATTGTTATAAATTTAAAATATTATTAAAAATTTACAAATTAGAACTTGATATAATAAGATGGCATCAGAGAAGATTGATGAAACATAGGGAAAATAGGTAGAAATTTAGAAGAAAAAAATTTAAAAGCAAAAATACCCAGAAAATATATTATTTATATCATATATGTTACAGAATAAAATAGAAAAAAACAAATAGAAAACAGAAAATAAACTCGCTGGTCTGGTGAGATGGCTAACGCCTATAATCCCAGCACTTTGGGAGGCCAAGGCGGGTGGATAATCTGAGGTCAGGAGTTCGAGAGCATCCTGGACAACATGGTGAAACCCCGTCTCTACTAAAAATACAAAATTAACCAGGCATGCTGGCACATGCCTGTAATTCCAGCTACTTGGGAGACTGAGGCAGGAGAATCTCTTGAACCCGGGAGGCGGAGGTTGTAGTGAGCTGAGATCACGCCATTGCACTGCAGCCTGGGTAGCAAGAGCGAAAAACTGTTTCCCCTCCTCCCCCCGCAAAAAAAAGAAAAGAAAGAAAACATTGGGAGGCCAAGGCGGGTGGATCACGAGGTCAGGAGGTCGAGACCACGGTGAAACCCCGTCTCTACTAAAAATACAACAACAACAATAAAATTAGCCGTGCGTGGTGACGGGCGCCTGTAGTCCCAGCTACTCGGGAGGCTGAGGCAGGAGAATGGCATGAACCAGGAAGGCGAGCTTGCAGTCAGCCGAGATCGCGCCACTGCACTCCAGCCTGGGCGACAGAGCGAGACTCTGTCTCAAAAAAAAAAAAGAAAGAAAAAAGAAAAAGAGAAGAAATTCCCTGTGTTAGAGGAAGACTTAAGATGAAAGTTTCTGCTTTTGTCCAGCAGAATTAATACAGACAGAGACAGTCTCAGATATATGCTGGTATATTTTCAGAGATTTAGAGATAAGAGATTCATATCAGTGCATAAAAATTACAATGGCATTAATTTCTTATATACAACACTGAATGTTATAAAACAGTAGATAAATAATTTAAACGTTTTAAGAAAAAGAGATTTTGAATGTTTAATTCCATATCCAGACAATTTATCACTTAAATATGGTAGTCAAATAAGCACATTTTCCAAGATAATATGCCACATTTTAAATTCTTCCTAAAAAAATAATTACAGTCATCCCTTAGTGTCCATGGGGTATTGCTTCTAGGATGCTCTGTAGATACCAAGATTTGTGGATGTTCAAGTTCCTTAAGTAAAAAGGTGTAATACTGCATATAACCTATCCCCTATCCATACCCTCTTGTATACTTTATATCAAATCTAGATAACGTCTAATACTTAATATAATGTAAATACTATGTAAATAGTTGTTATTCTGTGTTGCTTTTATTTGTATTATTTTTACAATTGTATTGCTACTTTTTAATTTTTATATTTTTTGAATATATCTTGCATCCACGGTTGGCTGAATCCATGGATGTGGGAACTGTGTATAGAGAAGGTCATCTACACATGAAGCTATATTCCAGAAAGACTAAAGATGAGATTTGAAGTCACAAGATTCAAGAAACAGAGGTAAGCAAAGAAACAAAACTGATAATGATGTTCAAATAAGTGCTGTTAAACAGGTGCAAAGTTTAACAAAAATATGAAGGATCAATTTATTAACAAAAGGAGACATTCAGTGAATTAAACTTTAAAACTAATAACATTCTAATTCTAAAATCCTTGATGATTTCATTGAGCCTGAGAGGTGAAAGAGTGAAGGACATGTAAAGTGTAATATCTTTGAATCACAAATATTTTGAACTGATTTAAAGAGATGTCTTCCTTTGACAATTACTTTTAAAATATTATTTAGTTAAGCATATTGTAAATACAGTTACATTAGAAACAAAAATCGTATAAAATATTTGCAGTTTATGTAACAGACAATTGGGAGGTCCCTCTAAATAATTAGAAAGTGAAAAGAAGAGGTAAATTTAGCAGAGACTGTGAGCTAGCAATACATAAGAAAAAAATTTCAATTATTATTTAAAACTTCACTATTGTTGCAGAAATACAAATTAAAATGAAGGCAACAAAGCAATATCTTCAACGTTCCCCCAAAAAGACTTTAACCCCTCAATTGTGTACCCCGTTAAACACTAGAATCTAGTGTAGGTTGCTCCTATACAGTCCCTCCCTCCTAAAACCATAAGAATTATAGTCCTCCCTCAGCCTTTCTTCACACAGGGGCACCTTGAGGCAAGGGAGGTAAAGCTTCACAAGGCATTAATTTGCAAACAATGAGTTTGTGTAGGATTAGAGTTTTTCAACATCATCACTATAGACATTTTGGGAAGGATTGTTCTTTGTTGGTAAGTCTGTCCAGTGCATTGCACAATGTTTAACAGCATCCCTGGCCTCTACCCCTGGGTACCAGTAGCATCCTCCCTTCCTCAGCTTATTTATGGCAACTAAAAATGCCTTCAGATATTGCCAAATTGCTCATGAGGGACAAATTTACACCTGGCTGAGAGCCAAGTGTTAAAAACAGTTTTTTTTTAACATATGCAAGTATGGTTATTAAAATAGAAAATAAAAAGCTACCTATTTCGAAGCTTCCATCAATTAAACCAACAAGAGAAGAGGATATCTCAAATCTCCTTTCTATTTGAGTGGTTGATATTTTCATAAAAATTCCAGCTAGTGCTTTAGCAACATAGCTGAATGACAGGAGTGTCAAGAAGATCTGAAAAACAGCAGAAAGAAAAGAGAAAATTGATTAATTAAAGAACTATATAATGTTTATAGGTACGTGGAATTAAAATAGTTTTTTTCTTTACTTACAAACATTATTTTTATCTTAAAAAGCATACTCATCTTTTTTCCTGTACAAGTTGGAACTTGTCAGCCCTATAACTTTTTTTTTAGTGATTTTTTTTAGTTCATGAGTTTTGGGGGTACAGGTGGTTTTGGTTACATGGAGAGGTTCTTTAGTGGTGATTTCTGAGATTTTAGTACACTTGTCACCCAAGGAGTGTACACTGTACCCCATATGTAGTGTCACCCTCATTCCCCTCCCAACCATTCCCCCGAGTCCCCAGAGTCCATTATACTACTGTTATGCCTTTGCATCCTCATTGCTTAGCTCCCTCTTATAACTGAGAACATACAATATTTGGTTTCCCATTCCTGAGTTACTTCATTTAGAATAATGGTCTCCAGTTCCATCCAAGTTGCTGCAAAAGACATTATGTCATTCCTTTTTATGGCTGAGTAGTATTCCAAGGTGTATATATGCCACATTTTCTTTTCTTGTTTTTATTTTTATTATTTATTTTTTATTTTACTTTAAGTTCCAGGATACATGTGCAGAAAATGCAGGTTTGTTACATAGGTATATGTGTTCCATGGTGGTTTGCTGCACCTATTGACCCATCCTCTCAGTTCTCTCCCCTCGCCCCCCAACTCCCAATAGGCCCTGGTATGTGTTGTTCCCCTCACTGTGTCTATGTGTTCTCACTGCTCACCTCCCACTTACGAGTGAGAATATGCGGTGTTTGGTTTTCTGTTCCTGTGTTAGTTTGCTGAGGATGATGGCTTCCAGCTTCATTCATGTCCCTGCAAAGGACATGATCTCATTCCTTTTTATGGCTCTGTAGTATTCCATGATGTATATGTACCACATTTTCTTTATCCAGTCTAACATTGATGGGCATTTGGGTCGGTTCCATGACTTTCCCATTGTAAATAGTGTTGTAATAAACATACTTGTGCATGTGTCTTTAGAGTAGAATGATTTATAATACTTTGGGTATATACTCAGTAATGGGATTGCTGGGTCAAATGGTATTTCTGATTCTAGATCCTTGAGGAATTGTCATACTGTCTCCCACAATGATTGAAGTAATTTACTTTCCTATCAACAGTGTAAAAGCGTTCCTATTTCCCCACAGCCTCACATCTTTTGTTTCTTGACTTTTTAATAATCGCCATTCTGACTGGCATGAAATGGTATCTCATTGTGGTTTTGATATGCATTTCTCTAATGATCAGTGATGTTGAGCTTTTTATCATGTTTCTTGGCCATATAAATGTTTTCTTTTGAGAAGTGTCTTTCATATTCTTTGCTCACTTTCTGATGGGTTATTTTTTCTTGTACATTTTTGCAATCTACCCATCTGACAAATGTCTAATATCCTATAACAGTATTATCATTACACTAGTAAAGCATGATTTTCTAACTTGGTGACAATATTCGATTGTTAGAGGAGTATAATCAGGGTTGTTATTTTTAAATTAATATCATTAACTGATTTATAGGAAGCTAGACACTGTTCTCAGATGGCCACAATGGTGAGCTATTTTTTATTTCCATGTGAATAGCATAGGCTAACTGGGAGGGGGGTGGTGGTACATTCGCAAAGGTAGCATTTCCAGGAGCCAGCTAAAATATTGAACTTTGTGGAGGCAAAGAGGAATTTTATGACCAACAGAAGTGACTGTATCAATGTGAGATGTAGTGGTTATAGATGTTTTCATTTCCAATTTTATTTTAACAAAATGTATTGATTCATCCTTTCTCTTAAAGCTCACATCTACATCCTTACCCTATTCCTTTAGCCCTACTATTAAACTATTACCCACTTCTGAACTTCAGGTTTGTGTTCCCCCCAAATTTTTATGCTGAAACCCAAATTTCCAGTGTGGTGATAATTGGAGATGGAGCATTTTAGGGGTACTTGGTCACAAGAGTAGAACACCCTAATAATAAGAGAAATGAGAGATTCTCGCCCTCTCTCTATGCCATATGAGGACACAGTGAGAAGACAGCCATCTGCAAACCAGAAAGAGGCCCTCATCAGAATTCAGTTATGCTGGCACCCTGATCTCAGACTTCCCAGCCTTCAGAAATGTGAGAAATAAAGTTCTGTTCTTTAGTTACCAATCTTTGCTATTCCACCTTTCTAAATTAAGAGACCCTTTCTTATCACCTTCCATATTCCCAGTGGTTTGCACCACCACGTCTTGCCTCAATTACTGCAATAGCCTCTTGATACATCTTTCTAGTTCTGCACAAGTCTGCCCAATGGCATCTTCTCAAAACAGTAGCTAAAGAAATCCTTTCAAAATAATTTAAAAATAAATAGATCATGCTACCACTCAGTGTCTTCCCATGTGCCTTATAGCAATATCAAGCCTTTCCAATGACCTACAAGACCATGAATAACCTATCTTCTCATCTGAGAGGAGTCAATTCTGACAGCTTGTACATACAGAAGTACATACAGTCTTTGTGTCAGAGAATAGTAATGAAAATTGTTCAATCATAATCATTTCAGAGACTATTATGGGCACCTCTTTTCATACAAACTAGAAAACCAAAAAAAAAAAAAAAAAAACAAAACAGATGGATTCCTGGAAATATACAACCTCCCAACATTAAACCAGAAATAAATTGAAATCCTTTTTTTTTTTTTTTTGAGATGGGGTCTCGCTGTGTTGCCCAGGCTGGAGTGCAATGGCACGATCTCAGCTCCTGAACCTCCACCTCCTGGGTTCAAGCAATTCTCCTGCCTCAGCCTCCTGAGTAGCTGGGATTATAGGCATGTGCCACCACGCCCGTCTAGTTTTTGTATTTTTAGTAGAGACGGGGTTTCACCTTATTGGGCAGGCTGGTCTCGAACTTCTGACCTCATGATCCACCTGCCTCGGCCTCCCAAAGTACTGGGATTACAGGTATGAGCCACCACGCCTGGCCCTGAAATATTAAATAAGACTGATAGGCAACTAGCTAGATTAATAAAAAAAGCTAAGAGGGAAGATCCAAATAAACACAATAGGAAATGACAAATGACACCAACCCCAGAGAAGAACAAAAAAGCCTCAGAGACTATTATGAGCACCTCTTTTCACACAAACTAGAAAATCAAAAAAAAAAAAAAAAAAAAAGGATGGATTCCTGGAAATACACAACCTCCCAACATTGAACCAGGAGAAATCCTAAATAGACCAATAACATGGCAAATATTAAATTATTAATAAAAATCCTGCAATCTAAAATAAAAACTGGACCAGAGAGATTCACAGTCAACTTCTATTGAATGTATAAAAAAGAGCAGGTACCAATCCTACTAAAATTATTCCAAAAAATTGAGGAGCAGGGACTCCTTCCTAACCCATGCGATGATAAAATGGATGCTCGCTACGTTGTCGAGAAAAGGGAACACTTATACACTGCTGGTGAGTATGTAAATTAGTTCTTCCACTGTGGAATACGGTTTAGAGATTTCTCAAACAACTTAAAACAGAACTAGCATTTGACTCAGCAATCCCATGATTGGATATATACCCAGAGAAATATGAATTATTCTACTCAAATGATGTATGTATTTGTATGTTCATTGCAGCTATATTCACAATAGCAAATATATAGGACCTAGAAGTCCATCAAGGGTGGACTGGATAAAGAAAATATGGTACAGACATACTATGAAATACTATGTAGCCATAATAAATAAAACAATTTTATTTGCAGCAATGTGGATTGAACTGGAGGTCATTATCCTAAGCAAATTAATGCAGCAACAGAAAAACAAATGCTGCATGCCCTCACTTACAAGTGGTCCTAAACATTAAGTACACATGGATGCAAAGAGGGAAACCATAGTCACCAGGGCCTACTTGAGGCTGGAAGTTGGGAGGAAAGTGAGGGTTAAAAGCTACCACCTATGGAGTACTGTGCTCACTACCTGGGTAATGAAATCATTTGTAGATCAAACCCCCGGAACATGCAATTTACCCGTGAAGGTAAGCCGTGCATGTACACACAAACTTAGTATAAACGTTAAAAAAAAGAACTTATGAAAAAAAAAAAAAGGAAAAAATGTGGGAGGGAGTGATTTCAGCCAAATGACAGAATAATAAGCCTGGGACCCTCATTCTCCCATAAGACAGATTTAACAACAAATAAACTAAATGCCTTTGTGGGAACTCCAGAAACCAATTACAAGGTTTCTGCACCAATAAGCATAAATACAACATGGAAAGAAACATCATGATTCTCATTATTCTGTCTCACTAGAGACCCTCCCATCTCACACTGTTCCATGCAGTGGGGATGAAGCATCTAAATTTCCTATGTCCAATGTTTTCACCTTTAGGGTGACTGCCAGAGGCCTAGTCTCTGTCTTGCCTATATTCAAGTACTGATAGAAATGAAGAAGCACGATGAGTATCTCTCAGAACAAAGACAATAAATGTGCATCAGAATCTGCACTACCACAGAAAGACTAGGTGCAAAGCCAGTACCATAATTTACTGTGACACTAAAGAGGTCACAGTATCACAGACATCAGAGAGATGAGAGAAGGTTTTTTTTGTTTTGTTTTTTGGTTTTTGTTTTTGTTTTTTTAAGACGGAGTCTCGCTCTGTCACCCAGGCTGGAGTGCAGTGGCGCGATCTCGGCTCATTGCAAGCTCCGCCTCCCGGGTTCACGCCATTCTCCTGCCTCAGCCTCCCGAGTAGCTGGGACTACAGGCGTCTGCCACCACGCCTGGCTAATTTTTGTGTGTGTTTTTTTAGTAGAGACGGGCTTTCACCATATTGGCCAGGCTGGTCTTGAACTCCTAACCTCAGGTGATCTGCCACCCTCGACCTCCAGAAGTGCTGGGATTACAGGAGTGAGCCACCTCTCCCGGCCAGAGAGAGGGTCTTGAATAGAAACCAGCAAACCTTTTCAAATAGAAGATTATGTATGAGCCAAAGCACAGAGAGAGGAATGCATACCCAGACAAACCTGAGAGGGCTCCAGAATCTCTCTAGCCATGTAGAATGGAAAAAGTTCTCCCTATGGAAAACTGGACTACAAAGTCTGAAAAGTTGTTGGATTTATCAAATGCAGACTTTTTTCATGAAAAAATAACAAGGCATATAAAGAGAGACCCCCCCAACAAATTCAAAGGAGTAAATTAAATCTTCAGAAAATGACCTGAAAGAAATGAAGATACAGAAATTGCCATATGACAAGTTCAAAATTACTGTCAAGTATGCTCAATAAATTACAAGAGAGCACATATAGACAACTAAATGAAATTAGAAAAATAACCAATAAACAAAATGAGAATATCAACAAAGATATGGTAACTACAAAGAACCAAACAGAAACTCTGGAATCAAAAATAAAATAACTGAATTGAAAAATCCACTAGAGGCTTAACAAAAGACTTGACCAAATATAAGAATCAGTGAAACCAAAGAAAAAACTTTGAAAATTACTGTGGCAGAGAAGAAAAAGAAAAAAACATGTGAAGAACTAAAGGAATGATGGAACACCATTGATCAGAACAACACATGCATTATGAGAGTATTAGAGGAGAAGAAAAAAAAAGGTGCAGAGAATTTATTTGAATAAATTACATCCCCAAATTTTTCCAATCTGAGGAAAGTAATGAACCTAAAAATTTAAGAATCTCAAAAAATTCCAAATAGGATAAATCTAATGAGATCCACATCAAGACATTTTGTTGTCAAACTGTCGAAAGTCACAGACAAACAGAATCTTAAAAGCAGCAACAGAAAAGCTACCTATGAAGTATAAGAAGCTTCTTGCCAGGTGTGGTGGCTCACGCCTGTAATCCCAGCACTTTGGGAGGCCGAGGCGGGCAGATCACGAGGTCAGGAGATCGAGACCATCCTGGCTATCATGGTGAAACCCCGTCTCTACTAAAAAAAACCAAAAAAAAAATTAGCTGGGCGTGGTGGCGGGCACCTGTAGTCCCAGCTACTCGGGAGGCTGAGGCAGGAGAATGGCATGAACCCGGAAGGCGGAGCTTGCAGTGAGCCGAGATCACGCCACTGCACTCCAGCCTGGCTGAAGCGAGACTCCGTCTCAAAAAAAAAAAAAAAAAAAAAAAAAAAAAAAAGGCTTCTTGTAGAGTATCAGCAGATTTCTTACAAGAATTCTTTCAGGATACAAGCGAATGAGATAATATATTTAGTGAACTGTTGTGGGAAAATCCCTCAGACCAACAATACACATTTTTATTTGATTATTTTTTGTGTTTGCTGTTTATCATCCTTTTCCTTCAACTTTTAGTACCCACTTCAGCATTCCGTTTTTCAAATATTATTTCCCTGTCCTCTCTCTATTCTTCTTCTGGAATTCCTAGAATTTGTGTGTTAGTTCACTTGATGGTATATCACAGGTGCTTAAGTTTTGTTTATTTTTCTTCATATATTTCTTTTTCTACTTATCAGACTGAAATGTTCAGTTGGCCTATCTTAAAGTTTGATGATTCTGTGTTCTGCCTGCTTAAGTTTTCCACTGAACTCTTGTCTTGGTCAGTTCAGGCTGCTATAACAAATTACCATAGACTGGATGGCTTGAAAAACAAACACGTATTTCTCATAGTTTTGAAAGCTGGGATGTCTGAGATCAGGGTGCAAACATAATTGAGTTCTGATGAAGGCCCTCTTTTAGGTTACAGGCAGCTAACTTCTCCTTGTATCTTCACAGGGAGGAAAAATTTAGTTAGCTCTCTGGCAGTTTCTGTTTTTATTATTATTAAATGTTAAGTTTAGGGATACATGTGCAGAATGTACAGATTTGTTACATAGGTATACACGTGCCATGGTGGTTTGCTGCACCCACCAACCTATCATCTACATTAGGTATTTCTCCTAATGCTATCCCTCCCCTAGTCCCCCACCCCCCCAACAGGCACCAGTGTGTGGTGTTCCACTACCACTGTCCATGTGTTCTCATTGTCTAACTCCCACTTATGAGTGAGAACATGTGGTGTTTGGTTTTCTGTTCCTGTGTTAGTTTGCTGAGAATGACGGTTTCTAGCTTCATCCATTTCCCTGCAAAGGACATGAACTCATCATTTTTTATGACTGCATAGTATTCTACTGTGTATATGTGTCACATTTTCTTTATCCAGTCTATCATTGATGGGCATTTGGGTTGGTTCCAAGTCTCTGCTATTGTGAACACTGCTGCAATAAACATGCATGTGCAGTGTCTTTTAGTGGAATGGTTTATAATCCTTTGAGTATATACCCAGTAATGGGATTGCTGGGTCAAATGGTATTTCTGGTTCTAGATCCTTGAGGAATTGCCACACTATCTCCCACAATGGTTGGACTAATTTACACTCCCACCAACATGTAAAAGCATTTCCATTTCTCTACATCCTCTCCAGCATCTTTGTTTCCTGACTTTTTAATGATCATCATTCTAACTGGCGTGAAATGGTATCTCACTGTGCTTTTGATTTGCATTTCTCTAACGACCGGTGAAGATGAGCATTTTTTCATATGTTTTTTGGCCACATAAATGTCTTCTTTTGAGACATGTCTGTTCATATCCTTCACCTGCTTTTTGATAGGGTTGTTTCTTTTTTTTCTTGTAAATCTGTTTAAGTTCTTTGTAGATTCTGGATATTAGCCCTTTGTCAGATGAATACATTGCAAAAATTTTCTCCCATTCTGTAGGTTTCCTGTTCACTCTGATGATAGTTTCTTTTGCTGTGCAGAAGCTCTTTAATTAAATTCCATTTGTTAATTTTGGCTTTTGTTGCCATTGCTTTTGTATTTTAGTCATAAAGTCTATGCCCATGCCTATGTCCTGAATGGTATTGCCTAGGTTTTCTTCTAGGGTTTTTATAGTTTTAGGTCTTACATTTAGGTCTTAAATCAATCTTGAGTTAATTTTTGTATAAGGCGTAAGGAAGGAGTCTCGTTTCAGTTTTCTGCACACGGCTAGCCAGTTTTGTCCATGTCATTTATTAAACAGGGAATTGTTTCCCCGTTGCTTGTTTTTGTCAGGTTTGTCAAAGATCAGATGGTCGTAGATAAGTGACATTATTTCTGAGGCCTCTATTCTGTTCCATTGGTCTATACATCTGTTTTGGTACCAGTACCATGCTGTTTTTGGTTACTGTAGCCTTGTAGTACAGTTTGAAGTCAGGTAGCATGATGCCTCCAGCTTTGTTCTTTTTGCTTAGTTTTTCTTGGCTGTACAAGCTCTTTTTTGGTTCTATATGAAATTTAAAGTAGTGTTTTCTAATTCTGTGAAGAAAGTCAATGGTAGCTTGATGGAGATAGCATTGAATCTGTAGATTACTTTGGTCAGTATGGCCATTTTCACAATATTGAGTCTTCCTATCCATGAACATGAAATGTTTTTCCATTTGTTTGTGTCCTTTCTTATTTCCTTAAGCAGTGGTTTGTAGTTCTTCTTGAAGATGTCCTTCACATCCCTTGTAAGTTGTACTCCTAGGTATTTTATTCTCTTTGTAGCAATTGTGAATGGAAGTTCACTCATGATTTGGCTCTCTGTTTGTCTATTATTGGTGTATAGGAATGCTTGTGATTTTTGCACATTGATTTTGTGTCCTGAGACTGCTGAAGTTGCTTATCAGCTTAAGGAGATTTTGGGCTGAGACGATGGGGTTTTCTAAATATTCAATCATGTCATCTGCAAACATAGACAATTTGACTTCCTCTCTTTATATTTGAATACCCTTTATTTCTTTCTCTTGCCCGATTGCCTTGACAAGAACTTCCAATACTATGTTGAATAGGAATGGTGAGAGAGGACATGCTTGTCTTGTGCGGGTTTTCAAAGAGAATGCTTCCAGTTTTTGCCCATTCAGTATGATATTGGCTGTAGGTTTGTCACAAATAACATCTTATTATTTTGAGATATGTTCCATCAATACCTAGTTTATTGAAAGCTTTTAGCATGAAGTGGTGTTGAATTTTATTGAAGGCCTTTACTGCATCTATCGAGATAATCATATGTTTTTTGTCATTGGTTCCATTTATGTGATGGATTATGTTTATTGATTCACGTATGTTGAACCAGCCTTGCATCCCAGGGATGAAGCCAACTTGATCGTGGTTGATAAGCTTTTTGATGTGCTGCTGGATTCGGTTTGCCAGTATTTTATTGAGGATTTTCATATCAACGTTTGTCAGGGATATTGGCCTGAAATTTTCTTTTTTGTTGTGTCTCTACCGGGCTTTGGTATCAAGATATTGCTGGCCTCATAAAATGAGTTAGGAAGGATTCCCTCTTTTTCTATTGTTTGGAATAGTTTCAGAAGAAATGGTACCAGCTCCTCTTTTTACCTCTGGTAGAATTCAGCTGTGAATCTGTTCTGGTCCTGAGCTTTTTTTGGTTGGTAGGCTATTAATTACTTCCTCAATTTCAGAACTTGTTATTGTTCTATTCAGGGATTCAACTTCTTCCTGGCTTAGTCTTGAGAGGGTTTATGTGTCCAGGAATTTATCCACTTTGTCTAGATTTTCTAGTTTATTTGCATAGAGGTGTTTATAGTGTTCTTTGATGGTAGTTTGTATTTCTGTGGGATCAGTGGTGGTATCTCATTTAACATTTTTTATTATGTCTATTTGATTCTTCTCCCTTTTCTTCTTTATTAGTCTGGCTAGTGGTCTATCTATTTTGTTAATCCTTTCAAAAAACCAGCTCCTGGATTCACTGATTTTTTTGAAGGGTTTTTTGTGTTTCTATCTCCTTCAGTTCTGCTCTGATCTTAGTTATGTCTTGTCTTCTGTTAAGTTTTGAATTTGTTTGCTCTTGCTTCTCTAGTTCTTTTAATTGCGATGTTAGGATGTCGATTTTAGATCTTTCCTGCTTTCTCCTGTGGACATTTAGTGCTATAAGTTTCCCTCTACACACTGCTCTAGCTGTGTCCCAGAGATTCTGGTACGTTGTGTCTTTGTTCTCATTGGCTTCAAAGAAATTATTCCTGCTTTGATCTTGTTACTTACCCAGCAGTTATTCAGGAGCAGGTTGTTCAGTTTCCATATAGCTGTGGAGTTTTGAGTGAGTTTCTTAATCCTGAGTTCTAATTTGATTGCACTGTGGTCTGAGAGACTGTTTGTTATGATTTCTGTTCTTTTGCATTTGCCGAGGAGTGTTTTACTTCTTATGTGGTCAATTTTAGAATAAGTGTGATGTGGTGCTGAGAAGAATGTATATTCTGTTGATTTGGGGTGAAGAGTTCTGTAGATGTTTATTAGGTCTGCTTGGTCCAGAGCTGAGTTCATGTCCTGAATATCTTTGTTAATTTTCTGTCTCATTGATCTGTCTAATATTGACAGTGGGGTGTTAAAGTCTACCACTATTATTGTGTGGGACGCTAAGTCTCTTTGTAGGTCTTTAAGAACTTGCTTTATGAATCTGGGTGTTCCTGTATTAGGTGCATATACATTTAGGATAGTTAGCTCTTCTTGTTGCATTGATTCCTTTACCAATATGTAATGCCCTTATTTGTCTCTTTTGATCTTTGTTGGTTTAAAGTCTGTCTTATCAGAGACTAGGACTGCAACCCCTGCTTTCCATTAGTTGGTAAATATTCCTCCATCCCTTTAGTTTGAGCCTATGTGTGTCTTTGCACATGAGATGGGTCGACCAAATCCAGCACACCAATGGGTCTTGACTCTTCAACCAATTTGCCAGTCTGCGTCTTTCATTGGGGCATTTAGCCTGTTTACATTTAAGGTTAGTTTTGTTATGTGTGAATTTGATCCTTTCATTATGATGATAGCTGGTTAATTTGCCCTTTAGTTGATGCAGTTTCTTCATAGTGTCAATGGTCTTTACAATTTTTTTTTTTTTTTTTTTTTGCAGTGGCTGGTACCAGTTTTTCCTTTCCATATTTAGTGCTTCCTTCAGGAGCTCTTGTAAGGCAGGCCTGGTGATTACAAAATCTCTCAGCATTTGCTGGTCTGTAAAGGATTTTGTTTCTCCTTTGCTTATGAAGCTTAGTTTGGCTGGATATGAAATTTTGGGTTGAAAATTCTTTTATTTAAGAATGTTGAATATTGGCTCCCACTCTCTTCTGGCTTATAAGGTTTCTGCCAAGAGATACTAATTTATGATATAGACTGGAACAATTTTTAAAGCAAAATATGTGGTAAAAAATAATTGTTTAGAAAATTTTTTGAAGTATTTGTTCATCAACTAATTGAACCCTATTCACACTCTCCATTTACACATTTTTTTTTCTTGTCACTTCAGGAAGAGCAGGAACAGAATTAAGGGCCAAGGCTCTTCCCGCTGTTTCTGTAAGATACATTAAGGCTGAGTTTAAGGTATGCATTATAGAGTGAAATATTATAAATCAGTTTTCTGGTACAAAAACTGGATTGCGTACCCTTGCACAAAGATTTAAATCTGTGTTTAACTATTAGCCTTGTTCCTTTAAAAATTAAAGTTCTTGTTTTTATAAATCTACATTGGTTTTATTTAATTTTACTTTACATCATTTTATTATATTATGACAGCCACTTTATAAAATTTTTGATTTTTTTTTTTCTGTATTAGCTAATGACAATTATATGCCTGTCAGTAGTCACTCTGGCAAAATAAATTTCTTATGTTTAATTCCTTTTACATTTTTACAGTGTTTGTCATTTGTATTTTCTGTGCTTTTTAATTTGATTAGGATCAAATTTACTGTCATAATCCCATCCTTTTGTGATATCCTAGCAGTTGTCTGTGTCATTAGACTTAGTTGCTGACAAAGTTTAAAGTGCTTTATTTAAAAAATACACTCTTTGGTTATAAGTTGTTTTCTTAAATTATTATAATACATTGTTTTAAAGTACACTAGAGTTTTCAAAATGGTAGACTTTGACATAATTTTTAAATCAGTCACCTGTACTGTGCTTAAAGACGTGAGGTGTAAGCTCCTAGCACTCAAAGCACTCTGACCTGAAATCTTCACAAACATGTCTTCAACTTTACTTTTGTCTCTTGGAACCAATACTTCTGGTATTAGTCTTGGTATCCCTCTTCAGCTATTATATATTTGTTCTATTAAAATTCACATTTTTTTCCCCAAAGCTTTTTTTCTTCCCCAAGATGGCAGATTAAAGGCAGTGTTAGCACGTCTCTACCACTTGGAAAGAAAAAATAGTGTATGGAGATTCACACTGCGATTTTTTTTTCCCAAAAAGCAACTCAGGAACTTAAGAGGAAAATGAAATCCACAGACCCTTTGAAAGCAGCAGCAGGCTGCAGCATGCAGCCTGAGCCAGGTAAAAATCTGTAAGTCCCCAGAGTGACACTGCCTGCAGTGTATACACTCCCACTGGGGAACCTAGAAATTCAGGGCATGCAGGAAGATCATAACTCTACACAGCACTGGAATTGATTTAGGGAGCAATGAGAAATAGAAAAGTAGGAGTGGCAGTGGAAAGTGCCTTGCATGCATTCCCAGTACCCAGTGTGTACTAAGGAAGCCATCCCATATTGTGCCTCACAGGGGACCCTGTGGAAGTCTCTTAACTAATCCAGCCAGTGGTCACAGGTTGAAAGAAGCTCCCAAATGAATTTTGTGATATACCCTCAAGTGGAGAACTCCCTGGGCCGGAATTGGGCGGCAGGGGTGGGGGCAAGTTGGAAGTGTGATGCAGCCATGAGCAAGGGAGCTGGGCTCCCTAGCTGTGTGGACAGACTGGGAGGGGCGTGGCCTGAAAGCTTCAGTTGCTATCTCTGTGGGGAAAGTTTATGGTTGGAGGCAGTTTTGACAAGATGGCCTTAATTTCTGCTATCAGCAGAAAACTTTTGGTGTGAAATCTGCCTTACCAAGTGCCTGGAAGCAGGGTGGAGATTACTGCTGCCCTGCCTGCTACACCCTGCTAGCTTTGCAAACTCTTCTGTGCAGCAGAGGCAGCTACACTCCTCTCTGGAACATTATCCGAGTGGCCAAGGAACCACCCTCTTACTCTTACAATGGCTGCTGCTTGCCTAACACACCAAGAGCCGGAGTGTTAACCTGCCCCAATCAGCCCCTACCTTGCTTGGCCCCTCCACTCACCTTGGTAGCTTAACACAAAGAATAGGCACTTTTGAGAGCTTTATGGCCTCGCCTATCACATAAGAAACCTGAGTACCTTCCCTCAGTAACATAAGGCAAGTACAAATCCCACCACTACTAGCATAGCTAGTGCTTGTTTCTAAGTGCCACCTCCTGACTGGAAGCCAACCAACATAGTCCCTTACAGCATCTCCAGGCAGAATAGCACTGCACCCAGGAAGGAGAAAACTTGTGCATGACCTCAGCTATCACCATTTTCTGCACCACGCTGGCTAACCAAGAGGGCGAGTCTGTCCATGTGGCCAGCTTTTTACTACTACAACCTGCATTTGAGAAAGCCAACACAGTAAGACTACTTATAACCAAGGAATATCACAGAGTCTATGTTATTTCCCTGCACTCCCATCAGAGCTGGTGCTGGGATCCACTGCTGAGAGGCAGGTCACATTGCTGGTTCCCTTGCAGACATTCTGCAGCACCAGCCTGGAGTATGAGAGCTCCACTGGGTGGCTAGACCCAGAGGAGTTACAGCATTCACCATAGTCTGTCTCTCAAGCACTCCTCCTAGGGGAGGGGAAGTGCACCACATCAAGGGAACACCCCGTGGGACAAAAGAACCCAGACAGCAGGCCTTGAGTCCCAGATCTTTCAACTGTTGGGAAGTTTCTTTCAGCAGCAGAACATTTGCAGTGCAGGGCTCGGCAGAGAAAGTCTGCAGCTCTAACCCAACAGTCAGGGAGTCCTGGTACTTGTGAAGAATCTTGGAGAAGGGACTTCTTTTGCCTCTCATCCACTACTGCAGATATAGCTAGGGCTGTTAACACAGGAGCTTGGTATGGATACACCTATAGACAGCCTTTGTGGAACACTTCAGGGTGATTGCATCCCCACAGGAGGAACACCTCCAGGCACAGGTTTGCACAAGAGGTAGAGTCACAATTCTTCTCTATGTAGAACATCAACATTCTTGCAGATGAGAAGAGGTACCTGTCTGATATAAATAGCCATAACATTGGGTCAAGGGTGTGTCTGGAATGGGAATAGCTTTCCTGTAGACCTGAGAGAGCTGCTGAGGTGGATATGGTCCTTCTCTCTGTTAAGACCTCAGTGAATTTCACTGAGATCACCCTCATCCACCTTTGTCAAGAATAGGACCTCTGCCCACCATCGGGTATCGCAATTACCCACCCAATTTAGCCACAGCTGGTTTTTAAACATGGACACCTCCCACACTGGACTAAAGCCTGAACTATTTAACCCAGTAACTAAAATACATAGGAAAAAATAAACAAAAAAGTACACACCAGAGTGGAATGAGATAAGCTTCAAGAGACCTCTGTCATTCCGACTCTATAGGAGATTGTGAACTTGCTTACACACTGGGCACATTGCTACTACAACTAGCATCAGAGAAAGCCATCATACAAAGACTCTCTATAACCAAGGAATTCATACAGAGTTTTTACCCATTAAAGTACAAAGAGCCAAATTAAGCCACAGTAAACTACAAACATTAAAGTCACATACTTGGAGGGGGGAAAGAAATTTAAAAAAAAAAGTCAAATTAAAAATGAATTTAAGAATAATTAGGCCGGGTGCAGTGGCTCACACCTGTAGTCCCAGCACTTTGGGAGGCCAAGGCGGGTGGATCATGAGGTCAGGAGATCGAAACCATCCCGGCCAACATGGTGAAACCCCGCCTCCGCTGAAAATAGAAAAATTAGCTGGGCGTGGTGGCGAGCACCTATAATCCCAGCTACTTGGGAGACTGAGGTAGGAGAATCGCTTGAACCCAGGAGGCGGAGGTTGCAGTGAACCGACATCGTGCCACTGCACTTTAGCCTGGTGACAGAGCAAAACTCCGGAAAAAAAACAAAAAGAATAATTAGAAGAAATACTCTACCCAAATGAGAGAAAAACAAACCGAAAGACGATTTTGTTAATATGACAAAATAGGGTTCTGTAACACCCCAAAAGATTATACTAGCACTCCAGCAATTGATCCAAACCGAGATGAAATCTTTGGAATACAAAATAAAGAATTTAATAGGTTGGTTATAAAGCTACTCAAAGAGATACTTGAAAAAGGTGAAAACCTACATTAAGAAATGAAAAAAAAAATTCAGGATATGAAGGAAACATTTTATAAAGTGACAGATATCTTAAAGATAAACCAATCAGAACTTTTGGAAATGAAAGACAAATTTAGAAATTACAAAATGCAGTGAAAAGTTTCCACAATAGACTAGAACACGTAGAAGAAAAAAAAAATCAAAGCTCAAAGACTAGGCTTTTAAATTTACCCAAACAGACAAAAATAAAGGAAAAGAATAAAAATAAATGAAGTTTTCAAGATCTATGGGATTATGGAAAAGAGCCAAACCTAAGAATAATTGGTGTTCCTGAGGGAGAAAACAAAAAAGTCTTGGAAGCATATTTCAGGGAATAATTGAGGAAAACTTCCCTGGCCTCGCAATAAATTTAGATATTCAAATATGAGAAGCTCAAACAATTCCCGGAGATTCACTGCAAAAAGGTCATCACCAAGGTATGTAGTCATCAGGCTACATAAAGTCTGTATGAAAAAAGACTTCTGAGAGCTCTAAGTCAAAAGCATTAGGTAACCTATAAAGGAAAACCTATAAGACTAACAGCAGACTTCTCAGCACAAACCTTACTAGCCAGAATGGATGAGAGTCCTATCTTCAGGCTCCTTACACAGAATAACTGTCAGGCAGAAATTTTGTATCTGGTAAAACTAAGTTATATAAATGAAGGAGAAATAAAGTCATTTTTAGACAAACAAATGATGAGGGAATTTGTTGCTACCAGACCAGCCTTACAAAAAATTCTGAAAAGGGTTTTAAATCTTGAAACAAAAGCTTGATATGCACCAAAACAGAATTTGAAAGCATAAAACTCAAAGGGCCTCTAAAAGAATTACACAATTTAAGAAAAGTATCCAAGTAACAATTCAAATGATGAGCGGGAAAATACCTTACATCTAAATTTTAATGTTGAATGTAAGTGTCCAAAATGCTTCACTTAAGAGATACTGATCAACAGAATGTATAAAGAATCACAAACCAAATATCAACTTTCTTCACATGACTCACATAATACATAAGGATTCATAAAACTCAAGGTAAAGGGGTGAAAAAAGATATTTCATGGAAATGGAAATCAAAAGTCAGCAGAAGTAGCTATTCTTATATCAAATAAATCAGACTTTAAAGCAACAGCAGTAAAAAAGAAAGACATAGAAGATTATTATATAATGAAAGAAGGATCAATCCAACAAGAAGATATTAAATTTATATGCACCAAACAATGGAGCACCTAGATTCATAAAACAATTACTACTGGACCTAAGAAATGAGATAGACAGCAACACAATAATAGTGGATGGCTTGAAAACATCACTGACAGCACTAGACAGATTATCTAGCCAGAAAAGCAATAAAAAATGGACTTAAACTACATTCTAGAACAAATGAACCTAACAGATACACATGAATCTTACAAAACATTTTGTCCAAGAACTGCGGAATAACATTCTTGTCATCAGCACTTGGAACATTTTCCAACATAGATAATACAGTAAGACAGAAAACAAGCCTCAATAAATATTTGGAAACTCAAAATCATATCAAATATTTTCTCAGACCACAGTGGAATAAAACTAGAAATGAACTCCATAAGGAATCCCCCAAATTATACAAATACATGAAAATTAGACAATATGCTCTGGAATAATTTTTGGGTTAACAATGAAATCAAGATGGAAATTAAACTTCTTTGAAATAAACGATAATACGTCAGTTATTACATAAACGATGATATGTCAGATAATACAAGTTATCAAAACCCCATGGATACAGCAAAAGGAACTCTAACAGAAAAGCTTATAATACTACATTCCTACATTAAAAGTCTGAAAGATCACAAATTGGCTGGGTGCAGTGACTCTCCCCTGTTAATCCCAGCACTACGGGAGATTGAGGCAGATGGATCCCTTGAGACAGGGAGTTTGAGACAAGCCTGGCCAATGTGGTAAAACCCTGTATCTACTCAAAATACAAAAGTTAGTCCAGTGAGGTGGCAGGTGCCTGTAATCCCAGGTAATCAGGAGGCTGAGGCAGGATAATTGCTTGAATCAAAGAGGCGTACATTGCAGTGAGCCAAGATGGTGCCACTGCACTCCAGTCTGAGCAACGGAGCGAGTCTCTGACTCAATAAATAAATGAGAATAAAAATAAAAATAAAAAAAATCACAAAAAGACAACCTAATGTCACACCTCAAGGAACTACAGAAACAAGAACAAACTGAACCCAAAGCTAGCAGAAGAAAAAAAAAACAAAAACAAAGATAAAAGCAGGACTAAATAAAATGGAAACAAAAAAATATAAAAGATCAGTGAAACGAAAGGATGGTTCTTTGAAAAGATAAACAAATTTGATAGAACATTAACTGGATTAAACAAGAAAGGAAGACAGAAGATTCAAATTAGCTCTATTAGAAGTGAAACTGGAGACATTACAATCAATACCACAGAAATACAAAAGATCATGCAAGGCTACTATAAGCACCTCTATGCACACAAACTAGAAAACCTAGAGAAAATGGATAAATTCCAGAAAAAATACAACCATCCTAGATTAAATCAGGATAAAATACAAACCCTGAACACATTAATAACAAGCAACAAGACTGAATCAGTAATTTAAAAAATTACCAACAAAAAAAGACCAGGGCCAGATAAATTCACAGCTGAATTCTACCAGATATTCAAATAAGGATTGGTATAAACCCTACTGAAACAATTCCAAAAGACTGAGAAAGAAGAAATTCTCCTTAAATCATTCTGTGAAGCCAGTGTCACCCTTACACCAAAATCAGGAAATTATGTAATGAAAAAAGAAAACTACATACCAGTATCCCTGATGAATATAGATGTAAAAATTCTCAACAAAATAGTAGCTAATTGGATGCAACAGAAGATCAAAAAGATAATACACCATGATTATGTGGGTTTCATCCCAGAAATGCAGGGATGATTTAACATACCAAGTCAATGAATGTGATATATCACATTAACTGAAATAAAAATAAATATCATATAATTTATCTCAATAGATGCAGAAAGAGCATTTGATAAAATTCACCATTCCTTTATGATAAAAACCCTAGACAAACTATGTGTAGAAGGGACTTGCCTCAAAATAATAAAATCCATATATCACAAACCAATAGCCAACATCGTATTGAATGGGGAAAATTCAAAAGCTTTCCCCCTAACAAGAGAAAGACGACAAGGATGCCCACAATAACCAGTCCTATTCGATATATTTCTGAAAGTCTTAGCCAGAGCAATTAGGCCAGAGAAAGAAATAAAGGACAACCAGGTTGGAAAAGAGGAAGTCAAACTATCACTCTTCACTGGTGATATGATTGTATACCTAGGAAAACTCTAAAGTCTCCTCCAAAAAACCCCCAGACTTGATAAGACAATTCAGTCAAGTCTCAGATTACAAAATCAATGTATGCAAACCGGTAGCAGTGCTATACATCAACAAGGACTAAGCTGAGAATCAAAGCAAGAATTAATCACTTTTACAACAGCTGCAAATATATATATATACACACACATATACATAGTGTGTGTATATATATATACACACACATATATATATACACACACACACATATATATAATCTAAGAATATACTTAACCAAGGAAGTAAAGATCTCTACAAGGAGAACTACAAAACACTTCTTAAAGAAATCATAGATGACACATATACACTCCATGCTCATGGATTGGAAGAATTAGTATTCTAAAAATGACCTTACTGCCCAAAGCAATCTGCAGATTCAATGCAGTTTCCAACAAAATGCTAGCATCATTTTTCACAGAATTAGAAAAAGCAATCTCAAAATTCACATGGAATCAAAAAAGAGCTCAAATAGCCAAGGCGATCCTAAGCAAACAGAAGAAATCTGGAGGCATCATATTACCAGACTTCAAGTTATACTACAAGTCAGTAATTACCAAAACAGCTTGACACTGGTATAAAAGTAAGCCTACAGAAAATGGAACAGAATAGAGAACCCAGAAATAAAGTCAAATACTTAATATCAACTGATCTTCAACAAAGCATACAAGCACATATATTGGTGAAAGTACACTCTATTTAATAAATGATGCTAGGAAAACTGGCTAGCCACATGTAGAAGAATAAAACCAGATCCCTATTCCTTACCCCACACAAACATCAACACAAGAAAAATTAGAGACTTAAATCTAAGACCTGCCTCCATAAAAATTCTAGAAGATAACTTCAGGAAACTCTTCCAGACATTGGTCTAAGTGAAGAATTCATGACTATAACCCCTAAAGTAGATGCAACAAAAACAATAAATAAATGAGACCTAATTAAACTAAAATGCTTCTGCACAAGAAAAAAATTCATCAGAGTAAACAGACAACCTACCAAAATGGAAGAAAATATTTACAAACTACGCACCTAACAAAGGACTAGTATTCATAATCTATAAGGAACTCAAACAAGTAAAAAAACACCAAATAATCCCATTGAAAAGTGGGAAAATGACATGAATAGACATTTCTCAAAAAAATATGCAAATGGAGAACAAACATATGAAAAAATGCTCAAAATCACTAATCCTGAGGGAAATGCAAATTAAATCCCAATGAAATACAACGTTACTACTGCAGGAATGTCCATTATTAAAAAGTCAAAAAACAATACATGTCAATGTGGATGTCATGAAAGGGGAATGCTTATGTGCTGGTGAGGATGTAAATTAGTACAACCTCTGTGGAAAACAGTATGGAGATTCCTTAAAAAACTAAAAGGATATCTATTATTTGATCCAGCAATCCCACTATTGGGTATATACCCAAAAGAAAAGAGGTCATTATTTGAAAAACACACATGAACACATACGTTTATAGCAACACAATTCATAGTTGCAAAGATGTGGAAACAACACAAGTGCTCATAGACTAATGAATGAATAAAGAAAATGTGGTATATATACACCATGGAATACCACTCAGCCCTTAAAAGGAACAAGATAATATCTTTTTGCAGCAACTTGAATGGAGCTGGAGGCTGTTAATCTAAGTGAAGTAACTCACAAATGAAAAACCAGACACCATACATTCTCATTTATATCTGGGAGATGCAGGCATTAATACACAATGTCAGGCAGAGTTAGATAATAAACTTTGGAGACTGAAAAGGGTGAGGTTGGAAGGGGAGGGTACAACTAGTGTAAAATGTACACTAGTTGGTGAGCAAGTGCACTGAAACCTCAGAATTCACCACTATATAATTCATCCATGTAACAACAACAACAAAAAAACTTGTATCCCAGAAGCTATTGAAATTTTAAAAATCTCAAAAATAAATTAAAATTCACAGCTATTAGACTAATTTTTGTTGCCTTCAATGCAGTTACATGATCCAGGTCAGCCTCTGATAATCACTGCTTTCTATCTCAATGTATGGATTTGGGATAACAGTTCAGCCTTCCATTCCATGTGTCCTCCAGTGTAAAGTTAGAGAAGCTCCAAAGTCCTGCTCAACAGAGCAGCTGAGTAAAAAATGTAGAGCTTATTAGCCTTGGGCATTCTCTTCCAAAGGTAATTCCCTCAATATCCCTGCAGTACTGGATCATAATCTCCCCCAAATCAGTTTCTCACTCAGTGGCTGAGGAAGTCATGGATTAAAAAAATGTTTGGCAAACCACAGAGCAATATGGTTTACTGGTAGCTGGTTTTCATTTTCAGGTTCATCTTCTTCCCCTCTTTCTGACCTTCCGGGGTTTACAATAACTGAGATTCGTAAGGACGCAAAAGCAGGCAGTCCTCCCCTGTGCTCACTACTATAAAGAGTGAGTATCACAACTAGGTAAATGTGAACACACAGGACAAAATATCAAGAATATTGAGGAAAACAAATCCCTTCAAAAGAGAGTGACAGAGAGAAAATAACTGGTATGCAGACGTTATAGAAGTAGATGTTTTAGAAGACAACAGGAATTTAAAGTAAATATAATAAATACACAAAGAATACAAGGAAAAATATTAGGAAAATGAATAAACTCAAAATAAGATTTAAAAAGTACAAGTGTAAAACATGAAGTACAAAATATGTAATAGTTTAAAATAATATATGGATAAAAACAAGAAAGTATGAGTTAGAAAATGGAACAGAATTTTATTTTAAAAATTTGGAAATACATACATATACATGAAAGTGTAAAGTATATAAAGATTTTAATTAAAATTAACAATTAATAATGAATTCCTTAAAAAGAAACAAATTAATTAAAGAGGATAAATATTGAAAGAAATAATAATTGCTAATTTCCCAATATTGAACAAAAATGTAAAAACCTCAGGATGAGACTGCCCATTGAAAACCCAGTGAAAGATGTAAGTAAGAACACATACATATATGGAGAAAGTTTAGTAAAACATAATAATATCAATGGCAATAAAAAATGTTGAAATCTTTAAGGAAAGAAAGCATTTTACTTTTTAACAGCAAGTGTGTATATACAAAAGATTAATAATACTCTTACAGTATTGAAGAGAACATGAAATCCATAATTTTGTATTTAGCCAAATAGTCATTCAACTATAAGAAAACATATTATCAAGCATATAAGGTCTCAAAAGTTTGGCATGAAAAGATTCACACTGAAATCCATTTTGGAAGAAATACTTAAATAAAACAAGAATCAAATACAGATGATATTGTGTGAGATTTGTAAAACAAGGTGAATAAAATACTTGGTAATTTTGTTATTGTCTTTAAAAAAATAAGACCAAAAATAGAAAAGAAGGGAAAATAGGTATAGTACCCAAAATTTAAAATTTTAGATTGAAAATCCAGATAGTATTAGAGAGTATAGAGATTAAGAAGGCATACCAAAGAACTTAAGAACTTATGTTTTAGTCTGTTTGGGACTTCTACTGAAAACATAGCAAAATATGGCATATAATGAAACTGGGACTGTTAAAAACAGCAGCAATTTACTTGTCACATTTTTAGAGGCTGAAAAGTCTGTGATCATGGCACCAGCAGATTTGGTAGCTGGGGAGAGGGTCATCTTCTCACTGTAATCTCACATGCTGGAAGGGGAAAAAGAGCTCTCTTGGGCCTCTTTTATAATGACACTAAGCCAATTAATGAGGGGTCTCATTTCATGACCTAATCAATTGCCAATATCCCTACATTTGAATGGGGGGAGGGCACAATATTCAGACCATAGCAATATGGTACAGTTTGCCTTGTTATAAAAATAGATATATCAATTCAAACAGCATAAGAAAATATTAAAAGTCAACTCAGAAGGGAGTAAATTGGCATAATATTCCAAGATAGTAGAAAAAATCTGACTATATAAAATACAATAAACATAAATGGACAAAATTGCTAGTTTAAAGCTAGAGATTTTTCAGTTTGAATATTTTCCAAAAAAATCTAAATATGTGCTCTTTATAAGAGGTAATTCTAAATTGTGAGGAAGTCTTGATGATGCTAAAGGAATAAGAAATGTAACAATTAGAAGAAAATCTTATAGCTGTATAAATAATAGCCCAGACTTATAGAAACATCATAATGGATAGAGGTGTCTACATACTGATATACGTAAATCACCCTGAAAGATAAAATTATAAAATAATCGACTTAATTGCTGCAAAATATTAAACAAAAGTCAATAGAATTATTGTGATTAGAGGAAATTTCAATGTATCTGTTTTCTCAATTATAATAGGTCACTAGTCAAAATATTAGCAAGGACATAGAAGACCTAAATAACACAATTAACAAGACTGACATCTTAGACACATATAAAATTCTACATCCAACAATTCAAAAGACATGCATTTTTCTCAAGTACATAAGGGAGAATTACAAAAATTGATGATATATTTGGACATAAAAAAGTCTCAACAGTACACATGGACACAAAGAAGTGAACAATAGATGCCGAGGCCTACTTAAGGGTGGAAGGTACAGGGATGTTGAGAACTGATCAACTACCTATTGGTTACTGTGCATATTACCTGAGTATTAAAGTAATCTGTCCACCAAACTCTCATGACACACAATTTACCTATGCAACAAACCTGCACATGTACCCACCGAACCTAAAATAAAAGTTAGAAAAAAAGAATTTCAACAAATTTCAAAAAGTAGGTGTCATACAGACAATATCTGCCACAATGCAACTATGGCAAACACTAGTAGAAAACATTTCTAAAGAAAAATCCCCATATATTTGAAGGAAAATCTTATTTTTAATAATTTGTGCATTAATTAAGAAATTATAATAAAATTTTAAGTAAAAGTTTAGAACCAATAAGGCATGAGATAAGTGAATACTATTTAAAAAAATATGTTGGGACTTCTGGTTTCCAGTTCTGCAGACAAGGAAGTTGGAGGGTGCCATTTTGTCCTAACAACAAGAAAAAACACTAAATTGACTGAAAAGCAACAACTCTTCCTGGATCCATAAAAGAGGTGATGACATATAGCAAACCACTGTCTCCAAGATTGAAGAGACCAACCATGTACAGGGAGTTATAAGCTGACTTCCTGGAGCAGAAACTCATAAACAGAAACAACAAAGTAAACAATGCCAAGGCGAAAAAAAAAAAAAAAAAAAAAGAAATTCTGCACTATAATTGAATTGCTGGAGTCTCAGTTGTGAACAAGTCTGGGGGCTAAACACTCCAGGGGCTCAGTCGACGACCCCACTTTTTATGAATGTTCTCCCCAAGTCCCCAACTTGGATCCTATAGTAAATATTGGAGAAAAAATTCTCTCGTTCCATCAGTGTGAAGGCAAGAGCATGCGGTTGTTAATAGGGATTACAGGACTTGCCTTCAGGATAAATTAGTTAATTGGAATCGCATAAGCTCTGGTGTTGTCTGAGCCTAAGTGACCTGAGGTAAAGGAAATATCCAACTTCAGCCAGTCCTAGACTTCCTTATGAGAGAGAAAAATACTCAGTTCCAGCCCACTATAGCCATTCTGTTCTGCCTAAGAAGGAAAAATTAAAACAAACTAACAAAAAAAACCACGAGAAGCATTTGTGAAATTTACAGTCCAAAGGTACAGGTTTATTCAAATATGATACCTAAGCACAGAATTATAGGATGCCTCCTCTCCTGACCATGCCTTACCAAGACATTATTAAAGATCTATGCATATCAGGTTTTTAAAACCCAATATATTCTGGCTCGCTATCAAGAAAATATTACAAGTCACCTGAAAGGCAAATTAACACAATTAGAAGAGAGAGAGCAAGAATCAGGACCAAACTCAGGTATGGCAGAGAGGTTGGAATTATCAGACTGGGATTTTAAGACAACTGTGAGCAATATGCTAAGGGCTGTAACAGTAAAAAAAAGAAAAAAGAAAAAAAAAAGAAAAAAGACAGCATGTAAGAACAGTTAAGCAATTTAAGCAGAGATAAGATAAAATTTCTAAAAAAAGAACTGGAAACAAATGTTAGAGACCAAAACACTGTGGCAGAAATGAAGAATTCCTTTGATAAGCATATTAGTATACTTGACATGCCTCACAAAAGAATATATGAACTTCAGGATGTATCAGTTAAACTCTTCAAAACTAAAAAGCAAAAAGAGTAAAGGCAGAAAATAATCCAAGCAAAATATCCAAAAGCTGAGGGATAACTATTAAAGGAGCAACGTACATATAATGGGCACACTCAGTAAAGAAAAAAGAAAACAGGAAACAGAAGAAATAATTGATTCAATAATAACTATTTCCCCAAATTTATGTCAGACATAATAAACAACAGATCATGGAAGTTCATAGAAAAACAAGCAGGATAAATGCCCAAAAATAATCTGCCTATTAATATCATTTTCAAACTACAGAAAATAAGCAGACGAAGGAAAAAAATCCAAATAAAGCTAGAGGGGAAGAAATGCCTACCTATACAAGAACAAATATAAGAAACTGCATCTGACTTCTCAGGAGCCATGGCCACACAAAAAGTGGAATAAAATATGTAAAGCATTGATAGAAAAGAAAAAATTATAAACCCTGTGTAATTATCCTCTAACATGAAGGAGAAATAAGGATTTCTCAGACAACAAAAATTAAAGAAGTTTTTTGTCAGTTTATTTGCCTGGCAAGATGTTGAAAGAAGTTTTTTTAGAGAAAGAAAATACTATAGATAAAAAACTCAGAACTTCACAATTAAAGGGAGATATGGCAGAAAAATAAGGTAAAATAAAAAGTATTATTCTTATATATAATTGATCTAAGAAATAGTTATTTAAAATAATAATTCTACAATGTATTTGATTATGCATGCTTACATATAAATTTTAAAAATGTAACAATGGTACAATAAATGGGAGAGAAGAATAGAAGAATAGAATCCTTTTTTGTTTGTTTGTTATTTTGAGACAGAATCTGTCACCTAGGCTGGAGTTTCGTGGCATGATCTCGGCTCGCTGAAAACTCTGCCTTCGGGGTTCCAGCAATTCTTATGCCTCAACTTCCTGAGTAGCTGAGATTACAAGCATGTACCTCCATACCTGGCTAATTTTTGTATTTTTAGTGGACCAGGCTGGTCTCAAACTCCTGGCCTCAAGTAATCCACCTGTCTCAGCCTCATAAAGTGCTGAGATTAAAGGTGTGAGCTACCACATCTTGTTAATAATTTGTTTTTATAAGCTACTCACACTACCCATGAAGCAGTATGCTGTTATGTGAAAGTAGACTTGAATTAGTTGTAAATGTATATTGGAAACATCAGGGCAACTACTATACAAGTCAAAGAAATGTAATGAATATGCCAAGAAAGGAGAAAATATAGTATCATATAAAATGCTCCTTTAAAACCACAAAAAGCATTTTATATGATACTATATTTTCTCCTTTCTTGGCATATTCATTACATTTCTTCAAACAAGGTATATTCTCACTCATAGGTGGGAATTGAACAATGAGAACACATGGACACAGGAAGGGGAACATCACACTCTGGGGACTGTTGTGGGGTGGGGGGAGGGGGGAGGAATAGCATTGGGAGATATACCTAATGCTAGATGACGAGTTAGTGGGTGCAGCAAACCAGCATGGCACATGTATACATATGTAACTAACCTGCACATTGTGCACATGTACCCTAAAACTTAAAATATAATAATAATACATAAATAAATTAAAAAAAAAAGAAAAAAGCCAGGCACAGACGACCAAAAAAAAAAAAAAAAAAAAACCACAAAAAGCTCAAAAATAGTGGAAGACAAATATAGAAACAAAGATCAAGAACAGATAAAAATACAGTAAGAAATATGGCAGCTATTAATTCAACTACAGTTAGGCACCACATAATGACATTTTAGTCATCAATGGACTGCATATATGAGTGGTCCCATTAGCTTATAACACTATATTTTACTATACCTTTTCTATGTTTAGATACAAAAATACATACCATTGTGTTACAATTCCTGCAGTACTTAGTACAGTAACGTGCTGTACAGGTTTGTAGCCTCAAAGCAATAGGCTATGCCATATAGCCTAATTGTGTAGTAGGATATACTTACTAGGTTTATGTAAGTACACTCTATGATGTGTGAAAAATTGAAAAATAAAGACTAACAATGCACTTCTCAGAATGCATTTCTGTCATTAAATGTCACATGACTGTGTATTAGTAATGAATGTTAACATCAATGATCTGAATGCAGCAATTTAAAGATTGAGAGCATCACAGTAGATCAAATAACAAGAGCCTACTATATGTTGTGTACATGACACTCACTTTGAATATAAAAACACATATAGATTAAAAGTACATAGATGGAGAAGAATATTCCATGCTAACAATAGTCACAGGAAATCAGAAGCAGCAAAACTAATTTCAGATAGAGCAAACCTCAAAGCAAGAAAAGTTATAAGAAGTTAAAAAAAGGGGGTGGGAGGTATTACATTATGATAAGAAGATCAGTTCTCAAAAAATATACAATACTCCTTAACATATATGCACCCAACAACAGATCATCAAACTCTGGGAAGTAGAACTGCAAGGAGAAATGGATGAATACACTATCATGGTTGGAGACATCAACACTCCTCTAAGAGAAATGGGCGGATCCAGCAGGCAGAAACAGATAGAACACAGATGACTTTAACAACACCTTTAATCAACTGGATATAATAAACATCTGTATATTACTTCAGTAACAGCAGTAGAATAGATATTCTTCTTAAGCTCACATGGAAGGTTCACCAAAAGAGACCACATTCTAAGTCATAAAATACATCTTATTTAAAAAAAAAAAGATGTTATAACATTTGTTCTCACACCACAACGGAATTAAACTAGAATCAGTAACAGAAGGATAACTGGAAAATCCACAAATATGTGGAGATTAAAAAACACATTTTTAAATAACACATAGGTCAAAGGAAATCTCAAGAGAAATTTTTAAATATTCTGACTAAATAAAAATAAAAACACAATTCATCAAAATGTGTGAGAGGTCACAAAAGCAATGCTTAGAGGGAAGTTTACCGCACTGAATGCATATATGAGAAAAGAGGAAAGATCTGAAATCACTATCTAAGTTTCTACCTTAGGAAACTTGAAAAAGAAGACCAAATGAAATTCAAAGCAAGAAGTAAAGAAATAATAAAAATTAGAACACAAATCAATGACATTAAAAACAGGAATTCAAGTACTGGGTGTGGTGGCTCATGCGTGTAATCCTAGCACTTTGGGAGGCCGAGGCGGGTGGATCACGAGGTCGGGAGATAGAGACCATCATGGCTAACACAGTGAAACCCCGTCTCTACTAAAAATACAAAAAATTAGCCGGGCATGGTGGCAGGCGCCTGTAGTCCCAGCGACTTGGGAGGCTGAGGCAGGAGAATGGTGTGAACCTGGGAGATGGAGCTTGCAGTGAGCCGATATCGTGCCACTGCACTCCAGTCTGGGTGACAGAGTGAAACAAAAACAAAAACAAGAACAACAACAACAACAAAACAGGAATTCAATAGAGAAAATATACACAACTGAAGACTGGTTCTTTACAAAGGTCCATAAAATTGCTAGGCTTCTAACCAGGTTAACTAAGGAAAAAAGAGAGAAAAAACACTAATTACTATTATTAGAAATAACAGATGGGATACCACTACAAATTCCACAGACATTAAAATGAAGGAAAGAATATTAAGAGCTGTGAGACAAAAGCCCCAGGCAATCTATAAAGGAAAACCTATCTTATTAACAGCAGATTTATCAGCAGAAACCCTATAAGCTAGAAAGAATTAGGGTCTTATTTTAGCCTCCTCAAATAAAATGATTATCAGCCAAGAATTTTGTATCCAGTGAACCTAACCATTATATATGAGGGAAAGATACAATCTTTTTCAGACAAACAAATGCTAGAAAATTCACCAGTGCCAGATCACCACTACCAGGTCACCACTACAATAGCTGCTAAAAGGAGCTCCAAATCTTGAAACAAATTCTGGAGACACATCAAAACAGAATCTCTTCAAAGCATAAATCTCAGAGAACCTATAAAACAAAAATACAATTTAAAAAGAAAAAACAAAAACAAAAAACAAAGGTACACAGGCAATAAATAGCACAATGAATGGAATGGTACCTCACATCTCAGTACTAACATTGAATGTAAATGGCCTGAATTCTCCACTTAAAAGATAGAGAGCTGCAGAATGTATAAGAATTCACAGACCAAGTATCTACTGCCTTCAAGAGACTCACTTAACATAAGAACTCACATAAACTTAAAGCTAAGGGGTGGAAAAAGGCATTTCATGCAAATAGGCACCAAAAGTGAGCAGCGATAGCTATTTTTTTCTTTTTTTTTTTTTGAGACAGAGTCTCACTCTGACACCCAGGCTGGATCTCCTGCCTCAGCCTCCTGAGTAGCTGGGACTACAGGCGCCCGCCACTGTGCCCAGCTAATTTTTTGCATTTTTAGTAGAGACAGGGTTTCACTGTGTTAGCCAGGATGGTCTCCATCTCCTGACCTCGTGATCCTCCCAAAGTGCTGGGATTACAGGCATGAGCCACAGCGCCTGGCCAGAGATAGCTATTTTTATATAAGACAAAACAAACCTTAAAGCAACAGCTGTTAAGAAAGACAAATGGAGATATTATATAATGGTAAAGGGCATTGTCCAACAGCATAATGTCATAATCCTAAACATATATGCACCTAACACTGGAGTTCCCAAATCTATTAAACAATTACTAATAGACCTAAGAAATGAGATATACAGCAACACAATAATAGTGGGGGACTTCAATACTCCACTGACAGCACTAGTCAGGCCATCAAGACAGAAAGTCAACAAAGAAACAATGGATTCAACCTATAGCTTGGAACAAATGGACTTAACAGATATGAACAGAACATTTCATCCAACAACTGCAGAATAAACATTCTACTCAACAGTGCATAGAATTTTTTCCAAGATAGACCATATGATAGGTCACACAACAAGCCTCAATAAATTTAAGAAAATTGAAATTATATCAAGCACTCTCTGAGACCACAGTAGGATAAAACTGGAAATCAACTCCAAAAGGAACCCACAAAACCATGCAAATGTATAGAAATTAAATAACCTGATCCTGAATAATCATTGAGTCAAAAACAAAATAAAGATGTAAATTAAAAAATTCTTCAAGCTGAATGACAATAGTGACACAACCTATCAAAACCTCTGGGATACATCAAAGGTGGTGCTAAGAGGGAAGTTCACAGCCCTAAACACCTACATCAAAGAAACTGAAAGAACACAAACTGACATTCTAAGGTCACACCTCAATGAACTAGAGAAACAAGAACAAACCAAACCGAAACCAGCAGAAGAAAGGAAATAACCAAGATCAGAGCAGAACTAAATGAAATTGAAACAAAAACAAAAGATAAATGAAACAAAAACTGGTTCTTTGAAAACATAAATAAAATTGACCATTAGCAAGTTTAACCATGAAAAGAAGAGAGAAAATCCAAATAACCTTAATAAGAAATGAAACTGGATATATTACAACTGATACCACAGAAATACAAAAGATCATTCAAGGCTGCTATGAACACATTTATGTATATAAACTAGAAAACCCAGAAGAGAATGATAAATTCCTGAAAATGTACAACCCTCCTAGTTTAAATCAGGAATAATTAGATACCCTGAACAGACCAATAACAAGCAGTGAGTTTGAAATGGTAATTTTAAAATTACCAACAAAAAAAGTTCAGGACCAGATGGATTCACAGCAGAATTCTACCAGATATTCAAAGAAGAATTGGTACCAATTCTTTGAACACTAGTCTGCAAGACAGAGAAAAGGGAACCCTCCCTAATTCATTCTATGAAGCCAGCATCATCCTAATACCAAAACCAGGAAAGGACAAAAAAGAAAACTACAGACCAATATCCCTGATGAACATAGACACTAACATCCTTACCAAAATACTAACTAACCAAATCTAACAATATATCAAAGATAATCCACCATGATCAAGTGGGTTTCATACAAGAGATACAGGGATGGTTTACCATACACAAGTCAATAAATGTGATACACCACATAAACAGAATTTTTAAAAAATCACATGATTATCTCAATAGATGCAGAAAAAGCATTCAATGAAATCTAGCATCCTTTAATGATTAAAACTCTCAGCAAAATCAGCACACAAGGGACATACCTTAATGTAATAAAATCCATCTATGACAAATCCACAGCAAACATAATACTGATTGGGGTAAATTTGAAAATATTCCCTCTGAGAACTGGAACAACACAAGGATGCCAACTCTCACCATCCCTCTTCAACATAGTACTGGAAGTCCTAGCCATAGCAATCAGACAAGACACAAGAGAAATAAATAAAGAGCTTCCAAATTGGTAAAGAGGATGTCAAACTGTGACTGTTTGCCAACAATACAATTGTTAATCTCAAAAACGTTAAAGCCTCCTCCAGAAAGCTCCTAGAACTGATGAAATAATTTAGCAAAGTTTCCAAATACAAGATTAATGCAGACACATCAGCTCTTCTACACACCAATGGCGACCAAACTGAAAATCAAATCAACAACTCAACCCCTTTTACAACAGATGCAAAAAAAAAATACTTAGATACATACCTAACCCAGGAGGTGAAAGACATCTACAAGAAAAACTACAAAACACTGCTGAAAGAAATCATAGATGACAAAAACAAATGGAAACACATCCCATGCTCATGGATGGGTAGAATCAATATTGAAAAATGACCATACTTTCAAAAGCAATCTACAAATCCAATGCAACCCCATCAAAATACCACCATCATTCTTCAAAGAATTAGAAAAAAAACAATTTTAAAATTCATATGGAACCAAAAAAGAATCTGCATAGCAAAAGCAAGACTAAGCAAAAAGAACAAATATGGCATCATCACACTACCTGATTTCAAACTACACTATAAGGCCATAGTCACCCAAACAGCATGGTACTGGTATAAAAATAGGCTCACAGATCAATGGAGCAGAATAGAGAAACCAGAAATAAATCCAAATACTTACAGCCTACCAGTCTTTGACAATGCAAACAAAAACACAAAGTGGGAAAAGGACACCCTTCTCAAAAAATGGTGCTAAGATAATTGGTTTGCCGTATGTAGGAGAATAAAACTGGAGCCTCATCTCTCACCTTATAAAAAATCAACACAAGATAACATTGGAAAAACCCTTCTAGGCATTGGTTTAGGCAAGGATTTTATGACAAAGGACCCCAAAGCAAATGCAATAAAAACAAAGATAAATAGCTGGGACTTTATTAATCTAAAGAGCACTTACATGGCAAAAGGAACAGTCAGCAGAGTAAACAGACAACCCACAGAGTGGGAGAAAATCTTCACAATCTATATATCTGTCAAATAACTAATATCCAGAATCTACAATGAACTCAAACAAATCATCAAGAAAACAAAATCCCATCAAAAAGTGGGCTAAAGAAATGAATAGAAAATTCTCAAATGAAGATATACAAATGGCTGACAAACATGAAAAAATGCTCAACATCATTAATCATCAGGGAACTGCAAATCAAAACCACAATGTGATACCACCTTACTCCTGCAAGAATGGCCATAATCAAAAAATCAAAACACAGCTGGCATACATGCAGTGATCAGGGGACACTTGTACACTGCTGGTGGGAATGTAAACTAGTACAACCACTATGGAAAACAGTGTGGAGATTTCTCAAAGAACTGAAAGTAGAACTACCATTTGATCCATCAATCCCACTACTAGGTATCTCTCCAGAAAAAAAAGAATTTAATAGAAGCACAATTTACAATTGCAAAATCATGGAACCAACACAAACACCCATTGACCAACAAGTGTATAAAGAAACTGTGGTATATATATGTAAGATGGAATACTACTCAGCCACAAAAAGGAATAAATTAAGGGCATTCTCAGTGACCTGGATTAGTTTGAAGACTATTGTTCTATGTGAAGTAACTCAGAAATGGAAATGTATATTCTCATTGATATGTGGGAGCTAAGCTATGAGGATGCAAAGGCATAAGAACAATACAATGGACTTTGGCAACTTGGGGGGAAGAATGGGAGGGAAGCAAGGGATAAAAGCCTACAAATAGGGTGCAGTGTATGCTGCTTGGGTGATGGGTGCACCAAAATCTCATAAATCACTACCAAAGAACTAACTCATGTAACCAAACACCACCTGTATGCCAATAACCTATGAAACAATAAAAATAAAAATTGTAGAAACAGACAAGTGTGCATGCACAAAGGGGCACACGCACACACACACACACACACACACACACACACACAGTTATATAAATGAGCCAAAGATTAGAAAACAAAATAAACTCAATATTAGGCATATAGGAGAATATCTTCAAACTGATAAAATATGTTTCAAAAATAAGCATACTAAAATCTGGAACTAAGCAAATGTAATGACCATCACATGCATTCAACATATGCATGTTTTATGAAACATGAATTTTACAAAACATAACATTTTATGAAAACTTAATATTTATAAGGATTTAAATGTATTAATTATAACTATAATTTTCAAATTATATATCTACCCTCTTATGTTGTCAAACTCTTAAAGGACTACAAATTATCAGAAATTGGAGAGTTCAGCAAGGTTACTGGATATATGATATACATTTCATGATATTTCTTTTTTTTTTTTTTTTTTTTGAGATGGAGTCTCACCCTGTTACCCAGGCTGGAGTGCAATGGTGTAATCTCAGCTCACTGCAACCTCCACCTCCCAGGTTCAAGTGATTCTCCTGCCTCAGACTCCTGAGTAGCAGGGATTACAGCATTCACCACCACGCCCGGCTAATTTTGTATTTTTAGTGGAGACACAGTTTCACCATGTTGTTCAGGCTGGTCTCAAACTCCTGACCTCATGATCCACTTGCCTTGGCCTCCCAAAGTGCTGGGATTACAGGTGTGAGCCCCCATGCCTGCTCTACATTTAATTATAGTTCTATATGCCACTAAAAAACACCAGACAACATGATTTAAAAAGAATATATTGGGGCACATTCCAAGACGGCCGAATAGGAACAGCTCTGGTCTGCAGCACCCAGCGTGATCGATGCAGAAGATGGATGATTTCTGCATTTCCAACTGAGGTATCTGGTTCATCTCATTGGGACTGGTTGGACAGTGGGTGCAGCCCATGGAGGGCCAGCTGAAGCAGGGCGGGGCATCACCTCACCCAGGAAGCACAAGGGGTCAGGAGATTTCCCTTTCTAGCCAAGGGAAGCCGTGACAGACTGTACCTGGAAAAACAGGGCACTCCCACCCAAATACTACACTTTTCCCAAGGTCTTAGCGAACAGCAGACAAAGAGACTCTCTCCCATGCCTGGCTCAGCAGGTCCCATGACCATGTAGCCTTGCTCACTGCTAGCACAGCAGTCTGAGATCGAACTGCAAGGCAGAAGCCTGGATGGGGGAGGGGCATCTGCCATTGCTGAGGCTTGAGTAGGTAAACAAAGTGACCAGGAAGTTCAAACTTGCTGGAGCCCACCACAGCTCAACAAGGCCTACTGCCTCTAGATGCTACCTCTTTGGGCAGGGCATAGCTGAACAAAAGGCATCAGACAACTTCTGCAGACTTAAACGTCCCTGTCTGACAGCTCTGAAGAGAGCAATTGTTCTCTCAGCACAGCATTTGAGCTCTGAGAATGGACAGACTGCCTCCTCAAGTGGGTCCCTGAACCCTGTGTAGCCTAACTGGGAGACACCTCCCAGGAGGGGCCAACAGACACCTCATGTAGGTGGGTGACCCTCTGGGACGAAGTTTCCAGAGGAAGGATCAGGCTGCAATATTTGCTGTTCTGCAGCCTCCACTGGTGATACCCAGGCAAAAAGGGTCTGGACTCCAACAGACCTGTAGCTGAGGGACCTGACTGTTAGAAGGAAAACTAGCAAATGGGAGAATAGCATCAACCTCAACAAAAAGTTCATCTACACCCAAAACCCCATTTGTAGGTCAACAAATCAAAGACCAAAGGTAGATAAAACCACAAACATGGGGAGAAAACAGAGCAGAAAAGCTGGAAATTCTAAAAATCAGAGAGCCTCTTCTCCTCCAAAGGATTGCAGCTCCTTGCCAGCAATGGAACAAAGCTGGATGGAGAATGACTTTGACAAGTTGAAAGAAGTAGGCTTCAGAAGTTCATTCATAACAAACTTCTCCAAGCTAAAGGAGCATGTTCGAACACATCACAAAGAAGCTAAAAACCTTGAAAAAAAGATTAGACAAATGGTTAACTAGAATAAACAGTGCAGCGAAGACCTTAAATGACCTGATGGAGCTGAAATCCATTGCACAAGAATTTTGTGATGCATGTACAAGCTTCAATAGCAAATTTAATCAAGTGGAAGAAAGGGTATCAGTGATTGAAGATCAAATTAATAAAATAAAGTGAGAAGACAGGTTAGAGAAAAAAGAGTAAAAAGAAATGAACAAAGCCTCCAAGAAATATGGGACTATGTGAAAAGGCCAAATCCACATTTGATTAGTGTACCTGAAAGTGATGAGGAGAATGGAACCAAGTTAGAAAACACTCTTCAGGATATTATCCAGGAGAAATTCCCCAACCTACCAATGCAGGCCAACATTCAAATTCAGGAAATACAGAGAACTGCCAAAGAGATACTCCTCGAGAAGAGCAACCCCAAGACACATAATCGTCAGATTCACCAAGGTTGAAATGAAGGAAAAAATGTTAAGGGCAGCCAGAGAGAAAGGTTGAGTTACCTACAAAAGGAAGCCCATCAGACTAACAGCAGATCTCTCTGCAGAAACCCTACAAGCTAGAAGAGAGTGGGGGCCAATATTCAACATTCTTAAAGCAAAGAATTTTCAACCCAGAATTTCATATCCAGCCAAACTAAGCTTCATAAGTGAAGGAGAAATAAAACCCTTTACAGACAAGCAAATGCTGAGAGATTTTTGTCACCACCAGGCCTGCCCTAAAAGATCTCCAGAAGGAAGCACTAAACATGGAAAGAAACAATAACTACCAGCCACTGAAAAAACATGCAAAATTGTAAAGACCATCAATGCTATGAAGAAATTGCATCAATTAACAGGTAAAATAAACAGCTAACATTATAATGACAGGATAAAATTCACACATAATTATATTAACCCTAAATGTAAATGGGCTAAATGCCCAAATTAAAAGACAGAGACTGGCAAATTGGATAAAGAGTCAAGACCCATCGGTGTGCTGTATTCAGGAAACCCATCTCATGTGCAGAGACACACATAGGCTCAAAATAAAAGGATGGAGGAAGATCTACCAAGCAAATGGAAAACAAAAAAGGCAGGGGTTGCAATCCTAGTCTCTGATAAAACAGACTTTAAACCAACAAAGATCAAAAGAGACAAAGAAGGCCATTACATAATGGTAAAGGGATCAATTCAACAAGAAGAGCTAACTATCCTAAATATATATGCACCCAACACAGGAGCACCCAGATTCATAAAGCAAGTCCTTAGTGACCTACAAAGAGACTTAGACTCCCAAAGAATAATAATGGGAGACTTCAACACCCCACTGTCAATAGTAGACACATCAGTGAGACAGAAAATTAACAAGGACATCCAGGACTTGAACTCAGCTCTGCACCAAGCAGATCTAATAGACATCTACAGAACTCTCCACCCCAAATCAACAGAATATACATTCCTCTCAGCACCACATTTCACTTATTCTAAAATTGACCACATAATTGGAAGTAAAGCACTCCTCAGCAAATGTAAAACAACAGATACCACAACAAACTATCTCTCAGACCACAGTGCAATCAAATTAGAACTCAGGATTAAGAAACTCACTCAAAACCACACAACTACATGGAAACTGAACAACCGGCTCCTGAGTGACTACTGGGTAAATAACAAAATGAAGGCAGAAATAAAGATGTTCTTTGAAACCAATGAGAACAAAGACACAATGTATCAGAATTTCTGGGACACAGCTAGAGCAGTGTGTAGAGGGAAACTTATAGCACTAAATGCCCACAAAAGAAAGCAGGAAACATCTAAAATTGACATTCTAACATCAAAATTAAAAGAATTAAAGAAACACGGGCAAACAAATTCAAAAGCTAGCAGAAGGCAAGAAATAACTAAGATTAGAGCAGAACTGAAAGAGATAGGGACAAAAAAACCCTTCAAAAAATCAATGAATCCAGGAGCTGGTTTTTTTTTTTTTTTTTAACATCAACAAAATTGGTAGACCGCTAGCAAGACTAATAAACAGGAAAAGGGAAAAGAATCGAATAGATGCAATAAAAAATGATAAAGGGGATATCACTACCAATCCCACAGAAATACAAACTACCATTAGAGCATACGATAAACACCTCTATGTGAATAAACCAGAAAAATCTAGACAAAGTGGATAAATTCCTGGACACATACACCCTCCCAAGACTAATCCAGGAAGAAGTTGAATCTCTGAATAGACCAATAATGCTCTGAAATTGAGGCAATAATTAATAGCCTACCAACCAAACAAAGTCCAGGAACAGACAGATTCACAGCCCAATTCTACCAGAGGTACAAAGAGGAGCTGGTACCATTCCTTCTCAAACTATTCCAATTAACAGAATAAGAGGGACTCCTCCCTAACTCATTTTATGAGGCCAACATCAGCCTCATACCAAATCCAGGCAGAGACACAACAAAAAGAGAATTTTTGGCCAACATCCCTGACGAACGTCAATATGAAAATCCTCAATAAAATACTGGCAAACTGAATCCAGCAGCTTATCCACCATGATCAAGTCAGCTTCATCCCTGGGATGCAAGGCTGGTTCAACATATGCAAAACAGTAAATGTAATCCATCACATAAACAGAACCAAAGACAAAAACCACATGATTATCTCAATAGATGCAGAAAAGGCCTTTGACAAAATTCAACAGCCATTCATGCTAAAAACTCTCAATAAACTAGGTATTGATGAAACATATCTCAAAATAATAAGAGCTATTTATGACAAACCCACAGCCAATATCATACTGAATGGGCAAAAACTGGAAGCATTCCCTTTGAAAACCAGCAGAAGACAAGGATGCCCTCTTTCATCACTCCTATTTAACATAGTGTTGGAAGTTCTGGCTAAGGCAATCAGGCAAGAGAAAGAAATAAAGGGTATTCAATTAGGAAATGAGGAAGTCAAATTGTCCCTGTTTGCAGATGACATGATTGTATATCTAGAAAACCCCATTGTCTCAGCCCAAAATCTCTTTAAACTGATAAGTAACTTCAGCAAAGTCTCAGGATAAAAAATCAATGTGCAAAAATCACAAGCATTCCTATACACCAATAACAGACAAATAGAGAGCCAAATCATGAGTGAACTCCCATTTGCAATTGCTACAAAGAGAATAACATACCTAGGAATCCAACTTACAAGGGATGTGAAGGACCTCTTCAAGGAGAACCACATACCACTGCTCAATGAAATAAAGGAGGACACAAACAAATGGAAGAATATTCCATGTTCATGGATAGGAAGAATCAATATTGTGAAAATGGCCATACTGCCCAAAATAATTTATAGATTCAATGCCATCCCCATCAAGCTACCAATGACTTTCTTCACAGAATTGGAAAAACCTACTTTAAATTTCACAGGGAACCAAAAAAGAGCCCGCATTGCCAAGACAATCCTAAGGAAAAAGAACAAAGCTGGAGGCATCATGCTACCTGACTTCACACTATACTACAAGGCTACAGTAACCAAAACAACATGGTACTGGTAGCAAAACAGATATATAGACCAATGGAACAGAACAGAGGCCTCAGAAATAACATCACACATCTACAACCATCTGAACCTTGACAAACCTGACAAAAACAAGCAATGGGGAAAGGATTCCTTATTTAATAAATGGTACTGGGAAAACTAGCTAGCCATATGTAGAAAGCAGAAACAGGATCCCTTCCTTACACCTTATACAAAAATTAATTCAAGATGGATTAAAGTCTTAAATGTTAAGTCCTAAAACCATAAAACTGTAAAAACCCTAGAGGAAAACCTAGGCAATACCATTCAGGACATAGTCTCCAACTAGGACTTATATATTTTTTATTATACTTTAAGTTCTAGGGTACATGTGCACAATGTGCAGTTTTGATAAATAGGTATACATGTGTCATGTTGGTTGGCTGCACCCATCAACTTGTCATTTACATTAGGTATTTCTCCTAATGCCATCCACCCTACCATTTGCTTCATTAGTACTTCATGACTAAAACACCAAAAGCAATGGCAACAAAAGCCAAAATAAACAAATGGGATCTAATTAAACTAAAGAGCTTCTGCATGGTAAAAGAAATTACCATCAGAGTGAACAGGTAACCTATAAAATGGGAGAAAATTTTTGCAATCTACCCATCTGACAAAGGGCTAATATGCAGAATCTAGAAGAACTCAAACAACCCCATCAAAAAGTGGTCAAAGGATATGAACAGACACTTCTCAAAAGAAGACATCTATGCAGCCAACAGACACATGAAATAATGCTCATCATCACTGGTCATCAGAGAAACGCAAATCAAAACCAAAATGAGATGCCATCTCACACCAGTAAGAATGGCGATCATTAAAAAGTCAGGAAACAACAGGTGCTGGAGAGGATGTGAAGAAAAAGGAACACTTTTACACTGTTGGTGGGAGTGTAAATTAGTTCAACCATTGTGGAAGACAGTGTGGTGACTCCTCAAGGATCTAGAACTAGAAGTACCATTTGACCCAGCCATCCCATTACTGTGTATATACCCAAAGGATTATAAATCATGCTGCTATAAAGCCACATGCATGCGTATGCTTATTGTGGCACTATTCAGAATAGCAAAGACTTGGAACCAACCCAAATATCCATCAATGATAGACTGGATTAGGAAAATGTGGCACGTATATACCATGGAATACTATGCAGCCATAAAAAAGGATGAGTTCATGTCCTTTGCAGGGACATGGATGAAGCTGGAAACCATCATCCTCAGCAAACTATCACAAGGATAGAAAACCAAACACTGCATGTTCTCACTCATAGGTGGGAATTGAACAATGAGATCACTTGGACACAGGGCATGGAACATCACACACTGGAGCCTGTTGGGGAGTGGGGGGCTGGGGGGGATAGCATTAGGAGAAATACCTAATGTAAATGATGAGTTGATGGGTGCAGCAAACCAATATGACACATGTATACCTATGTATCAAAACCTGCACATTGATACTTTATACTTAAAGTATAATAAAAAATAAATAAAAATAAATAAATCAAAAAAATATATTGGCCAGGTTCAGTGGCTCACGCCTGTAATCTCAGCACTTTGGGAGGCCGAGGTGGGTGCATCACAAGGTCAGGAGATCGAGACCATCCTGGCCAACATGGTGAAACCCCATCTCTACTAAAAATACAAAAAATTAGCTGGGCGTGGTGACACGTGCCTGTAATCCCAGTTACTCGCGAGGCTGCGGTAGGAGAATCACTTGAACCAGGGAGTCGGAGGATGCAGTGAGCCGAGATCACACCACTGCACTCCAGCCTGGTGACAGAGTGAGACTCTGTCTCAAAAAGAAAAGAAAAAAAAAGAATGCATTATTTATAATAGTCTTAAATAACATCAAGTATTTAGAAATAAATCTAACAAAAATATATAAATCTTTACATGGATAATTCTAAAACATTTTTAGTGACTTTTTTTTTTTTTTTTGAGATGGAGTCTCGCTCTGTTGCCCAGGCTGGAGTGCAGTGGCACCATCTCGGCTCACTGCTCGCTCTGCCTCCCAGCTTCATGCCATTCTCCTGCCTCAGCCTCCCGAGTAGCTGGGACTACAGGCGCCCGCCACCATGCCCGGCTAATTTTTTGTATTTTTAGTAGAGACAGGGTTTCACTGTGTTAGCCAGGATGGTCTCAATCTCCTGACCTTGTGATCCGCCTGCCTCAGCCTCCCAAAGTGCTGGGATTATAGGCGTGAGCCACCTCTCCCAGCTAACATTTTATAAAATCTAAGTAACTGGAGAGTTACATCATATTCATGGGCAGTAGACTTAATATTTGAAAAGTTTGAATTATTTCCAAATCAATCTATGAATTCAATGTGTTTAATCAAAATCTTAACAAGGTTTTCATCAAACTTAATAAGCTTATTTGAAAAGTCTATTAAAAATTTTAAAAACACCAAGAATACTGAAGTCATATCTGAAGAAAAGTAAAAAGAGATTACCTACTCTACCAAACATAATCCTTAATATGAAGCTTTAGGCAATATTAGGCAATACCTATCCTTGCCACAGGAATAAGTTAATGGCCAAACGAATAGGTAATAGAGCTCCAAACAGACTGATACATACAAACAGATTCATACCACTTTGATATAGAATAGAAGGCTCAACAGATAAATTGGAAAAATAGGGGCTAGTCAACAAACAGAGCTTAAAATAGTTATCCATACGGGGGAATGTTGGAATTAAATTTCTGCTTCATATTCCACATAAAAATTAACTTCATATAAATCAAAGATTTTAATTTCAAAAGCAACATGTGTAGATATAAATCTTTCTCACATTGGAAGAACAAGATATTCCTTAAAAACACTTTTATTACTTGTGTAAATGCTCAATTATAAAATTATAGACAGGCTCAAATATGTTAAAATTAAAGACTTTTTTGTCAAAAGTTCATTATGAAAAACGATTTAAAAGCCTACAAGATGTTCTTCTCACATATAATAATGAATTCATATTACAATATTTTCTTGGTATAAATAATTCATATAAATAAAAAAACACAAGTAATCTAATATAAACATGGGCAAATATATGCACAGGTTTTCACAGAAGAGAAAACATATATGGATAATAAACATGTGGAATGATGTTCAAACTCACTAGATATCAAGGAATACAAAGCAAGACAAAAATGAAATGTCATTGCTTATTTAAATTACAAGAATCAAGAAGTCAGAAAACACAAAGTGTTGGAGAGGACATACACTTAGATTTTCACTTCTATGTTGCTGGTGATCAAGTAAATTCATGTAGCCACTTTAAAAAGAAACAGCATTATCTCCTAAAATTGAACATTTATACACTCCATGTTCTAACAATTTTGGTTGTAAGTATTATCAAGAAAAACTCTTCGTACAAGGTAAAACAATGCATTAGTCCATTTAAAAGAAAGGAGGTTAAATGACTTATTTAACTGCGTTCTGTGTTCTGTGAGTTGTATGAGTGTGTGTTCTGTGAGTGTTCTGTGAGTTGTGCAGGCTTCTGCTTCTGGGGAGAAGTCAGAAAACTTACAATCATGGTGGAAGGTGAAGGGTCAGGAGGCATGTATTCCTATGGCTGGCAGAAGAGAGAATGAGAGAGGAAGGAGGTACTACACACTTTTAAACAAACAGATCACAGGAGAACACTGTCAAAGAACAGCAAGGAAGAAGTCCGCCCACATGATTTAAACATCTCTCACCAGGCCCTTCCTCCAACATTGAGGATTACTTGAGATTCTGGCAGACACCAGAGAGCCAAACTATATCATTCCACCCTGGCCTCTTCCAAATCTCATGACATTGTCAAATTTCAAAACACAATCATGCCTTCCCAGCAGTCTCCCAAAGTTTTAACTCATTACAGCATTAACTCAAATGTCCAAATCCAAAGTTTTATCTGAGACAAGGCAAGTCCCTTCCACCTATGAGCCTGTAAAATAAAAAACAAGTTATTTACTTCCAAGATACATTGGGGGTACAGGTAAACACTCCCATTCTAAAAGGGAGAGATTGGCCAAAACAAAGGGGCTACAGGCACCATGAGAAACCCAGCAGGGTTAAATCTTAAAGCTTAAATCTTATAGCTTAAGTCTAAAATCTTATACCTCCAAAACAATCTCCTTTTACCCCATGTTTCACATACAGGCCACACTGAATGAAGGGTTGGGCTCCCAAGGACGGTGGCAGCTCTGTACCTGTGGCTCTGCCGGGTTCAGCTTCCAATGTTGCTCTTAAGGGCTGGCATTGAGTGCCTGTGGCTTTTCCAGGTGCATGATGCAAACTGTTGATGCATCTACCATTCTGGGGTCTGGAGAACAGTGGCCCTCCTCTCACAGCTCCACTAGGGAATGCCCCAGTGGAAACTCTCTATAGGGCCAGCAACCCCACATTTCCCCTGTACACTGCAATAGTACAGGTTCTCCTTTAGGGCTCTGCCCCTCCAGTAGACTTCTGCCTGGACATCCAGGCATTTTCATACATCCTCTGAAATCTAGGCAGAGGTTTCCAAGCCTCAACCTTTGCCCTCTGCATACCTGCAGGCCTAACAACATGTGGAAGCCTCCAAGGCTGGGGACTTGCACCCTATGGATAAGCAGCCTTAGACCTATCTGGGGCCATTTTAGCCATGGCTGAAGCTAGAGTGGTGAGGATGCCAGGTGCCATGTGCCAGGCTGTAAAGAGCAGTGGTGCCCTGAGCCTGGCCCACAACCATTTTTCTCTCCTATGCCTCCAGGCCTCTGTTTGAAGGGGTTCCCATGAAGTTGTCTGAAATGCCTTGGAAGCATTTTCCCCACTGTCTTAGCTAGCAGCATTCTGCTTCTCTTTATTTATGCAAATTTCTTCAACCAGCTTGAATTCTTTCCCAGAAAATGGGTTTTTCTTTTATACTACATGGTCAGGCTGCAAATTTTTCAAACTTTAATGCTCTGCTTCCTTTTTAAATATCAATTCCAGTTTCAGATCATCTACTTGTGAACACATATGCTGTTAGAAGCAGCCAGGTCATATATTGAATGCTATACTGCTTAGAAATTTTTTCCACCAGATACCCTAAATCATCTCTCTCAAGTTCAAAATTCTACAAATCCTTAGAGCCAAGGCACAATGCTGCTAGTCCGTTTTGCTAAAACATAGTAAGTGTGACCTTTACTCCAGTTTTCAATAAGTTTCTCATCTCCATCTGAGACCTCCTCAGCCTGGACTTCATTGTACATATCACTATCAGCCTTTTGGTCACAATCATTCAACAAGTTTCTAGGGAGCTCCAAACTTTCCCTCATCTTTCTATCTTTTTCTGAGCCTTTCAAACTGTTCTAGCTTCTACCCATTACCCAGTTCCAAAGTTGCTTGCACATTTTCTGGTATCTTTATAGCAATGCCCCACTTCTATGTACCAATTTTCTGTATTAGTCCATTCTCAAACAGCTATAAAGAACTACCTGAGACTGACTAATTTATTTAAAAAAAAAAAAAGGTTTAATCTGCTCATGGTTTTGCAGGCTGTACAGGCATCTACTTCTGGGGAGGCCTCAGGAAACTTATACTCATGGTGGAAGGCAAAGAGGAAGCAGGCAAATCTTCACATGGTAGGCAGAAAGTGGGGGAGGTGCTGCATACTTTTAAACAAGCAGAACTCAGGATAACTGTATCACGAGAATAGAAAGGGGGATGCTTGCACCAATGATTCAATCACCTCCCACCAGGATCCTCCTCCAGCATTGAGGATTACAATTCAACATGAGATTTGGGTAGGGATACAGGGCCAAACCATATAAATCAGAAAATATGAATGAAAATATTTACAACAGAAGTATTTAGAATAAAAAAATCCCTAAAAGCAATCCAAAAAAGAAACCCAACGTGAGTAGAGAAATAAATTAAGCTATATTAGTATAATAAAATTTTATACAGCCTTTAAAATGCATAAAGTACTATATGAAATACTATTGATGAATCTTAACATTAAAATAACAAGTAAAAATGTAACTTGATAAGCACCAAGATAGCCCTTTATGTAGCTAAAACAATTAAACAATCTAAGTTTTAAAGGAATGCATATAGATATTACCAACTTACATTAAAAAATGGTGAAACAATCATCAACACATATTTAAGTTAGTCTTCATCTCAGATGAGAAGCAGCAGAATCCAGGAAAGTAGAAAACAATGTAGGTAGATATAAATTTCTGTCTTGTTTTAGTTTCTGTGCTAAGTAGTAATTTCATGGGTGTTTGTTATGTTATTACAAATATATCCATTCATAAATGAATGAATATATAATAAACAAATACATTAACGTGGCTCAGCCAGTACATCAGTGATTAAAATTGGTCATAAATCAATACTCTGGTGTCTAATGAGAAAAAAAATAAATACAAAAGAATGTACAATAGGCTTTTTTAAAATTTCTTTTCCCTTTTAAAAATATTGAGTGCAGATTTGATTCACTCTTTTTCATGATATGTATTAAATACATAGTAATTATACCAAAGTAATATTAACACAAGTATGAAAAGGGAAAAAGAGGAAGAAAAAGGAAAAGGAGAAGCAGCAGCAGTGGCAGACATTTCCACCAGCTTGGAACAGGGTATTGAGCACAAAAATATTTATTCATCTACCCTTTCAGTCATTCAGCTAATATAAACTGACACTCATAATGTTTGACACAGAAGGCAATGAATCAAACACCTATGTTTTCATGGAGCTTATGTTATGGTACAGAGAGATAGATAATAAATAAATTACATATATATGTAATATACCATATACATATACATACATATAATATAAATTATATATATGTAATATGTAATATACATACATATATAATTTATTGTCTATCTGTACTAGAGAGAATATATGTATTCTTTATATATAAAAATATATTTACATATATATTTATATAAATATATATACATATATATTTATATAAATATATATATTAGGGTTCTCTAGAGGGACAGAAGTAATACGATCAATGTATATAGGAAAGGGAGTTTATTAAGGAGAATTGACTCACACGGTTACCACATGATAGGCCTTTTGCAAGCTACGGAGCAGGGAAGCCAGTCTGAGTCCCAAAACCTCAAAAGAAGGAAAGCTGACATTGCATATTTCAGTCTATGGCTGAAGGCCCAAGAGCCCTTGGCAAAACACTGGTGTAAGTCCAAAAGACCAAAAACTGAATAACTTGGAGTCTGATTTTCGAGGGCAGGAAGCATTCAGCATGAGAGAAAGATGAAGACCAGAAGACTCAGCAAGTCAGGTCCTTCCACTTTCTTCTGCCTGCTTTATTCTAGCACTGCTAGCAGCTGATTAGATGGTGCCCACCCAGATTGAGGGTGGGTCTGCCTCTCCCAGTCCACTGACTCAAATTTTAATCTTTATTGGCAACATCTTCACAGACACACCCAGGAACAATACTTTGAATCTTTCAGTCCAATAAAGTTGACACCCAATATTAATCATATATATATATATATAGTTATATATGATATAACATATATATAATTATATATGGTGTTATATATAATATAATGTATATATAGTGTTGCATATAATATAACATTAGGCAGAATAATGACCCTTAAAGACATCCAGGTCCTAATCTCCACAACTTATGAATACATTAGGTAACATGGCAAGGGGGTATTAATGTTGTAGATGGAATTAAAGTTGCTAAACAGATAACCTTAAAATAAAGAGATTGACTTTATCTGGCCTAGTGAATCCAATGTAATTACAAAGTTCCTTTAAATGTGGAAAAGGGAAGCAAAAGAGTTAGTGTCCATGTGATATGGACATTACTAGCTTTGAACATGGAAAAGGGCCATGAGCCAAGGAATTTGGACAGCCTCTAGAAATTGGAGAAGGTAAAGAAACATATTGTCCCAAACATTTCCAGAAAGAAACATGGTCTTGCCAACACCCTAAGTTTAGTTCATTGACACCCATTTCAGACTTCTGAATTTCAGATCTCTGAGATAATACATTTGTTAAGATTCCTTAAGAAAATAGAGGCTTCCTCCCAGACTCCTTTTTGGGAGAAACCTCTGTTTTTCATTATGGAACTCTAAGAGTATAACCAGACAAATTTCTCACATCTTAAACTGCTTGCTTTTGTATTGTGTTACCCAATTTTTTTTTTACTAAAATAGTTATTACAACAGGTGCTACTCTTGGGTGTGTAAAATACAAAAGGGTGTGGTTTAGACATGTAGAGAAACATCTTTGTAACAAAGTGCACTGTAAAAGCATTACATGGCCTACTCTTAGGATACCTCTCTCTTTCTGGAGACCTAGGGTACAGTGTGGGCTCTGTGCAGAGCTCAGAGATCCAGTTAAAAAATAGAAATTAAATTTAAAACTACCTATCTAAATACAATTGGTCTCCTAAACAATTCTATGGTACATTTCTACAATTTCATGTTTGACTTGGCATCCATTTTTAATCTTCCTCTAGCACACCAGACTCTCTCTCTGTACCTTGAGATGTAAATTTTGCTATCTGATTTTCACTTAAGAGTTGTTCCTTTAGTATGCAAATTTAACACTATCTAGCTAACAATTGCCTAGGTTAATGAAACAGTTTATAAGAAATTGAAAGTCTAAAATATCTAAATTGGAAATTTAAAATATCTAAAATATGAATCTGTAAGTTCTACTTTTATCTGCATGACTAATATATCTATGTATTTATTTGTTATGTATATAATGCTTACTACTGTTAACTACTGAAAATATATGAGTTCTAACCAATAGGATTTTAAAAAGCACTTAAATCAAATACTTTATCAGAAAACTAGAAAATAGAAAAGCCCAAATGCTTTTTCCAAGTTCACTTGACTTCAGCAAATCCTTAATCAATACTGTGTTTTTAAATTGTTAGTAAAATAAAATTAGAAATGTGTTAGAATTGTCAACACACATTATTGTTTAGATTTCTTGGCCACACAGTTTAATATTTATCTCTGCTAGATATTATAAGGTGGCCAAATTTGGCATGAGGGTTATAAAGCTTGCAGCCCAAAAGAAAATTATCTTTGTTTGTATATTTTTTTGTATACACAAGGCTTTGAATATCGTTGGTTTAATAAAATGGCTAACTTTTGAGTTATTGGCAAAACAAACAAGCAAAAATATTTATCTAACCTTAAGGTTCTTGCTTAGGTAAACACCAGAGATCACAGCCTATAAAAATGATTAACAGATAAATAACATTAAATGTTGACTATCACAGTTTTCTTGAGTAAACTAGGTAAACTATACTTTTAAAAAATTAGTGAATTAGGTAAATGTAATGGAATAAATGCTTATAAATAAACTTGCCATATGATTTGTAATCAAAAGTTATGATATTAAATAATAAATATTAATTAAATATCTAAGTCATTTCTAATTTTTTTTAAATTTTAGGAAAATATTTTTCTAGAAAATGTGTTATTTAAAGGAAAGTTATTTTTGACTAATGCAAAGATTATTTAAAGTTTATGAAACCAAGTAATAGGAACTAGTATAGAAATGTTTAAAAAGTTATAAAGAGGTATTTTTGATAAGAAAAGTTAAAGAGAAAATAATTTTATGAGAAATAATCTCATATGATTATTTTTTTCTAAAATAAAATGAGAGAGATGTTTATGAAAAAACAGAGAGGGATGTTTAAAATAAAATAAAATAAAATAAGAGGGATGTTTAAGATAAAACAGAAAGTCCAAGCATGTCATAAATTATTTGTATAAGTTGTAATAAAATTTGTAAAAAGAGGATTTATGAGAAAAAAGCTACATGTTATCATGTTTTCTGTAATTCAAAGGCAATTATTTATAATAGTGATTCTAGAGATTGGGCTTTGATATAAAAAAATTAATACACTAAAGAATTGGTTAGAACAACAAAATTTTCTTAAAGTATTGATTTACTCTTAATAAAATTGTGAGATATTTTAATTTTTTAAACCCAAAAGTTTGACTTTTATTGTGTCTGTTTTCAGTTTTCTCTTCCCTTTAAGAAGGACTGAGATAACTGTCTTCTTCAAGTTTTATCAGCTTCTGTAATTTTTTTCCCTCAGATTCTACTGCTATTGTGGCCCAATGCTAAAAAATGTGTAAATGAAATGTTTTCTTTTAATCTAACATTCTGTGCTCTTGGCTTTAAATTGTTCTATGAAACAAAAAATTTTCATTTATGACACAGGACACATTCTTTCTATGTCTAAGTAATTCAAGTACAGTTTACATTGGTTGACTTGCAGGTTTTTTAAATGGACTCCTCATAGGGAAAGGCAAGCATACTGCAGAAGGTCTTTCATTTATTTATTTACTTATTTATTTACTTTTTGTCTTTTGGTAACTGACCTAACAAACAGATTTTACATTTTATTTAAAAAATGCCTATGTCATTAAGTTTTGACTTTTAGAAAAACAGATTTTTTTTTTAATTAAGGTGGTTACATCCATGTAACTTCCTGTATTTTTTTTTAAGTCCTTATTCTGTTAAGTAGCAGGGCTTTTAATTCTGGGTCTAAAAGGGACACCAAGTCCTGCTAAATTTTAAACCCTAACAGCAGTTAAACCTTCATCTTCAGATGCAGGAAAAGATGACAATCAAAATTAACTGCATTCATTAGACATAGGGCCAGAAATTAAAGCTGTTAAACACCTCTGGGCTCAGGAACTGTCACAGAAGACATGGGTGTGTGAGATTGTAAGGGTCAATTTTGAGAGAGATAAACTTAGTTCAGAGTTTCTGTATAAATTAAACATTAATATTACAGGCACACTGATGAAAGACCTGCATCAGGGCCCATGTGTCTGATTTGTTATAACAAGTTTCTTGGGACATTAACTCATTTTTTAATACAAAAAAATTAGAACATTATAAAAAAGTGTATGAAAATTATTTCTTATGGTCAACATGATTAAAATTTAATAGATTTGTTTATAAGACTTGAGAAACACATTTAATTGGTCTCATGCTGTCTTTAGCAGGTCTTATTGTTTGGGAAATTAAGTCTTCTTAGTTAAACAATAAAGATTTTTGCCTTTATTTTTTAGATCTTTGAGTTATCAGTTTGGCTAAATGAATGACTCATTTTACAATAACTTGAGATCCTATTTTGTGATATTAAGTATTTTAAACTTTTGATATTTGACAGACTTTCCAAAATCAAATTCTAAAATTAGTACTTTTGACTTCATCAGTTTATTGATATTAGGTCTCCTGAAGTCCAGAAGAGATATATTTGGCTTGTTTGATATAATAAAGTTATACAGAAAACATTGTCAAATAAGAAATGGTGTTTAACCTTCATTGAATTATATTATATTTCTATAAATGTGTTATTAGAATGTGTTCCAAAAATGTGTGATATTCCTGTGATTCTGATATGTCTTAGTGTTATCAGTAGTCATTATGATTATTATGTAAAATTGCTGTATGCCACAAAGGTAATCAAATTTATTTGTCAATTTTGTCTCTAACCATGGCTGTTCTAAGACTTTTGTCATCCACAACTGTTTTATTTTCATTCTTTTATAGGACAGTTTATAATCAGCTATAGAACTCTGAGGACTATTCTTAAATATAGGTTTCTAACAAATTTAGATATTGTGCCATTGAAATAGAAAAATTTCCAGGACTTTCATGGAAAACTGATGTATTCATAAAGTTTGGTGATCCAATATTGAATGGAACATGGAGTTAATTGCATGAACAAAAATAATAGAAGACTGAAATAATCATTTATGATTTTTCTTTAAAATATTTGCTGATTGTTTTTGTTTTATTTTTCAGAGTCAGGAAAACTTTCCTTTTAAGCTACTTACAGCTTTAACAGTTTAGTAAAGTATACTCTTAAGAACAAAATTTAGAATGTAATTCCTTTCTCTAAACTTGGTTACTCCAAAATTTGGAAACTATTATGTAAGTATCCTTAATTTATGAGGATATTTGCATATATTTACTGAGAATCTGTTTTCTTTTATTACTGGGAATAACTGAAGATGGTTATTTTATCAAGGCTTTCACTGAAATAATATTTTCAGATTGCCTTGAGAAAATGAGGCTGATCTATGGAGCCAATGAAAGCCCCTTGTATAAACTAGCCCCATACCTTGTTCTTTACAGGGTCATGATCTGTGGTAATTAAAGAATGTAACTTTCTGACAGGCCTGGGAACCCCAAGTTTCCTTGGGACCTCAGAAAGAGAAGAATTCACACAGCTATTTGCAGGCACAGAGAAATCCTTGGCTAGGCTTCAAGATTTTACAAAAGTCTAATCTTAGATTCCTTGTGAAAAAGATTCCAGCAAAGCCAATTTTACAAAAAAAGAGAGACAGCCTATATGCCAAATGATTATTCTTGTTGCACTTTATGCAAATAATCAAACCAAGTGTAATAGTACTAAAAGTTATTTTACAAATAAATTGGTCCTACTATAATTTTGTCTTTAATAAAACTGGAGAATTGAAGAGAGAAAAATTATTTTTTTATAAACTATAGTATGCCTGTTGTTCTATTCTATTCTTCCCTGAGGTTTATCCATTTTTATTATTTTCTACAATTTGGACTAAATTTTAAAATTATTTCTTGCTACAAGTCTCCAAAATAATGTTTTTAATTGTTTTCCCTCTTTATTTTTCTTTTTTCTCTCATGTTTCCAATTTGAAATTACTAAATATTAAGCTGTGATTTCTATTAAAGCCCTGTGGATGCAAACTAGACAACTTAAACTTCAGAAGACAATAACAAGACCCTATTTATAGACATAAATCACCTTCTAATTGCCTACTGACAATAGACTTCAGAGTAATATTGCCTATATCAGTTTACCAAGATTGTTCTCCATTTTGTTATTTCTTTGTTGTTTTTTTTCTCTCTTCCTCCTCCTATTTTTTCTTCTAAAATGCTTTTTTTATATTTGTTTACAGAAAAGGGAGCAGAAACATAAAGAAAAATAAAAACTTGGGACTCCAATTCACTACGCCCGCAGAAACAAAATTAAACTAAAAGCTGAGTCCTGCAAGAAGCAGTCTTCCTTTTGTTCCTAAGCATACAGCTACAGATAAAAGGTTAAATATTTCCACAGGTAGCTACTCTATGTTTACCTTACTTTGTGTAAAGTGCCAATTTACTGAGCCCAAGGCAAATAAATGATTGACTATTCCCTTACCTGCTTTTTCTGTGGCAACACGTGGATTCAGTAATGTGACCATACATTCCCACTTTTCCGTCCAGCCTGCTTTTCTCCTTTAAATCTTGAAGCCCTCAAAATCATCTTTGGAGAAATGCCCAGGTCTGTCTCCCAGGTGCATCCTTAACCTGGGTAAGGTAAATTTCTAAATTGATTGAGACTCGGCCTCAGGTACTTTTTGGTTTACTATCCAATCTCTGTGGTCTTTATTAAACTAGATAGGACTACAAATGTGACTAAATAAAAATATATATCTTGAGGAAATCAACTAATTTCTTGATTTCCTCAAGACTCTCCTATGGAGATTTAAAGGCTTTGACTTCGGTTCCAGGGTTTTCAATTCACAATGTAGGTTACTTCAGGCAAATTTCTCAAATTGGCTGAGCATTGGCTTCCCCATTTAGCACTGTGCTTAGGAGTACTTGCTCCTGTTTATAAAACTACCAGTACAATTTAATACCTCACAGTTTTGTGTCAAAAGCAAAACGCAGAATTATTACATTTACCAACTTGTAAATGGAAAAATTAAGTGGCTTTTCTACATTATCAATTAGATTTTTGTCCCAGGTCTTTTGACTATTATAGATCTCTCTTTCATCAGCCTAAATTACTTATCAGAATTATTTAAAATACTGGGTTTTTTTAAAGGAATATTTAAATAGGTCAGTATCAGAATGTAATTTTGGCAAAACATTAATATTCTATGTTTATAGGTTAATTCTAAGTATTTTTAACATATTATTCCTTGCACATTTTTTAGTTTAATCACATTCATAAGTCTCTTTTGATCTATCCAAAAACCAAAGACAAGCTATCAAAATATTTCTAAATTTTTCACATTGATAAACTACAAAGCATCAAAAATTTCACCAAATAAATTCTTTATCAGATTAAAAGACTGATTTAATTCAAGATATGGATCATTTCATTAATATTTTAATATATGCTCCCATTAAAATTATAATTTGAAATATAATGTTCTTTCTAACAACTTGCCTATCTATAAAGTTCCCCATCTACTTATTTTATTTCAAAAACACAAAACTTTTCACCTTGAACCCATCACAGTGCCTTGTTTTCTTATTCTCTCAAGATTGTGCCTCTGCTGTCTTATTCAAATGTTGATTTTAGTCCATATTTGAACTACAGATGTCAATGAATGTTTTTAATTGTTTTTGTTGCCTACTTTGAAACAATCACTTATTCAGCATGAAAAACTATAATTTATTTTATTTTTACAATATATAATTTAGAAATAAGAAAAGCCACAAGGTCATCATCAATCAATCAGCCATTCACTAATATTAATTCAGGGTCTACTATGGTCTGACTATTGGGCTAGGTCAATGCTGGACACAAAAGGAGAAAAGAGAGACACAAACTCTGAGCCTAAGAGCATAATAATTAAATAGAGAAATAAATTTATGGAGATAAGTTTGAACAAGTAAGTAACATAGAATCACACACTAGATTACATGAACAAACATTTAATAGTTTTAAAAAGTGCCAATTAGTCCCTTGCGCATAGAAGATACTCAAAATAGGTAGAAAAATAATGTAAAGAATTAATTTAGAATAACCTGAGAGAGTTTTATAAAGGAAATACCTCTGGAATCAGACTAAAAAAACAGATAGAATTTGGATTTGTTAAAGCACACAAAGTGTGCTCCAAGTACCTCTTAGAGCAATTCTGGTGATGCTTGACCTTGACACCATGATGATCTTGTTTTATTTTGATGTTGTTCATTTCTTTTTCAAGAGAAAATGCATGCAGTTGAAATGTAAATTTAAAAAAAGCAAAGATTTTTTCTTTAACCATTGTCCCCTTATCCAGAAATATAATATGTATTTTAATTAAGTATATAATATTGTCTTTTTTTAACACAAGTAGCATACTATTAACACTATTCTCTATCTTTGTATTAATAAAAGTCCTCCTTATTTTTCTTATGGTAGCAGGATATTAATTTGTCCATAATATATGTTACTAGTTCTATATTGATAAGCATTTAGGTTGTATCTAATTATTTCATATTAGAAAATGTTTTTTTAATTATTTTAAGTTCTGAGATACATGTGCAGGACATGCAGTTTTGTTACATAGACAAACATACCATGTGGGTTGCTACACCTATCAACCCATCATCTAGGTATTAGACCCCACATGGATTAGTTATTTGTCCTGATGCTCTCTCTTCCCCTGTTCCCTGACAGATCCCAGGGTGTGTTGTTCTCCTCTGTGTGCCCATGCTTATTGTTCGGTTCCCACTTACAGTGAGAACATGCGGGATTTGGTTTTCTGTTCCTGTTTCAGTTTGCTGAGGATTATGGCTTCCAGCTCCATTCATGTCCCTTCAAATGACATAATCTCATTCATTTTTATGGTGGCATAGTATTCCATGGTATATATCCACCACATTTTCTTTATCCAATCTATCTTTGGTGGGCATTGGGGTTGATTACATCTTTGCTATTATGAACAGTGCTGCAATAAACATACATGAGCATGTGTCTTTGTAATAGAATGATTTATATTCCCTTGGGTATATACCCAGTAATGGGACTGCTGGATCAAATGGTATTTCTGGTTCTAGGTCTTTGAGGAATTGCCACACAGTCTTTCACAATGGTTGAACTAATTTACATTCTCCTCAACAGTGTTTAACCATTCCTATTTCTCCACAGCCTTGTCAGCATCTATTGTTTCTCAGCTTTTTAATAATTGCCATTCTGACTGGTGTGAGATGGTATCTCATTGTGGTTTTGATTTGCATATCTCTAATGATCAGTGATATTGGATTTTTTTTCATGTTTGTTGGCTGCATAAAGTCTTCTTTTGAGAAGTGTCTGTTCATGTCCTTTGCCCAATTTTTTTTTTTTTGTCTCATTCTGTTGCCCAGGCTGGAGTGGAGTGCGGTGGCGAGATCTCAGCTCACTGCAAGCTCCACCTCCCAGGTTCACGCCATTCTCCTGCCTCAGCCTCCTGAGTAGCTGGGACTACAGGTGCCCACCACCACACCTGGCTAATTTTTTTTTTTTTTTTTTTTTTAGTAGAGACAGGGTTTCACCATGTTAGCCAGGGTGGTCTCGATCTCCTGACCTCGTGATCCACCCACCTCAGCCTCCCAAAGTGCTGGGATTACAGGTGTGAGCCACTGCACCCAGCCTCCTTTGTCCAATTTTTAATGGGGTTGTTTGTTTTTTTCTTTTAAATTTGTTTAAGTTCCTTGTTGATTCCGGATATTTGACTTTTGTCAGATGGATGGATTGCAAAAATTTTCTCCCATTCTGTAGATTGTCTCTTCACTCTGATGATAGTTTCTTTTCTTGTGCAGAAGCTCTTTAGTTTAATTAGATTCCATTTGTCAATGTTTGCTTTTGTTGCAATTACTTTTAATGTTTTTTTTTTTTGTCATGAAACCTTTGCCCATGCCCATTGCCTGAATTGTATTGCCTAGATTTTCTTCTAGGGTTTTTATAGTTTTGGGTTTTACATTTAAGTCTTTAATTTATCTTGAGTTAATTTTTGTATAAGGTTTAAGGAAGAGGTCCAGTTTCAATATTCTGCATATGGTTAGCTAGTTCTCCCAGCACAATTTATTAAACAGGGAATCCTTTCCCCATTTCTTGGTTTTGTCAGGTTTGTCGAAGATTAGATGGTCATAGATGTGTGGTCTTATATCTGAGATCTCTATTCTGTTCCACTGGTCTGTGTTTCTGTTTGTACCAGTACCATGTTGTTTGGGTTACTGTATAGCCTTGATATACTTTGACATCAAATAGTGTGTTGCTTCCAGTTTTGTTTTTTTGCTTAGGATTGTCTTGGCTATACGGACTCTTTTTTTGGTTTCATATGAATTTTAAAGTAGTTTTTTTCTAATTCTGTGAAGAATGTCAATGGTAGTTTAATGGGAATAGCATTAAATCTCTAAATTACCTTGGGCAGTATGGCCATTTTCATGCTACTGATTCTTCCTGTCCGTGAGTATAGAATGTTTTTCCATTTGTTTGTGTCCTCTCTTATTTCCTTGTGCAATGGTTTGTAGTTATCCTTGAAGTGATCCTTCACTTCCCTTGTTAGCTGTATTCCTAGGTATTTTATTCTCTTATAGCAATTCTGAATGAGGGTTTATGATTTTGCTCTCTGCTTGTCTATTCTTGGTGTATAGGAATGCTTGTGATTTTTGCACATTGATTTTGTATCCTGAGACCTTGCTAAAATTGCCTATCAGCTTAAGGAGCTTTTGGGCTAAAACGATGGGGTTTTTCAGATATAGGATTATGTCATCTGCAAATAGACAGTTTGACTTCCTCTCTTCCTATTTGAATACATCTTATTCAGTTCTCTTGCCTGATTGGGTCAGAACTTCCCATACGATGTTAAATAGGAGTGGTGAGAGGAGGCATACTTGTCTTGTGCTAGTTCAAAAGAAATGCTTCTAGATTTCACCCATTCAGTATGATATTGGCTGTGGGTTTTTCATAAATGGCTCTTATTTTGACATATGTTCCATCAATACCTAGTTTATTGAGAGTTTTTAACATGAAGGGATGTTGAATTTTATCTAAGGCCTTTTTTGCATCTAGTGAGATAATCATGTGGTTTTTGTCTTTGGATCTCTTTATGTGATGAATTACATTTACTGATGTTCATATGTAGAAACAGACTTTCATCCCAGGGATGAAGCCATCTTGACCATAGAGGATAAACCGTGGAGGATAGGCTGTGTGTGTTTGTGTGTGTAAAAAGCTTCATTTCCTTCTAGTGTTTAAAAAAAGTCACTGTTAATAAAAGATAAATACCATTTCCACAATTTAAAGTACTTGGCTTCTGGATTCACTTTGCCTATATTTTACTGATGATTTTTGCATCAATATTTATCAGAAATATTAGCCTGAAGTTTTATTGTTGTCGTTGTTGTGTCTCTGCCAGGTTTTGGTATCAGGATGATTCTGGCCTCATAAAATGAGTTAGGGAGGAAACTCTCCTTTTCAATTGTCTGGAATAGTTTGAATTCAGCTTTAAATGCATCTGTTATTCGGCTTTCTTTTTTGGTTTGTAGGCTATTTATTACTGCCTCAAATTCAGAACTTGTTATTGGTCTATTCAGGGATTCAACTTCTTTCAGATTTAGTCTTAGGAGGGCGTATATGCCCAGGAATTCATCCATTTCTTCTAGAATTTCTAGTTTATTTTCATAGAGGTGTTTATATTATTCTCTGATGGTTTTTTCTATTACTGTGGGGTCACTGGTGATATACCTTTTATTATTTTTATTGGGCCTATTTGATTATTCCCTCTTTACTTCTTTATTAGTCTATCTAACAACCTATCTAGTTTATTTTTTTTCAAAAAACACCTCCTGAATTTATTAATTTTTTGAATTATTTTTGGTGTTTCTATCTCCATTTCTACTGTGATCTTGGATATTTTTTGTCCTCTGCTAGCTTTTGGGTTTGTTTGCTCTCAGTTCTGTGGCTCTTTCAGTTGTGATATTAGAGTGTCAATTTGAGATCTTTCTAGCTTTTTGATGTGGGCATTTAGTGGTATAAATTTCCCTTTTAACACTGCTTTAGCTGCATCCCAGAGATTCTGGTACCTTGTCTCTTTGTTCTCATTGGTTTCAAAGAACTTCTTGATTTCTGTCTTAATTTCATTATTTACTCAGGAGTTCTTCAGAAGCAGGTTGTTCAATTTCCGTGTAGTAGTGTGGTTTTGAGTGAGTTGCTTAATCTCGAGTTCTAATTTGATTGCACTGTGGTCTGAGAGAATTTGGTATGATTTCAGTGTTTTTACATTTACTGAGGAGTGTTTTAGTTCCGATTATGATATTGATTTTAGAGTAAGTGCCATGTGGTGCTGACAAGAATGTATATTCTGTTATTTTGGGGTGAAGAGTTCTGTAGACATCAATCAAGTCCACTTGATCCTGAATATCCATGTTAATTTTCTGTCTCAAAGATCTGTCTAGTATTGATATTTGAGTGTTAAAGTCTCTATTATTGTGTGGAATTTTAAGTCTGTTTGTAGGTCTCTAATAATTTTATGAATATGCGTGCTCCTGTATTGGGTGCATAGATATTTGGGATAGTTAACTCTTCTTGTTGAATTGATCTCTTTCCCATTATGTAATGCCCATTTTTTGTCTTTTTGACTTTTGTTGATTTAAAGTCTGTCTTGTAAGAAACCAGGATTGAAACCCCTGCTGTTTTCTGTTCTTCATTTGCTTGATAAATTTTCCTCTATTTCTTTATTTTGAGCTTACCTCTGTCTTTGCATGTGAGATGTGTCTCTTGAATACAGGACACCAATGGGCTTCACTCTTTATCCAGTGTTTCATTCTGTCTTTTAATTGGGGTATTTAGCCCATTTACATTTAAGGTTAATATCCTTATGTGTTAATTTAATCCTGTCATCATGATGCTAGCTGATTATTTTGCAGACTTGTTGATGTAGTTGCTTCACACTATCATTGGTCTTTGCACTTCAGTGTGTTTTGGCAGTGGCTGGTAATTTTTTTAAACACATACAGGCCTTTGTGTTTTATGTCTAATAAAACTAAAATCACATGATGTTAGAATTACAGAGTTAATCTCATATAGCCCCATAGGTCATATTTTTAAAATGAATTTTTAAAAATATATAGCATTTTTTAAAAAATTTTTTTATTGTACTTTAAGTTCTAGGAAAAATATGCAGAATGTGCCGGTTTGTTACACAGGTATACACGCACAATGATGGTTTGTTGCACCCATCAACCTGTCATCTACATTAGGTATTTCTCCTAATACTGTCCCTCCCCTAGCCCCTCACCCCCCAACAGGCCCCAGTGTGTGATGCCCCTCTCCCTGTGTCCATGTGTTCTCATTGTTCAACTCCCACTTGTGAGTGAGAACATGTGGTGTTTGGTTTTCTGTTCTTGTGTTAGTTTGCTGAGAATGATGGTTTCCGGTTTCATCCATGTACCTGCAAAGGACATGAACTCATCGTTTTTTATGGCTGCATAGTACTCCATGGTGTATATGTGCCACATTTTCTTCATCCAGTCTATCATTGATGGGCATTTGAGTTGGTTCCAAGTCTTTGCTATTGTAAACAGTGCTGCAATAAACATACATGTGCATTTGTCTTTATAGTAGAATGATTTATAATCCTTTGGGTATATACCCAGTAATGGGATTGCTGGGTCAAATGGTATTTCTGTTTCTAGATCCCTGAGGAATTGACACACTGTCTTCCACAATGGTTGAACTAATTTACACTCCCACCAACAGGGTAAAAGCATTCCTATTTCTCCACATCCTCTCCAGCATCTGTGGTTTCCTGACTTTTTAATGATCACCATTCTAACTGGCATGAGATGGTATCTCATTGTGCTTTTGATTTGCATTTCTCTAACAACCAGTGATGATGAGCTCTTTTTCACGTTTGCTGGGTGCATAAATGTCTTCTTTTGAGAAGTGTCTGTTCATATCCTTCATCCACTTTTTGATAGGGTTGTTTTTGTCTTGTAAATTTGTTAAAGTTCTTTGTAGATTCTGGATATTAGCCCTTTGTCAGATGGATAGATTGCAAAAATTTTCTTCCATTCTGTAAATTTCCTGTTCACTCTGATGATAGTTTCTTTTGCTGCACAGAAGCTCTTTAGTTTAATTAGATCCCATTTGTCAATTTTGGCTTTTGTTGCCATTGCTTTTAGTGTTTTAGTCATGAAATCTTTGCCCACGGCTATGTCCTGAATGGTATTGCCTAGGTTTTCTTCTAGGGTTTTTATGGTTTTAGGTCTAGCATTTAAGTCTTAAATCAATCTTGAGTTAATTTTTGTATAAGGCGTAAGGAAGGGGTCCAGTTTCTGTTCTCTGCATATGGTTAGCCAGTTTTCCAACACCACTTATTAAATAGGGAATCTTTTCCCTATTGCTTGTTTTTGTCAGGTTCATCAAAGATCAGATGGCTGTAGATATGTGATGTTATTTCTGAGGCCTTTGTTCAGTTCCATTGGTCTATATATCTGTTTTGGTACCAGTACCATGTTGTTTTGGTTACTGTAGCCTTGTAGTATAGTTTGAAGTCAGGTAGCTTGATGCCTCCAGCTTTGTTCTTTTTGTTTTATTCTTCTTGGCGATATGGGCTCTTTTTTGGTCCCATATGAAATTTAAAGTAGTTTTTTTCTAATTGTGTGAAGAAAATCAATGGTAGCTTGATGGAGATAGCATCGAATCTATAAGTTACTTTGGGCAGTATGGCCATTTTCATGATATTGATTCTTCTTATCCATGAGCACGGAATGTTTTTCCATTTCTTTGTTTCCTCTCTTATTGCCTTGAGCAGTGGTTTGTAGTTCTCCTTGAAGAGGTCCTTCATATCTCTTGCAAGTTGTATTCCTAGGTATTTTATTATCTTTGTAGCAATTGTGAATGGAAGTTACTCATGATTTGGCTCTCTATTATTGGTGTATAAGATTGCTTGTGATTTTTGCACAATGATTTTTTTATCCTGAAAGTTTGCTGAAGTTGCTTATCAGTTTAAGGAGATTTTGGGCTGAGACAAGGGGGTTTGCTAAATATAAAATCATGTCATCTGCAAATAGAGACAATCTGACTTTCTCTCTTCCTATTTGAATACACTTTCTTTCTTTCTCTTGTCTGATTACCCTGGCGAGAACTTCCAATACTATGTTGAATAGGAGTGGTGAGAGAGGTCATCCTTGTCTTGTGCTGGTTTTCAAAGGGAATGCTTCCAGCTTTTGTTCATTCAGCATGATATTGTCTGTGAGTTTGTCATAAATAGCTCTTATTATTTTGAGATACATTCTATCACTACCTAGCTTACTGACAGTTTTTAGCATGAAGGGGTGTTGAATTTTGTCTAAGGCCTTTTCTGCATCTATTGAGATAATCATGTGGTTTTTGTCATTGGTTCTGTTTATGTGATGGATTACATTTAGTGATGTGCATATATTGAACAAGCCTTGCATCCCAGGGATGAAGCCGACTTGATCGTGGTGGATAAGCTTTTTGATGTGCTGCTGGATTCGGTTTGCCAGTATTTTATTGAGGAGTTTCGCACCAATATTCATCAGGGATATTGGCCTGAAATTTTCTTTTTTTGTTGTGTGTCTGCCAGGTTTTGGTATCAGGATGATGCTGGCCTCATAAAATGAGTTAGGGAGGAGTCCCTCTTTTCTATTGTTTAGAATAGTTTCAGAAGGAATGGTACCAGCTCCTTTTTGTACCTCTGGTAGAATTCGGCTGTGAATCCATCTGGTCCTGGGCTTTTTTTGGTTGGTAGGCTATTAATAACTTCTTCAATTTCAGAACATGTTATTGTTCTATTCAGAGATTTGACTTCTTCCTGGTTTAGACTTGGGAGGGTGCCTCTGTCCAGGAATATATCCATTTCTTCTAGATTTTCTAGTTTATGTGTGTAGAGGTGTTTATAGTATTCTCTCATGGTAGTTTGTATTTCTGTGAGATCAGTGGTGATATCCCCCTTATCATTTTTTATTGTGTCTATTTGATTCTTCTCTTTTTTCATGTTTATTAGTCTGGCAACTCGTCTATCTATTTTGTTGATCTTTTCAAAAACCAACTCCTGGATTCACTGATTTTTTGAAGGGTTTTTCATGTTTCTATCTCCTTCAGTTTTGCTCTGATCTTAGTTATTTCTTGTCTTCTGCTAGCTTTTGAATTTGTTTGCTCTTGCTTCTCAAGTTCTTTCAATTGTGGTGTTAGGGTGTGAATTTTAGATCTTTCCTGCTTTCCCTTGTGGGCATTTAGTGCGATTAATTTTCCTGTAAACACTGCTTTAGCTGTGTCCCAAGGGTTCTGGTACATTGTATCTTTCTTCTCCTTGGTTTCAAATAACTTATTTATTTCTGACTTCATTTTGTTATTTTCCCAAAATGTCATTCAGGAACATGTTGTTCAGTTTCCATGCAGTTGTGTGCTTTTGAGTGAGTTTCTTAATACTGAGTTCTAATTTGTTTGCACTGTGGTCTGAGAGACTGTTATGATTTCCATTCTTTTGCATTTGCTGAGGAGTGTTTTACTTCCAATTATGTGGTCAATTTTAGACTAAGTGCAATGTGGTGCTTAGAAGAATGTACATTCTGTTGATTTGTGATGGAGAGTTCTGTAGATGTCTATTAGGTCCACTTGGTCCAGAGCTGAGTTCAAGTTCTGAATATCCTTGTTAATTTTCTGTCTCGTTAACCTGCCTAATATTGACAGTGGGGTGTTAATGTCTCCCACTCTTATTGTGTGGGAGTCTAAGTCTCTTTGTAGTTCTCTAAGAACTTGCTTTATGAATCTGGGTGCTCCTGTATTGGGTGCATATATATATTTAGGATAGCTCTTCTTTTTGCATTGATTCCTTTACCATTATGTAATGCCCTTCTTTGTCTCTTTTGATCTTTGTTGGTTTAAAGTCTATTTTATCAGAAACTAGGATTGCAACCCCTGCTTTTTTTGCTTTCCATTTGCTTGGTAGATCTTCCTCCATCCCTTTATTCTGAGCCTATGTGTGTCTTTGCACATGAGATGGTTCTCCTGAATACAGCACACCAATGGGTCTTGACTCTTTATCCAATTTGCCAGTCTATGTCTTTTAATTGGGGCATTTATCCAATTTACATTTAAAGTTAATATTGTTATGTGTGAATTTGATTCTGTCATTATGATGCTAGCTTGTGTTCTTTTGCCTGTTAGTTGATGCAGTTTCTTCATAGTGTTGATGGCTTTTACAATTTGGTATGTTTTTTCAGTGGCTGGTACTGGTTTTTCCTTTAAATACTTAGTGCTTCCTTCAAGAGCTCTTCTAAGGCAGGCCTGGTGGTAACAATATCTCTCAGCATTTGCTTGTCTGTAAAGAATGTTGTTTCTCCTTTGCTTCTAAAGCTTAGTCTGGATATGAAATTCTGGGTTGAAAATTCTTTTCTTTAAAAATGTTTAATAGTGGCCCCCACTCTCTTCTGGCTTGTAGGGTTTCTGCAGAAAGATCCACTGTTGGTCTGATGGGCTTCCATTTGTGGGTAACCCGACCTTTCTGTCTGGCTGCCCTTAACATTTTTTCCTTCATTTCAATCTTGGTGAATCTCAAGATTATATGTCTTGGGGTTGTTCTTCTCAAGGAGTATCTTTGTCGTGTTCTCTGTATTTCCCGAATTTGAATGTTGGCCTCTCTTGCTAGATTGGGGAAGTTCTCCTGGATAATATCCTGAAGAGTGTTTTCCAACTTGGTTCCATTCTCCCAATCACTTTCAGGTGCACCAATCAAATGTAGGTTTGGTCTTTTCACATAGTCCCACATTTCTTGGAGGATTTGTTAATTCTTGTTTATTCTATTATCTCTAATCTTGTCTTCATGCTTTATTTCATTGTTGATCTTCAATCTCTGATATCCTTTCTGCCACTTGATTGATTCAGCTATTGATACTTGTGTATGCTTCACAAAGTTCTCATGTTGTGTTTTTCAGCTCCATTTGGCCATTTATGTTCTGTAAACTGGCTATTCTAGTTAGCAATTCCTCTAACCTTTTTTCAAGGTCTTACCTTCTTTGCCACAGATTAGAACATGCTCCTTTAGCTCGGAGGAGTTTGTTATTACCCAACTTCTGAAGCCTACTTCTGTCAATTTGTCAAACTTATTCTTTGTCCAGTTTTGTTCACTTGCTGGCGAGGAGTTGTGATTCTTTGGAGGAGAAGAGGCATTCTGGCTTTTGGAATTTTCAGCCATTTTGCACTGATTTTTCAGCAACTTCATGGATTTATCTACCTTTGGTCTTTGACATTGGTGATCTTCGGATGGGGTTTCTGAGTGGATGTCCTTTTTGTTGATGTTAATGCTATTTCCTTCTGTTTGTTAGTTTTCCTTCTAACAGGCCCCTCTACTGCATGTTTGCTAGAGTTTGCTGGAGGTCTACTCCAGATCCTGTTTGCCTGGGTATCACCAGTGGAGGCTGCAGAACAGCCAAGATTGCTGCCTATTCCTTCCCTGGAAGCCTTCTTATTTGGGGCTTCCTCCAACCAAGCCATCAACTCCTCCAGTTCCACCATCTCTAAAACTTTCCACTTACCCAATTTCACTCTTACCCCTACAGGAAATGCCCAATGGAGATGATGCCACTAGGGTTCAAGTTTCCTTCTCATTATAGGACCTTATGCAAATAAAGGGAGACTTGGGTCAATATTCTGACCACCCTTATAGGGATATATAAGCTTTCTAAAATTTAACTCAGGTGTTTTACCTCACATGGAGGGATGTTATGCTGTTTCTAAGCCAAACGCTAACAGCTGGTGAAAAAAAAAGGTAGCTGTGCAGGGAGCAAAGAAGTCTGGAGTGAGCAATATGTCTTCCAGAGCAGGCCAAAAAGGAAAAGAGAAAATAAGAAAGGCAAAGAAATAGAGGAATCACCATTTCCAATAAGAAAAGAGGTGGTACCTCTTGGCAACCCCAATTGGAACTCTAGTGACTCCACAAGTGAATGGAAAAACAAAACAAAACAAAAAACCCCTTTTTAATGTGCATATTAAAGGGCCTATGATGAACTAGGGCCAAACCTCTTAATTACTCTAAACTGTCTATGGTAGACCAGAAGTCAAATGAGAATCCCTTAGCCTTTATTGGAAGACTGAGAGAGGCACTAATAGAACACAGCTGTTTGTCTCCTGATTAATTCAAGGAATGCTCATCCTAAAGGACTTTTATTACATGGGCAGCTTGTAATATTAGAAAGAAACTACAGAAGCAGGCTACAGGAATAGACAGCACCTTGGGAAACCTCCTGAAGGTGGCCACCTTGGTCTTTTATAATAGAGACCAGGAGGAGACCCAAGAGATTAAAAAGAAAACACAAGAGAGGGACAGAGGCTCCAGTAGCTGCTTTCAAGCTTGCAAATTCCAGTATCTCCAGGATGCATCTGCTAGTTGATACGAATATGGCAACTCAGGGCACTTTAAAAAAGATTGCACAGGCAGCAAGAGGAAGCCACCTTGATCCTGTCCAGCCTGTGGGGGCAGAAAACTGGAGATCAGACTGCCCCTGGAGATGGAGGTCACCAAGTCCAGAACTGATCATCTGACAGACGGCCCAACAGGACTGATGAGGTCACGTGGCTCAAAACCCTGGCTCCAGTTGCTCAAACTGCTATTACAGCTCAGGAGCCCTGGGTGATTTTGGAAATTGAAGGAATGAGGGTGGACCTTCTTCTGAACACTGGAACCAGTTTCACTCTTCTCTCAAATCCAGACCTCCCATCTTCCCATAGCATGACTGTGATGGGCATCTCAGAAAAGTTTCTAAATCAATATTTTTCTCAACCATGTAGTTGTAGTTTGAGGGCCCTATTATTTACGCATTCCTTTTAAATCATGTCTGAAAGTCCCACTCCTTTATTAGGTAGAGATATTTTAGCTCACATAAAGGTCAGCATCCTTATTGCCCTGGGACAATCTCTTTGTCTCCCTCTGGTGGAAGCTAATATTAATTCAGAAGCGTGTGCAACTCAAGGAAGAATAAGTCAGGCTATAACTGCTCGGCCAGTCTGGATCCACCTTAAGGATCCCACTTCTTTATCTAACCAGAGACAATATCCCCTAAATCCAGAGACTAGGAAAGGGCTAGAAGCCAATGTTAATAACCTAAAGATGCAGGGCCTCCTCAAACACTGTAACATTTCCTGCAACACCCCAATATTAGGAGTGCAAAGACCTAATAGGGAATGGAGACTAGTTCAGGACCTCTGCCTCATTAATGAGGCCATAGTCCTAGTTCATCTGATTGTCCCTAATCTCTATGCCTTGCTGACTCAAATACCTGAGAAAACTAAATGGTTCACGGTCCTAGATCTAAAGGATGCCTGTTTCTGTATATCATTACATCCTGACTCTCAATATTTGTTTGCCTTATAAGAGCCCTACAGCCAAATCATTCAGTTAACATGGACTATGCTGCCTCAGGGATTTCAAGATAGTCCTCACTTGTTTGGACAGGTACTGTCAAAGGACTTCTCTGAGTTTTTCCATCTGCAGACCATGGTCTTGTAATATGTAGATGACATACTGTTCTGTGCCCCAACTGAGAAACCTTCTCAGGAAGGCACTGAAGCTCTTCTTAATTTTTTAGCCAACAGAGGATATAAAGTTTCAAAATAGAAGGCCCAACTTTGCCAAACGTCAGTGAAGTGCCTGAGTTAGTGTCGTGTGAAGGGACCAGAGCATTAGGAGAAGAAAGGATTAAGCCCATTTTCTCATTTCCCCTTCCTAAAACCCTCAAAGCTTTTAACCAGCTAAAACAAGCCTTACTTGAGGTACCAGCCCTCAGCCTTCTTGTAGGGAGGGCCTGAAATCTTTATGTATCAGAAAGAAAGGGAATGGCCTTGGGAATTTTAACTGAAGCTCAAGGACCAGCTCAAAAGCCAGTGGGAAACCTGAGTAAGAAAACTGATTTTGGTGGCTAAAAGATGGCCAGCATGCCTCCAAGCCATTGCTGCAGTGACTGTACTGGTACCAGAGGCCACCAAATTAACCCTGGGATATGGCTTAACTGTTTATACCCTACATAATGTAGCAGAATTGCTGTTTTCTAGGAAAAGGCTTTGGCCAAGAGACAGCTGGCTTTTTAAATATCAGGCTTTGCTGTTAGAAGGGTCTACAATCCAGTTCTCACCTAAACCCAGCCACTTTCCTCCCCAAGGAAACTGGAGAACCTGAAAATGACTGTGAACAAGTTATAGTACAGACCTATGGAGCAAGGGAAAATCTCAGGGAAATTCTCCTAGGAAATTCAGACTGAACATTCTTCATGGATGGAAGTTCCTTTGTAGAGCAAGGAGTCCATGAAGCAGGATATACGGTAGTCACTCTGAATGATGTTATTAAAAGTGTGCCCCTCTCACCAGGCACAAGCACTCAAGTAGCTGAACTGATAGCTATTATGGAAGCACTTGAATTAAGCAAGGGAAAGGTAGCTAACATTTACACTAACTCTGAGTGGGCTTTCTTAGTCCTCTATGCTCATGCTGCCATTTGGAAGGAAAGACACTATCTTACCACTAATGGATCTCCTATAAAATGCCATTATGAAATTAACAGATTATAACCCTCAGTTTTCCTCCCATGAGAGGTTGCAGTGATGCATTGTAAGGGACATCAGAAAGGAACAGATGAAGTAGTCGAAGGAAACAAGTTAGCTAATCAGGCAGACAAGTAAGGGGTAAGGAAGCCTCAGGGCCTCAACACACTTAAAGCCCCTCTAACCTGGGAAGGCTCCATAAGAGAAAGTAAACCTCAGTACTCCTTTGTAGAGATAGAATGGGACATCTCTTGAGGGTACACTTTTCTGTACTCAAGAAGACTCTAATAGAGGACAGCAAACTCCACTTGCCAGCCTCCAGCCAGTTGAAAGTCCTTAAGATTCTTCACCAAGCTCCAAACTTTCCACTTATTCAAGGATAAAACTTATCAGTGTTATCAGAGATTGTTTTAAGGAAAGAACTTATTAAAAACAGTCAAGGAGGTTGTTAATGCTTGTGAAATCTGTCTTAAAAATAATACCCTCAACAGGTGGCTTTTTCTGCCTCAAACCCAAAGGATGGGAAGCTATCCAGGGGAGGACTAGCAGATAAACTTCACCCACATGTCAACAACAGAGGTCATCCAATACATCCTGGTATGGGTAGACACTTTCAATAACTGGGTAGAAGCCTTTCCATGACATACTGAAAAGGGCTTTGAGGTAATAAAATTGTTAGTTAATGAAATAACTCCCTGATTTGCTCTACCTAAGTACCTCCAAAGTGGCAATGGCTCTTCTTTTAAGGCAACCATCATGCAGGGGATCTGAAAGGCACTAGGCATACAGTATCATCTCTATTGTGCTTGGAGACCCTGGTCCTCAGGAAAGGTAGAGAAGGCAAATGATATTATTAAAAGACACCTCAGAAAACTATCCCAAGAAACTCACCTTACTTCTGTCACTCTTCTTCCCATGGCTTTACTGCAGGTAAGAAATATCCCTTCAAAGTTAGGTCTGAGTCCTTTTAAAATGCTGTTTGGATGGCCTTTCCTTACAAATGATTTTCTATCAGACCAAGAGGCTGACCTTTGAAGTGGTAAACATGTAACCTCCCTAGTTCACTTCCAAACCAAATTAACACAATTAGCAAAAGCCCAACCCAAGAAATAGGGCAACCTTTATTTAACCCAGGAGATTTGGTATTGGTAAAGGCTCTCTCCTCTCTCTCTCCTTTCCTAAATCCCAACCTTGAAAGGGCGCTACACTGTTCTTCTTTCAACCACCTCAGTGGTAAAAGTTACAGGAATCAACTCCTGAATACATCACACTTGAGTCAAAACCTGGAAAGCTGACAGAGCAACTCCTGATGTCTCAAAGGAATGTTCTGGATATCAATGTGAAGAGATAGGAGATCTTAAGCTGAAATCATAAAAATTAAGTAAATGAGTGAGGGCCACTCATCCTACTCAGTCCTACCTCTACCTTACTAGATACTTTCAATCATTTCTACCTTTCCTCTAGAGATTCTCTGCCAGTTATTAGAACTTCCTTTTGATGCATATTTGCAGGGAGATTTTGATTACCCATGGGATTACATTTGTAACACCATACACCCTTAAAGGGAAATTCTATATCTTGGCAAGTAAAATTTTAGATGAAAATTATTTATTATATAACTTTTGCAGAAATTGCTATACTCACTCTTCTATTTGCAGTAGGTAGGACTATACACTGTGGCACCCACAATGTGGAATTCTGTATGAAAAATTCTAATTGCTGTAATATTCTGCCTAATTTTCATCTTTATAACAGAAATAATAATTACAGGGAAGATTTAGCCAAAATTAACACTAAAGTTACTCTAGCCGCTCAATCCAATGCCGCTTACATTGGATTTACATTGGAAAAATGGTGCTTCTCCATTAATGCGTCTACTAAAGTACAGCGACACCTGGTGGAGGCAAACCAGTATTATAACCCATCAAAATGGGTAACAGGTGCCAAACAAACCCTGTCGTGGTTGTGGCCTCTAATGCCCCCACTAATAATGGTTATCTTAATACTCACATCCAAACTCTGTATTCTAAACCTTGTTGTAAAATTTATCTCTTCTGACCTAGAAGCTATTAAATTCCAAATGTTGTTACAGATGAAACCATTCATGGACCCACCTTTCTTCCAAGGACCCTTAGATCCTCAGGAGGAGCCTCAACTGCTGTTCCCCACAAGATGCCCCTCTCCAGCAGGAAATAGCCAGAAGAGTAGTCATACAACACCTGCTAAGAGCAGTTCAGGTTTTCACTCCTGAGTGGGAAGATGATACAGGACATAGAAAGAAATTATTTACGCAGATACTGAGGGCAACAGAGTCTTGGCAGAGTTTCTCTTCTAAGAAAAAAGCAACCCCCCAAATCATTTCTAATGAAGAGGAGCCTTGGAATTGAGCTGTAAACACAGATAAGCAAGTTGGAAGTTTGCACAGGGAAATGCCAGCAGCTGTGCCAATCAAAAAGGGCTACCTCCAGGCCAGGCATGTCCAAATGGAGGTTGTTGTTGTTACCACGTGTACAGTAACAGAGGAGTGGGCAACATGGTGCAGCTCAGGCAGAGAACTCGCTTGCACAATTAAAGAATAGGTTGGGGGCTACCAAAAATTTGCAACCCATGCAAATGGCACACCTGGTCTAAACAGTGTTTTGCACCCTGTGTAAATCAGGCACTGTCTCCTCACAATATCATCTATAAAACTCCCTACATTTCATTGTGCATCTGGCAACCCATTTTTCTGGGACCCCTCTCTGCAGCACAGAGCTATTCTCTTTCTTTTGCCTATTAAACTTCTACTCTCAACCTCACTCTTTGTGTGTCCATGTCCTTGCTCTCCTTGGCCAAGGAGACAATGAACCTCACATGTTACTTCTGACAATGAGACCATTTCATTATCATTCATGGGACATTTGTTGATATAGTTGCCCCAAAATATATTTGATATATGTGTCACAGTTATTTCATAGATTCAGTTTTTACGGTATTTTTTTTTTCCTCATTTGGGTAGACAATGTTACAGGGAAGATCAGTGACTTAAGGGCTGCTATTCATATCCTTTTGTCGCATGGATTGCTTCCTTGATGTGGTGCTCTCCTGTTTCTCCTAGAAAGGGAGCTTCTTGAGAGACACCCTGCCTTGACTGTTATTTCTCATTTGGATCTAGACACTTAGAAGAGCTACTAGGCTCTGGGCTGGTACTAGGGAGTGTCTACAAAGAGTCGTGTGGTGTGATCCATCTTCAGGTCTCTCAGCCATGGATACCAGCACCTGCTCCAGTGAAGGAAGCAGGGTGGTGAAGTGAACTCTGAGGGTCCTTGGTTGTATTTGTACTAAGTGTGCTGATTTTGTGTTGCTTTCTGTACAGCCAGGTGGTGGTGCTTTTAAGAGTACATCAGTTGCGTTTGTACAGGGAGGATACAAACTTGCCCTAAGGTCACCTTTGAATTAATATTCGAGATTCTCAGGCAGTGGGCATGGCCATAGAGCTCCCAGGGGATTACGCCATTTGTCTTTGGCTACCAGGCTGGGTAGAGAAAAACCATAATGAGGGGGAAGGGTTAGGAATTTCTGAGCTGAGACTCTCCTTGGTCATGGCTTGCTGTGGCTGCTGTGGGGGATGGGAGTGTGGTTCCCAAGCCAATGGAGTTATATTTCTAGGGGTAGGCTTGCTATTTTTAAACAATTTGAATTTCTCTCATTATTATTTTCTTACATTCTAATTTTTGTACATAATTCCTGGATTCCAGAAATTGGTATTCTTATCAATGCCAAGTAAGGATAAGTGCTGGAGAAAAGTTTAGAACATTTATCATTTATAAGCTATTAAAATTTTGTGCTTCTGAGAGATTGTGAAGTACTATGTTAAAGATAGAGGAGAAAAATAATATTCTTCGGTAAAGTTTAAATGCCTTATTTTCGTATTAAATGAAATTAGGTAACTAAGAAGGTCTAGGTCTCTTGGCTTTTCTATTTCTTTCTAAGTGGAATTAAGGGAGGAGACCACCTCTCATATTGTCTTATGCCCAATTTCTGCCTCCAAAGAAAGAAGAAGTAAAAACTAAAAGGCAGAAATGAAATCCACAGGCAGACAGCCCGGTGCTACACCTTGGGCCTGGTTAAAGATTGACCCCTGACCTAACCGGTTATGTTATCTATAGATTTCAGACATTGTATGGAAAAGCATTGTGAAAATTCCTGTCCTGTTCTGCTCTGATGATCGGTGCATGCATCCCCCAGTCATGTACCCCCTGCTTGCTCAATTGATCACGACACTCTCATGTGGACCCTGTTAGAGTTGTAAGTCCTTAAAGGGGACAGGAATTGCTCACTTGGGGAGCTCAGTTTTTACAGACATGAGTCTTGCTGAAGCTCCCGGCTGAATAAAGCCCTTCCTTCTAGAACTTGGTGTCTGAAGGATTTTGTCTGCAGCTTGTCCTGCTACATTTCTTGGTTCCCTGACTGGGAAGCGAGGTGATTAATGGATGGGTGGTTGAGGCAGCCCCTTAGGTGGCTTAGGCCTGCCCTATGGAGCATCCCTGCAGAGGACTCCAGCCAGCTTGAGAGATGTGGATCCAGACAGCACTCTCAGGTAGGCAATTGCCCCAGTGGAGTGCCTTGTCAGAGCAGTGCACAGCAGGTCCCCGCAGATGATCAACTCAGTGGCTGAACACCGGGAAGGAACTGGCACTTGGAGTTTGGACATCTGAAACTTGGTAAGACTGGTCTTTGGAACTTGCCCACTCCATTTGAGTGGAAGCGTGGCCTGATCACCCACAACGTGCCTGTACCGGTATTTTGGTTTTTGTTTTTGACTTGACTTGGATTGCTTGATACTTTTTGTGTTGGTTTTGACCTGGCTTGGATTTCTTGATACTCTGATTTTGGTTTTCATTCTGGTTTGGTGTAAACTGTAAACGTGTGTGTGTGCCCTTTTTACTGGTTCTTTGTTTTGTGGTGTGCATGTGGTGTGAGTGTGGTGTTTTGTCTCGAGGACACATGGGTCAGGCACAAAGTAAGCCCACCCAACTAGGAACTATGTTGAAAAATTTCAGGAAAGGTCCCCTTACGGTGTTACTATGACACCAGGAAAACTTAGAACTTTGTGTGAAATGGATTGGCCAGCATTAGAGGTGGGTTGGCCATCAGAAGGAAGCCTGGACAGGTCCCTTGTTTCAAAGGTATGGCACAAGGTAACCTATAAGCCAGGGCACCCAGAACAGTTCTCATACATGGACACTTGGTTATGCTGGTTTTAGATCCACCCCATGCCACAGTGGTTGAGAGAACAGCAGCATAAGCAGCTGGCAGAGGCAAGGAAAGACCAGCAGAGAGAGAGAGAAAAAGAGACAAAGAGGGAGAGGAAGGGACAGAGAGATAAAGAGGGAGTCAAGGAGAGAAAGAGAGAAAGAAAGAGAGAAAGAGATATACAAGTAGTTAAGAAAAAAAGTGTACCCTATTCCTTTAAAAGTCAAGGTAAATTAAAAACCTATAATTGATAATTAAAGGTATTCTCCATTATCCTATAACACTCCAATACCACTTGGTTGTCAGTGTAAACAAGGGCATATCCTGAAAGCACTGAAGCCTTCCTATCAAAAATCCTTAACCCAGTAACCTGCAGATGGCCCAAATGCATTCAGTCTGTAGTGGCAACTGCTTCGCTAACACAAGAAAGTAGAAAAATAACTGTTAAAGGAAACCTCATTGTGAGCACACCTCACCAATTCAGAAGTATCAAAAAAAAAAATGATTTAACATTAACCACTGAAAATTCCCTTAACCCAGCAGGTTTCCTAACAGGCGATCTAAATCTTAATTACCATACAAAGGTCTAACCAGACCTAGGAGGAACTCCCTTCATGAAAGGATGATAGATGATTCCTCCTGGGTAACTGGAGGAAAAAAAAAGCCATCTATACCAGCTCTAAGTTAATTTGGACTAAACAAGGTCTTATTAATAGCAAAGGATAATTGAAATCCCAAACTTACAAGGTTTTCAACAAAAGTAAAGTTTGCTAAAAGTTAACAGTGTAACATGTATTATAGTAACTTCTAATCTTGTGGCCTTAGACAGTCTAGTCCACAGACATAAAGGAAGTTCACTTTGGAAAAGAATGGTTATCATCTTCAAAAAAAAAAAGGGGGGGGGGAAGGAGGAACAGAATTTATGTAAAAAGAATGTTATATGTTAAATTCTTGTCCTGAAATAAATTAACTGGTTGTTTAAAGAAAGAAACGTTTGTAATAAGTCAGAAAGTTGAGGCATGTCGAAGAATTGTCTGTGAAAGAGAAAAAAAATTATAAAAAGAACTTATGCAAGAAATGATGCATAATTTAAAAGTAATTAGGCCTCCTGAGTACTACTGAAGCAACAGTTTATGTGCAAGGTGTATAAGGAAAGTAAATTATACCTTTGGTAAAAGGGTTATAAGGAGGCATAAGAATGTAACATTTTACCTATATTAAAAGGTTAAAAATTTTTGTTTTGAAGGTTTAAGCAAGTTTTAAAAAGTTAATTGTAAAGAAAATTCTGTGTAATATGTGTAAACATATTAGCTAAAGTTGAAGGGGTATCATCCAGTTTTTCTGTGAACTGGACATTAAAGTAAAAACACAACAGGTTTTTCTTAAAGGGCTAACCTGCTCTTTAACAAAAGATTGTAAAAGGTTAAAAAGATTATAAAAGGTTATAAAAGGTTAAAAAGAGTCTATAAAAATCTTACCTTATGGTCCGACATTAAAAATTGAATAAATATGTCTATAAATTTTATTAAAACTAAGTTTAACATTAATTACACACTAATAAAAAGGTGAAATTTAGCTTATCTGGTATAAGAATCATACAGGAAGCACTGTCAGATATAAAATGGTGTTCGGCTTCTTTGGTCTAAAAACTAATAAAAATAGGTGCTAAAGGAAATTTCTCAGTAGAAAGACACCAAGGACTATAAAGTCCACTGTCTGGAGGGGGTTGGCACTTTCTTGACTCAGGTGTGATGAGTCCATCCTTTTCTCACTGTGCGAACAGCAGAGATTAGCAGCACAAGGTAGGGTCCTTCCTGGGCTGGCTCGAGTCCCCACATTTAAAACAAAAGGTCAATTTCTTAAAAATTGTGCCCTTGGTTTATCTTCCACTTTCCTTTCCCTCAAAACTAAAAGTCTTTTAGCACATGTACCACCCCTAGAATTTCTGGTAAATGAGCACCAGCCTGAAGATCATGTTTTCATCAAAGAGTGAAAAGAAGGGAAACTTGAGCCAGCCTAGGAAGGACCCTACCTTGTGCTTCTAATCACTGCTGCTCGCACAGTGAAAAAACGATGGACTTATCACATGCAAGTCAAGAAAGCGCCACCCCCCTCCAGAGTCATGGAAAGGGTTTTCTCCAGGGGAAAACTCTACCAAACTGAAGCTAAGAAAAATTTAACTCTTTCATCTATTCTATTACTCTTTCTTTCCTCACTCTATTGCTGACCATCTAGTTATTAACATAACCAAGTCAATTTCACCTCAAACTATTGCTTTTAATGCTTGCCTTGTTATACCCTGTGGGGACTTGCCAAGTCAAAGACAGCTCTCTACTTCAGAAAAGTACCTCTGTCCCTCCTGACTCTTCTCAGACTGGGAATCAGTAAATTGGGACCATTTAATCCAGGGAGATTTCAGTAAAGACCCCAGTGACAACCAGGATTCTTGCCCCCCATTGTAGAGCATTTATGCCATAGTTGGTCCAATGTTCTGTGTACACTAAAGAGCATGGATGGACTGCACCAACTGGTTTTTGTAATTTCCTAAAATCATATACATTCACTGTACTAGAGGATCACAGAAGTTAAAGACTTAAAACAAACTTTGGCAATTAAGATAGGATACCAAGATGCAAATGCCTGGTTGGAATGGATCTAATATTCCATCCACATGTTAAACAAAAGCAATTGTTATGCTTGTGCACATGGCAGGCCAGAGGCCCAGATTGTCCCCTTTCCGCCAAGGTGGTCCTCCAGTCGACCAGGCATGGGCTGTGTGGTAGCTCTTTTCCAGCATTCTACAGCCTGGAGTAATAAGTCATGCCAAGCTCTCTCTCTGCTATATCCCAAAAGTCTGGCACTCTGCGGGTCAGCCCCCGAGGGCTATCCAGCTTCTGTCTCCCACTTCGTGTCTCTCACGACAGGGAGGAAACTTAGCGTTCCTTGGAGACCTGAAGGGATGCAGTGAGCTTAAGAATTTTCAAGAGCTTATGAATCAATCAGCCCTTGTTCATCCCTGAGTGGATGTGCAGTGGTATTGTGGTGGACCTTTACTGGGCACTCTGCAAAATAACTGGAGTGGCACTTGTACTTTAGTCCAATTGGCTATGCCTTTCGCCCTGGCATTTCATCAACCAGAGGGAGGAAAAATAAGACATCGTAAAGTGAGAGTAGCCCCTTATGGGTCTTTTGACTCTCACGTCTATTTAGACACAATTGAAATCCCACAGGGAATACCAGATCAATTTAAAGCCTGAAATCAAATAGCTGTAAGATTTGAGTCAATATTTTGGTAGATGACAGTTAATAAAAATGTAGATTGGATAAACTACATCTATTACAACCAACAGCAACAACCTTTTCATGAGTTAAAATAAAAACTCATGTCGGCCCCAGCCATGGGGCTACCTGACTTGACAAAACCCTTTACACTCTATGTGTCAGAAAGAGAAAAAATGGCAGTTGGAGTTTTCACCCAGACTGTGGGGCCCTGGCCAAGGCCAGTGGCCTATCTCTCAAAATAACTAGATGGGGTTTCCAAAGGCTGGCTCCCATGTCTAAGTGCCCCGGCAGCAACGGCCCTGTTAGCACAAGAAGTAGATAAACTAACCCTTGGGCAAAACCTGAATATAAAGGCCCCCCCATGCTCTGGTAACTTTGATGAATATCAAAGGACCCCCCATGCTGTGGTAACTTTGATGAATACCAAAGGACATCATTGGCTAACAAATGCTAGATTAACCAAGTACCAAAGCTTGCTATGTGAAAATCCCCGCATAACCATTGAAGTTTGCAACACCCTAAACCATGCCACCTTGCCCCCAGTATCAGAGAGCCCAGTTAAACATAACTGTGTAAAGGTATTGGACTCAGTTTATTCTAGTGGGCCCAACCTCTGAGACCATCCTTGAACATCAATAGACTTGTGAGCTGTACGTGGATGGGAGCAGCTTTGCCAACCCCTGCAAAGTGACTCTGAAGAAGATGACAAGTCTTGCTCCAGTCACTCCCGGAAGCTGACTTGTCCATGCACGGCCAAAGCATGAGAAAACTCATCGCGGGACTCATTTTCCTTAAAATCTGGACTTGTACAGTAAGGACTTCAAATGACCTTCCTCAGACTGACATCAAATCACTGAGGTAGGACAAAAAGTTTCTACAGTCTTATTATTTTATGGTTATTGTAAGTGTACCAGGACTCTAAAAAGAACTTGTTTGTATAATACTATTCTATACAAGGTAGGTAGCCCAGGAAATGACCAACCTGATGTGTGTTATGATCCATCTGAGCTTCCCATGACCACAGTTTTTGAAATAAGATTAAGGACTGAGAACTGACGGGGGCTCATAAACAATATGAGTAAAGTGTTAGCCAAAACAGAAGAAAAAGGGGTGCCCAAGAAAGTCACCTTGAAATTTGATGTCTGTGCTATCATTAATAGTAATAAGTTAGGAATAGGATGTGGTTCTCTTAATTAGGAAAGAGGCTATATGGCAGAAAATAAGTACATTTGTCATGAATTAGGACTGTGTGGAAATGAATGTGGATACTGGTCTTGTGTAATTTAGGCTACTTGGATAAAAAATGAAAAGGATTTTGTCCACCTTCAGAAAGGGAAAAGCGGCCGTTCCTGTACCAGTGGTCAGTGTAACCCCTTAGAGCTAGTAATAACCAGCCCCCTTGATCCTTGCTGGAAAAAAGGGGAGCCTGTAACCCTAGGAATAGATGGGGCTGGACTGGATCCTCGAGTAAATATCATAGTTTAAGGAGAAGTTTATAAATGCTCTCCTGAGCCAGTATGATGAACCGAATGTGCCAGTACCAGAAATTCCAGGAAAAACAAGAAATTCGTTTTTGCAATTAGCTGAGCATGTAGCCCAGTCTCTCAGTGTCACTTCATGTTATGTATTTGGAGGAACTGTAATGGGAGATCAATGGCCATGGGAAGCCCAAGAATTAATACCTACAGACCCAGTTCCTGATGAATTCCTGGCTCAAAAGAATCAGCCTGATAACTTCTGGGTCCTAAAAGCCTCAATCACTAGACAAACTGTATAGCAAGAGTAGGGAAGGACTTCACCCTTCCTGTAGGAAGACTCAGCTGCCTTAGGCAAAAACCATATAATAATAGTACAAAAAGAGCCACCTAGTGAAGTTCAAACCACACTAAAAAAAAATCCATTTAGTAAATTCCCAAAGTTAAAAACCATGTGGACCCACCTGGAGTCCCACCGGGACTGGACAGCCCCCACTGGATTATACTGGATATGAGGGCATAGAGCTTACACCAAATTACCCGACCAGTGGGCAGGTAGTTGTGTTATTGGCACTATTAAACCATCTTTCCTCCTACTGCCCATAAAGACAGGTGAACTCCTGGGCTTCCCTGTCTATGTTTCCCACGAAAAGAGAAGCATGGCTATAGGAAATTGGAAAGATGATGAATGGCCCCCTGAAAGAATCATACAATATTATGGGCCTGCTATTTGGGCACAAGACAGCTCGTGGGAATACCAGACCCCCATTTACATGATCGACTGAATCATACGGTTACAAGCTGTCTTAGAAATAATCACTAATAAGACCAGCAGAGTCTTGACTATTCTGGCCAGGCAAGAAACTCAGATGAGAAATGCTATCTATCAAAATAGATTGGCTCTTGACTACTTGCTAGCAGCTGAAGAAGGGGTCTGTGGGAAATTTAACCTTACTAACTGCTGTCTACACATAGATGATCAAGGGCAAGTAGTTGAAGACATAGTTAGAGATATGACAAAACTGGCACATGTGCCCATGCAAGTGTGGCATGGGTTTGATCCTGGGGCCATGTTTGGAAAATGGCTCCCAGCACTAGAAGGATTTAAAACTCTTATAATAGAAGTTATAATAATAATAGGAACCTGCCTACTGCTCCCTTGTTTGCTACCTGTACTTCTTCAAATGATAAAAAGCTTCATTGCTGCCTTAGTTCATCAAAATTCTTCAGCACAAGTGCACTATATGAATTACTATTGATCTATCTTGCAAGAAGACATGGGTAGTAAGAATGAAAGTGAGAACTCTGACTAATGAGTGAGGCTCTCAAAGTTGGGTGGGGGGAAAGGGTTTTTTTTTTTTTAGTAGAGACAGGGTTTCACCATGTTAGCCAGGATGGTCTTGATCTCCTGACCTCATGATCCACCCTTCTCGGCCTCCCAAAGTGGGTAAAGGTTTTTTACCTACAGTAAAAATATTCTTCAAACCTGAAGAACAAATAAGGACGTTCTCACACAAACAAAAGCTGAACAATTTCATCGACATGAGACCTGTCCTACAAGGAGTGCGAAAGTGAGTTCTTCAATCTGAAAGATAAGACATTCATAAGCAATAAGAAATCATCTGAAGGTACAAAACTTCTGGTACCAGTAAGTACACAGACAAACACAGAAAATTATAACACTGTAATTGTGGTGTGTATATTGTGCATATTTTAAGTAGACAAACTAAAAGATGAATCAATCAAAGATAATAACTATAACAACTCTTCAAGACATAGACAGGACAATGAAATATTCATATAAATAGAGACAACAAAAATGTTAAAGTGAGGAGATGGAGATGAAGTTAAAGTGTAGAGCTTTCATTAGTTTTCTTCTTACATATTTGTTTATGCAATCAGTGTTAAGCTATCACCAGTTTAAATATTGGGTTATAAGATATTATTTGCAAGCCTCATGGTAATCTCAGATCAAAAAACATGTAACAGAGCTGGGCGCGGTGGCTCATGCCTGTAATCCCAGCACTTTGGGAGGCTGAGACGGGTGGATTACAAGGTCAGGAGTTCGAGACCAGCCTGACCAACATGGTGAAACCCTGTCTCTATTAAAAATACAAAAATTAGCCGGGCATGGTGGCGGGTGCCTGTAGTCCTAGCTACTCAGTAGGCTGAGGCTGGAGAATCGCTTGAACCCGGGAGACGGAGGTTGCAGTGAGCCGAGATTTTGCCATTGCACTCCAGCCTGGGCAATAGAGCAAGATTTTGACTCTGCCTCAAAAAAAAAAAAAAAAAAAAGTAACAGATACACAAAAAATAAAAAGCAAATAATTAAAATATACCACCACAAAAAAATCACTTGATTAAAAGGGAGACAGTAAGGAAGGAACAAAAGAGGAGAGGATGACAGAACAAGCAAGAAATACACTTCATCTATAAAGAAACATACAGACTGAAAATGAAGGGGTGATAAAAGTTATTCTATGCAAATGGAAACCAATGAAGAGCAGTAGACTCTATAGTCTGCACTATAGATCAAATGGGGATAATAAATATTTACAGAAGTTTTTATCATATGGCTGCAGAATACATATTCTTCTTCTTGGCATACAAATCATTCTTAAGGATGGACCATATGTTAGGTCACAAAAACAGTCTTAAACATTCAAAATTTGAAATCATATCAAGTATATCCTTTGAATACAATAGAATAAAGCTAGAAATCAACAAGAGGAATTTTGAAAGATATATAAACACATGGAAGTTAAACAATATGCTCCTGAATGAGCAGAGGGTCAATGAAGAAATATGAAGAAAATTAAAAAATTTCTTGAAACAAATAATAGTTGGAAACAGAACATACCATTACCTATGGGATATAGTGAAAGTAGTACTAAGAAGGAAGCTTATAGCTACAAAATGACTACATCAAAAAAGTAGAAAACTTTAAATAAACGATCTAATGATGCACCTTTAATTAGAAAAGTGAGAGCAAACCAAAGCCAAAATTAGTAGAGGAAAAGAAAGAATAAAGATCAGAGCAGAAATAAATGATACTGAAATGAAGAAAATAATACAAAAGAATAACCAAATGAAAAGCTGGTTTTTGAAAAGATAAACAAATTGACAAAGCTTTGACCAAACTAAGAAAAAAGAGACGGCCCAAATAAACAAAATTGGAGATAAAAAGAAGACATTACAACTGATACTGCAGAAAGCCAAAGGATCATTGGTGGCTACTATGAGCAAATATATGCCAATAAATTGGGAAAGCTAAAATAAACAAGTAAATTCCTGCACACATACAACTTACCAAGATTGAACCATGAAGAAATCCAAAACCTGAACAGATCAATAAGAAGTAATGAGATTGAAGCCATAATAAAAAGTCTCCCAGCAAAGAAAACTCTTAAAGACTCAATGGCTTCACTGCTGTATTTTACCAAACATTCAAAGAAAAATATCAATTCCACTTAAACTATTCCAAAAAATAGAGCAAAAGGGAACACTTTCACACTCATTCTATGAGTATGAGGCCAGTATTAATCCTGAGAACAAAACCAGAAAAAGACATATCTGAAGAAAAGAAGAAAAGCATAGGCCAATATCCCTGATGAATATTGATTCAAAAATGCTCAACTAAATAACAGGCAATCAAATTCAACAGTACATTAAAAAGATCATTCATCATGACCAAGTGGGATTTACTTCAGCAATGGAAGGATGGTTCAATATGTGCAAATAAATAAATGTAAAACACCATATCAACAGAATGAAGGACAAAAACCATATAATTTCAATTGATGCTAAAAAAGCATTTGATAAAATTCAACGTCCCTTCATGATAAAAACTTTAAAAAGTAGTATAGAAGGAACATAGCTTAACACAATAAAAGCTATATACAACAGACTCACAGCTAATATCATACCAAATTGGGCAAAACTAAAAGCCTTTTCTCTAAGATATGGAACATGAGAAAGATAATCAGTTTCACCACTGCTATTAAACATAATATTGGAAGCCCTGGCTGTAAAAATCAGACAAGGGAAAGTAATAAAGGACATACAAGTTGGAAAAGAAGTTACCAAATTATCATTACTTGCAGATGATAGAATCTTTTATTTGGAAAAACCTAAAGACTCCACCAAAAAAAAAAAAAAAACTATTAGAACAGATAAATTTAGTAAAGTTCCAGAATACAAAATCAACAGGCAAATATCAGAACTATTTTTATAAGCCAACGATGAAAATCTGAAAATAAAATTTTTAAAATCCCATTTACAATAGCTGTAAATAAAATAAAATATCTAGGGATTAACTTGACCAAGTAAGTAAAAGATCTCTACAATTGAAACTATAAAACAATGATGAAAGAAATTCAAGGAGACACCAAAAAATGAAAAATGATCAAGAATTAGATGGATCAATATTGTTAAAATGTCTATACTACCCAAAGCAATCTACAGATTCAATGCAATCTCTATCAAAATACCAATGACGTTCTTCACCAAAATAGAAAAAAATCTAAAATTTATATGGAACACAAAAGACCCGAAAGAGCCAAAGCTATTCTGAGAAAAAAGAATGAAACTGAAGGAATCACATTACCTGACTTCAAATTACGCTAGAGCTATAGTAACCAAAACCACATGGTACTGGCATAAAAATAGACATATAGACCAATGGAACAAAATAAAGAACCCAGAAACAAATCCATACGCTATAATGAACTCACTTTCAACAAAGTTTCGAAGAACATACATTGGGGAAATAACAGTCTCTTTTCAATAAATGGTGCTGAGAAAATTGGCTATCCATATGTAGGTGTGTGAAACTAGCCTCCTATATCTTGACATTTACAAAAATGCAATAAAAATAGATTAAAGACCTAAATGTAAGACATCAAACTGTGAAACTACTAGAAATACAAGAAAACATCAGGGAAACTATCCAGGACATTGGAGTGGGCAAAGATTTCTTGAGTAATAACCCAGAAGTACAACCAACTAAAGCAAAAATGGACAAATGAGATTACATCAAGATAAAGAGCTTCTGCACAGCAAGGGAAGCAGACAAAATAGAAGAAAATATTTGCAAACTATCAATCTGCAAGGGATTAATAACCAGAATATATAAGAACCTCAAAAACTCTATAGGAAAAAAAATAATGACCTAATTAAATAATGGGTAAAGGATCTGAAAAGATATTTCTCAAAAGAAGACATGCAAATGGCAAACAGGCATTCCAAAGGTGCTCCACATTATTGTTCATCACAGGAGCACAAATCAAAACTACAATGAGATATCATCTCACCCCAGTTAAAATGGCTTTTATCCAATAGACAGGCAATAACAAATGCTGGCGAGGATGTAAAATAGTACAACCGCTATAGATAACAGTTTGGAGGTTCTTCATAAAACTAAAAATAGAGCTACCATTCAATCCAGCAATCCTACTGCTGAGTATGTAACCAAAGAAATCAGATACTTGCACTCCCATGCACTCCCATGCTTGTTGCAATACTATATACAACGGCCAAGATTTGGAAGCAACCTAAGCATCTAGGAAAAGATGAATGGATAAAGAAAATGTGATACTTATACACAATGGAATACTATTCAGTCATAAAAAAGAATGAGGTCCTGGCTTTTCCAACAACATGGACAGAACTGGAGGTCATTATGTTAAGTGAATTTAGTGACGCACACAAACTTCATATGTTCTCATTTATGGGAGGTAAAAATCGAAACAATTGCACTCATATATAGACAGAGTAGAAGGATGGTTACCAGAGGCTAGGAATGGTTGTGGGGTGATGGTAGGGGAATGTGGGGATGGTTACTGGATGCAAAAAATAGTTACAAGTAATAAATAAGACCTAGAATTTGATAGCATAAGAGGGTTACCATAGTCAGCAGTAATTTATTGAATATTTAAAAATAGCTGAAAGAGTAAAATGGAATTGTTTTTAATACAAAGAAAGGATAAATGCTTGTAGTGATTATACCCCACATTCCCTGGTATGATTATTATGCATAATATGCCTCTATCAAAATGTCTTCTGTACCCCATAAATACATATATACTTACTATGTGCCAACAAAAATTAAACATAAAAATATTTACTTAAAAAAAAGACAAGTGTCTGCATCAAAGGATAAGAGAACAATGTTAGAAAAACTCATCTTCAAAGGGCATTTGTAGTGTCACATATTGTCAAAAGACTGCTTTCCCAGATTCAGGAGGACTCTTTAGACCATTTATGCCACCCATTGTGTCCTATTAGAACACAAACACTAAATTTCCAAAAATAATCTCAGAGAATGAAATGTTTAAAAAGTAGCTTCTGTAATGAAACTGGGTTTCATGAAGGTCATCAAGGTATATATTAAAAACTAAATATGCTCATATTATTTGTAACTTATGGATGAAATAAAAAAGGAAAGGATTTTAGAGGTAGAAGAGGACTTACTAAATTAACATAGGGCTTCTAGTACAAGAGAGTAAAATGGACAGACATATTTCTATTTGTCTTTTTATTCTGCCTCCTATTGAAATGACAGTCAATATATAAAAATGATGTAAATCTCTAATGGTAAAGAGAATGGAGGAAGGAAAGGTAGGGAAACTGAGTGTAAAAACACTACGGTTATTTATGTGTACTATAAGCAGTTGTCCCCAACCCTGGGCCACAGACTTGTACTGGTTGGTGGCCTGCTAGGAACTTGGCCACACAGCAGGAGGTGAGTGGCCTGTGAGCAAGCATTACCGCCTGAGCTCTGCTCCTGTCAGATCACAGGCAGCATTAGATTCTCACAGGAGCACGAATCCTATTGTGAACTGCACATGTGAGCGATCTAGGTTGTGCATTCCTTAGAAGAATCTTACTAATGCCTGATGATTTGAGGTGTAACAGCTTCAATCTGAAACCATTCCTCCCACCACCCCTGGTTTGTGGAAAAATCGGTGCCAAAAAGGTTGGGGACTGCTGCTATAAAGGGAGTGAGAATGTCTGCAGGGATACAACAGAGTGGAGGAAGCTGGAATACAGAATGCACTTAGAAGGAGGCTGGATTGGAGGTGGAAAACTGAGTTGCCAGTTCAGAGTTTGAGCTGGTAGCTGGGCAGAAAGCAGGCTAGTTAATTGAAGGACTTTGTACAGATTCTTTACAGGCTAATATGATTTCCCAAATGATTGGATGCATCATATATAAAGGAAAGCAACTGAGAAGAGAAAGACTGTGTAGAACAGGTTTAGGGGGAAGAATTATGGACTAAGTTTTAGGTACATGAAGTTTGGAATTTTATCTCTTGAGTGTATTAAAAATAACCAAGATTCAAGATGAGGGTAGCCTTGAAACAAGAGAGAGGAGCTCAAATCATTGGAAGAGAGGAGTGTAACTTTGACATAGGTATGACTGCAGCAGTGAGGGCAGCAAAGAAAAGTACTAGGTAATTTCTAACCCTATCCATATGTGATGAGTCACTAATCAGAGTTGTGTGCCTAAGCTTCTAATGCAGGTCTTGGTGAGAAATGATGACTCTAGATTGATGAAGAGGAAGAACAAAATCCAGTCCTTATTGGTGGAATAACAGAAGCAAATATAAGAATGTCTCCTTTGCTACTGGCTATACTTCAGTGGTTACAGCTTAGGCCAATGAGATATTTGGCAGAGGCTTGCAAGTTGGGAAGAGATTTCTTTCTGAAATAAAACAACAAAGCTTTCTGAGAGACATTTTCCTCTATTCTGAACTGTGGATATTAGCCCTGGGGAGCAGTAGCCACCTTGCAACCATGAGGGAAAAAGTCTAGGGAAGAAAGACAACACAGGAAAGGTGGCAGAGCTGGGACACTGCTGGAGGGTTGTTACCCAAGGCAGCACTTAATATATCCACCAGTTGAACAATGAGAACACTTGGACACAGGGTGGGGAACGTCACACACTCGGGCCTGTCGTGGGGTGGGGGGACGGGGGAGGGATAGCATTAGGAGACATACCTAATGTAAACGACAAGTTAATGGGTGCAGCACACCAACATGGCACATGTATACATATGTAACAAACCTGCATGTTGTGCACATGTACCCTAGAACTTAAAGTATAATAAAAAGAAAGAAAAAGAAAGAAAGAAAGAAAGAAAAGAAAAGAAAAGGAAAGGAAAGAAAAGAAAAGAAAAGAAAAGAAAAAAGAAAAAGAAATATCTCCACCAACAGGGATAGGGCTATGTGCTGTGGATTTTTAAGCTTATATATATTTTTTTCTTTTGGAGACAAGGTCTCTCTCTAGCACCCAGGTAGGAGTGTAGTGGTATGATCATAGTTTTTTGTAACCTCCAACTCCTGGGCTCATAACATTATAAAACTTAAATGGAATGCTTATATAAGAAAATAATTCAAAATCATAAATACAAAATGAATGAGGGATCAATCTTTTGACAGAATAGTCCAGAGTTACTTACACTCTGGATTAAACTATTTGTTTTGGTAAACTATTTGTTTACTAGATACATAATATATGAATTATTAGAAAATCTATTAAGAAAAATCAGATAAGGGAAATAGGTACTCTCACAATATTCAAATTGGTCTTGAAAATTTATAAAGGTAATTGAAGCACATTTTCCTTTATATCAAAGAAATAAAAATGAGACTTCCACTTTCCATCAGAGATGCAGGGAGCAGGAATGTCTCACCCACACCCTTACAATAGAAAAAGATGGATAAAATGCAAATCATAACTTTTCTTGAACCCATCAGGAGTTGAGCTTACCAGGCAAACAGCTAACTGGAAATCTAGAGAGAGATGGGCTCCTGTAAGAAGACATAGGATTTGAACACTTGTTTACTTGAAGCAGAAGTCAACCAGTGCTGTATAAGTAAAATGATTCAGCTAGAAATGTTTAATGAGTTGCTAAATACCAAATGTGGCTGGACAAAAGAAAGTGTGAATTCCCTGAAGTCTGCACACATCAGGGGCTTTATGCTTCTTGCAGCTGATTCTTTCAGTAGCCCCACTATGCACTCTATATGAAGATTACAGATAATCTCTAGGCAGCTCCATTGGTACTGGCTGGGGTATGAGAACAGCAACTACTGTTCAAGGCCTGCTCAAGATCAATCTCTCATTTCACCTTTAAAGAATAAAAGTCTTTATCTCCAAAAGGGTAGGACAACAAAAACTATGGTTTGAGAGTACTGGTGAAAACCCTTGCAGCTGGGAAGGGAAACTAGGAGAAAAGCTCCACTCCTTGGAGAGGAACAGGTCATCATCAAGACCAAGATTCACAGAGCTTGCCTAATACTGAGCTTCACGGCAACATCATCCCCTTGCTAATGAGTATCTGGTAACAATAAGAGTGGAATATAGCTGGGAGAGCTGCAAGAGACAGATTGTTTCTGAGTAATACAGCAAAAGGAGAAACAAAATATACTCAGAGGGCAGAATTTATATACAAATTTTTACTAAGATATTTAATGCTTTTGATGTTCCCAGGGCAATGAAAACAATAAAAAACTTCAAGCCCAGTCCTGTTACTGACGACCCCCACAATATATGCCTAGTGGCAGGAAAGATGTTATTATCTCCATGTAAAATAAATATTTACTTCAGTATTGACATTCCTATACTACATTTATGGATTTCAACAAAAAATTCTGAGACATCAAAAGGCAATGAAAACACACACTGAACAGATACAGCAATCATCAAAACCAAACCACAATAAGACACAGATGTTGGTATTGTCAGACAAACAAAAATTAATTTTTAATTCAAGTGACTCAAAGACACATTTTTGTAGAGAATATAAACAATATAATCTTCATTGATAAGATCAGTCCTAAACAAACTGATGGATAGACAATTTTGTTTGTATTTATACTCTCATTTTTCCACGATCTTTTCTCTGTTTATAAATATCTTATATTCTCTATTTTCACTACTATCAAAAGCCTGCTTCTTAAAAAAGAAATGTATTGCTCACAACGTAGTGAAGGAAAAAATTTCTCTTCCAATTTTGCTGGAGATCAAGTCTTAATTCACAGGCATAAACTTATATTGATAGAAGTTAGGACAAGTACAAATTATACAGTGGAGATTTATTGGTGGTTAGAGTTGTGTATAGGGATATTAAGAAGATGATGTCTCCATGTAGACAGAGCTCTCTTTAGGATTCTAAAATCATGTCACTTTCAAGCTTTCACTAGTGGGCAAAGTGGAACCATGAATTACATGGGGCATCCTTACTTTCCTGGAAACACACAACCTCCCAAGTTTGAACCAGGAAGAAATCAAAACCCTAAATAGATCGATATCAAATTCTTGAATCAGTACTAGAAACCCATCCAACCAAAAAAATCCTTGAGCTGGATGGATTCACAGCCAAACTTTAACAGATATACAGAGAAGAGCTGGTAGCAATTCTATTAAAACTATTCAAAGCAAAGTCAAAGAGGAGGGACTCCTCCCTAATTCATCTATGAAACAAGCATTGCCCTGATAACCAGAATCTTGACAAAGACACAGTGAATACAGAGAACTAGAAGCCAATATCTCTAATAAACATAGAGGCAAAAATCCTCAACAAAACAATAGCAAATCAATTCTTACAGCACATCAAAAGTTAATTCACCATGATAAAGTGGGCTTTATTCCTGGGATGCAAGGATGGTTCAACATACACTAATCAATAAAGGCAATTCAGCACATAAACAAAAGTAAAAACAAAACCCATATGATCATCTCAATAGATACAGAAAAAGCAGTTGATAAAACATACAACATCCTTTCATGATAAAAACCCTCAAGAAACTAGGCATTGAAAAAACTTACCTCAAAATAATAAGTGCCATCTATGACAAACCCACAGGTAACATCATACTGAATGGGCAAAAGCTGAAAGCATTCCCTTTAATAACTGGAATAAGACAAGAATGTCCAACTTTCACTAACCTTATTAAAGACAGTACTTGAAGCCCTAGCCAAAGAAATAAGGCAAGAGAAGGAAATAAAAGTCATCCAAATAGGAAAACAGGGAGTAAAGTTATCTCTTTTGCTGATTATATCATTGCATATCTTGAAAATGCTAAAATTTCTGCCAAAAGACACTTTACCTTGATAAATGACTTAAGCAAACTCTCACGATACAAAATCAGCATACAAAAATTAGTGACATTTCCATATACCAATAATATCCAAGCTCAGAACCAAATCAAGAACTCAATCCCACTTACAATAAGCATATAAAAATACCTAGGAATAAACCTAATCAAGGAGGTACAAGATCTCTATAAGAACAATAAAACAATGTTGAAATAAATAAAAGCTGGCACAAACAAATGAAAAAACAGTTGGTGCTCATGGGTGGAAAGAATCAATATTATTAAAGTGCTTATTCTGCCCAAGGCAACCTACAGATTCAATGCCATTCCTATCAAACTGCCAATGTTATTTTTCACATAATTAGAAAAAACACTATTCCAAAATTCATATGCAACCAAAAAAGGAGCCCAAATGGTTAATGCAATCCTGAGCAAAAGAACAAAGAAAGAGACATCACTCTAAATGACTTCAAACTGTAAGAATACAGTAATCAAAAAGCATGGTACTGCTAAGTATTAGACACATAGACCAATAGAATGGAACAGAGAACCCTGAAATAAAGCTGCACATTTACAACAAACTCATCTTTGAAAAAATTGACAAAAATAAACAATGGGAAAATGACACTATATTCAACAAATGGTGCTGGGAAAATTGGCTAACCATATGCAAAAGAACAAAATTGGAACCTTACCTCTCACAATGTGTAAAAATTAACTCAAGATAGATTAAAGTCTTAAATGTAAGATCTCAAACCACAAATATTCTTGATAAAAGCTAGGAAGTAGTCATCTAGACACTGGCCTAGGAAAAGAATTTATGATGAAGATCCCAAAAGCAAATGCAACAAAATGAAAAACAGACAATTAGAACTTGAGTAAACTAAAGCGCTTCTACACAATAAAAGAAACTCTGATCAGAACAGACAACCTACAAGATGTGAAAAAAAAATTGCAAACTATGGAATTTTGGATTGCATCGTTTGGATGCAAACTATGCATCCTACAAAGGACTAACATTCAGTGTCTATTAAGAACTTAAATAAATCAAGAGTAAGCAACAACCCAAGTGAAATGTGAGGAAAGGACATGAGCAAACATTTTTCAAAAGAAGACATACAAGCAGCCAATAGAAATTAAAAGATTTCTCAGCAACGCTAATCATCAGAGAAGTGAAAATCACAACCACAAGGAGATACCATCATCTCACACCCACCAGAATGGTTATATTAAATAGTCAAAAAATAACAGATGTTGATGAGGTTATGGAGAAAAGGGAATTCTTACACACTGTTTGTAGGATTGCAAATTAGTGCAGTGTCTGTGGAAAGCAGTTAGAACATTTCTTGAAGAATTAAAAACAGAACTACCAATTGACCCAGTACTCCCATTAATACGTGGATACTCAAAGGAGAATAAATCATTCTATCAAAAAGTCACATGCATTCGTATGTTTGTGGCAGGACTATTCACAATAGCAGAGAATGGAATCAACTTAAGTGCCCATCAGTGGTTGATTGTATAAAGAAAATGTGGTACATATACACCATGGAATACTACACAGTCATAAGAAAGAATAAAATCATGTCTTTTGCAGCAACCTGGATGCAGCTGGAGGCCATTGTCCTAAGCAAACTACATAAGAAACAGAAAGCCTAATATCACATGTTTTCACTTGTAAGTGGGAGCTAAATCTTGCATTACCATAGATGTAACAATGAGAACAACAGATACTGGAAACTCCAAACAAAGGGAAAGAGAGATGAAAACAAAGGACTAAAAAAAGTCTTATTGGATATTATTTTTACTATCTGGGTGACAGGATGAATAGAAGCCCAACACTCAGCACTATGCAATACACCCTTATAATAAACTACACATGTACCCTCTGAATCTAAAGTTTAAAAAAGGAAATCAAAATAAAAAAATAACCTTCACTACAGATGAAGTGGACCTAATGGATATTTAAGGAACACTTCACCCAACAGTTGCTGAATGCACATACTTTTCATTAGCATGTGGAACAATCGCCAGGATAGACCATATGTTAGGACACAAAACAGGTCTCAGAAATTATTTTTAAAAAATCAAATACATGTCAGGTATCTTAACTGGCCACACGAAATAAAACTAGACATAATAACAAGAGTAACATTCAAAACTATACAAATACACAGAAATTAAACGACATATTCTTAAATGACCAATGAGTGAAGAAAGACATTAAGAATAAAATTTTAAAAATTATCTGAAAAACATGAAAATACAAACACAATATGCCAAAACCTATGAGACACAGCAAAAGAAGCATTAAGAAGCAAGTTTATAGCAATAGAGGCCTATATCAAAAAAAACTAGAAAATTTAAAAATAAACAACCTGCACATGTACATCAATTAACATAAAAATTTTCAAACCTAACCCAAAATTAGTAGATAAAAGAAATAAGATCATGGCAAAACTAAATGACAAAGAGTAACAAAAAAAATAAAAAAGATCAACAAAGCAAAATGCTAGTTTTTTGAAAAGATTAACAAAATTGACAAACCATTAGCTAGACTAAGAAAAAAAAAGACCCAACTAAATAAAATCAGAAATTAACAAGGAAATTTCACAACAGCTACTACAGAAATACAAAGGATCATTAGGAGATACTCTGAACACTATTTTAAATTTGAAAACCTAGAGAAAATTGATAAATTCCTGACACACAATCTATCATGATTGAATAAAGAAGAAATAGAAAATCTGACAGACCAATAGCAAGTAACATGGTTGAAACAGTAACAAAAAGTCTTCCAACAAATACAAGTTGAAGACTGTATGGCTTCACTGTTAAATTCTATGGGTATAATTCTACTGGTACAATTCTTTTTAACAAGAATTAAAACTCATTATTCTGAAACAATTCTAAAAATGGGAAACCAAGGGAATTTTCTTAACTCATTCTACAAGGCCAGCAAAACACTGCAAAATTAAAACCAATTAGAACATGAGGAAATAAAAAGAAAAAACTACAGGCAAGTATTTCTGATAAATATAGCTGCAAAAATATGCAACAAAATAATAGCAAACTAATCCAACAACATACCAAGCAATAATACCATGATTGAGTGAGATTCATCCAAGGAATGCAAGAATGGTTCAAAATACGTGAATCAGTAGGGTCATGCATCACATCAGTAGAATAAAAGTTATGTGACCATCTTAGTAGACACAGGAAATGCTTTTGAATAAATTTGAATATCTCTTCCTGATAAAAACTTTCAGTAAATTAGGTATAAAAGAAAAATGCATCAACATATTAAAGGTCCTATATGAAAAACACACATCTAACTATTTTCTGAATGGGGAAAATCAGAGAGCTTTTGCCCTAAGAAACAGAACAAGTTTGTCTAATCTCACAATTCCTAATCAACATAGTTCTGAATTTCCAGCCAGGGCAAATAAGAAAGAGAAATAAAGAAGAGCATTTAAATTGGAAAGGAGAAAGTCAATTTGTCCATTTTTGCAGATGACCTCATCTTATATATAGAAAAATCTAGAGACTTACAAAAAAACATTAGAAATGATTTCAATAAAGATGCTGGATGCAAAATTAATATACAAAAATCAGTAGTGTTTCTATAAATAAACAATGAATTAGCTAAAATAATCAGAAGGACAAACCTATTTACAAGAGCTCCAAAAAAAAGACCTAGGAATAAATTTTGCCAAGGAGGTAAAAACTTCTCCAAGAAAATGTACAAAATGCTGATGAAAAATACTGAAGAGGATACAAACATGTAGAAAGAAATCCTGTGTTTATGAATTAGAAAAATCAGTATTGTTTAAATGACACTACTATCCAAATCAATCCACAAATTCATGCAATTCATATCAAAATACCAATGACACTCTTCACTGAAATAGAAAATATTAGAAAATGTCTACAGAACCACAAAACTCTTCAAATCTCCAGAGCAGTTCTTATCAAAAAGACCAAAGCCAGATTCATTACACTACCAGAGGTCAGAATATACTACAAAGCTACAGTAACCAAAACAGCATGATACTAGCATAAAAACAGACACACAAACTAGTTGAACAGAATAGAAAAGCCAGAAATTAATCCACATATGTATAGCCAACTGTTTTTTTGACAAAAATACCAAAAACTCTCACTGGGGCAAGGACAGCCTGTTCAATAATTGTGCTGAAAAAACTGAATATACACATGCAGAATAATGAAAAAGAGCTCCTACCTCTTATGCTATTACAAAAAAAACTCAAAATGGATCAAAGACCTAAATGTTATACCAGAAACAATAAAACTACTCTAAGAAATTGTAGGGAAAATATTACAGGACATTGGTCTGCAAAAAGATTTTATGAGTAAGACCTTAAAAAAACAGGCAACAAAAGCAAAAATGAATAAATGAGATAATAACCAACTAAAATGCTCTGTATGGCAATAGAAATAATCAACAGGGTGAAGAGCCAGTATACAGAATGTGAGAAAATATTTCCAAGCTACTCATTCAACAGCAGATTAATATTCAGAGTATACAAGGAACTCAAACAGTTCAACAGCAAAAAGATCAGCAATTTAATTTTTAAAAGAATGGGCAAATAGTCTGAACAGACATTGCTCAAAAGAAGACATACAATTGGCTAACAAATATATGAAAAAAAATTGTCAACATCACTAATTAAAAGAGATATGCAAATAAAAACCACAATGAGGTATCCTCTCACCCCAGTTAGAATGGCTATCATAAAAAAAGACAAACTATAAATGCTTGCAAGGATGCAGACTACAGAGAATTCTTACAGACAGTTGGTGGTAATGTAAACTAGTATGGCCACAAAGGGAAGAGTAAAGGGGTTCCTCAATAAACTACAATGGAAATACCTTACAATCTAGCAATCACACTATTGAGAATTTATCCAAAGGAAATAAAATCACTAAATAAAAATATGTCTGCACCTAGATGTTTATCACATCCCTGTTCACAGGAGCCAAAATATAGCATTAATCTCAGTGTCCAACAACAAATAAATGGATAAAACATGAGATAGATGGATGATAGATAGATAGACATATATCTGTATGTTTAGAGAGATACATAGAATACTAATTAGCTATAAAAAAGAATTAAATCTTGTCATTTGCATCAACATGAATAGAATTTGACAACATTATGATAAATGAAATAAGCCAGGAGCAGAATATTTTGCACCATGTGTTTTCACTCATATGTGGAAGCTTAAGAGTTGATCTCATAGAAGTAAAAAGTCAAACAGAGGATACTAGACAAGGAAGGGTAAGGAGAAGAGAAGGATAGGAAGATTTTTTTTAAAAGATACAAAATCACAGCTCAAAAAAGCACAGCAAAAAGGCAGAGGTAAGTTCTTACTTTCAAGAATCACACTGAATGTATATAGACTCAATTCTCCAGTTAAAAGAAAGTTGAATGAATGGATAAAATAACAAGACTCAACCATACGTTGCCAACAAGAGACTTACTTCACCTATACAGACATGCATAGACTGAGAGTGAATGAGTGCAAAAAGATACTCTATACAAATAAAAACCAAAACAAAACAAGAGTAGCTATACTCTCTCAGATAAACATAAATTTCTAGTTAAAACATAAAGAGACAAGGTCATTATATAATGATAAAAGGGTCAATACAACCAGAGCATATAGCAATCATGAATACCTATGCACCCAACATCAAAGCATCTAAATACATAAAGGAAACATTAATAGATTTACAGGGAGAGATACATAGTAATACAATAATAGTAGGAGATTTCAACACCCTGCTTCCTGCAATGGACAGATTATTTACAGAAAACCAAGCAAAAAAAATCAGATTTAAATTGCACTCTAGACCAAATGGACTTAACAGACATTTACAGAACATTCTATCCAACAGCTGCAGAATGCACATTCTTCTATACTGCACATAGTATGTTCTCCAGGATAGACTATATGTTAGTTTACCAAAAAAGTCTTTAAAAATTCAAAAAAACTAAAATCATATCAAGAATCATTTTTTCACCATAATGAAATAAAACTAGAATTCAACAAAAGGAGGAGTTCTGAAATGCTGCAAGTACATGGAAATTAAACAGCATGTTTCTAAACAACCTGTAAGCCAATGAAGAAATTAAAAGAGACATTTTAAAACTTTCTAAAGACAAATGAAGATGAAAACACAACATACTAAAACTTATGGAATACAGCAAAAGTGGTCCTTAGAAGCAAGTTTATAGCAATAGATGTCTACATCAAAAAAAGCTCTCAAATGAACCACCAAATGATGGTTCTCAAGGATAGAAAAGCAAGAATAAAATAAACTCACATTAGAAGGAAAATAATAAAATCAGAGTACAGTAGAGACCTAAAAACAACACAAAAGATAAATGAAATGCAGAGCTGATTTTATAAAAGCATAAACAAAATTGGCAAACCTTTAGCAAGACTAACCATGAAAAAAAAGACAGGAGTCAAATAAATAAAATCAGTTTAAAAAGGAGGCATTACAACTGATGCAACTGAAATACAAATGTTCATAAGAAACTACTATGCACAATTAATGATATGCCAACAATATGAAAAATCTAGAAGAAATGGATCAGTTCCTGAACATAAAAACCCACCAAGGGTGGTTGAAGGTTGGGAGGGTGGTGAAGGATATAATGGATATAATACTACATATTGCATACATTGTACACTTCTTAGGTGACAGGTACACAAAAGTCTCAGGCATCACTAAAGAACTTATCCATGTAACCAAAAGCTGCCTGTACCCCAAAATCTATTGAAATAAAAATAATTTAAAAAATCTGCCAAGACTGAATTAAGAAGAAATAGAAAATGTGAATCAACAAATAATGAGTAATGAGATCTTAAGCGGTAATAAAATGTCTTTCATTAAAGGAAAGTCCAAGACATGACGACTTCATGGCTAAATTCTACAAAATATCTTTAAAATAATGAATACAATTCTTTACAAACTATCTTAATAAATTTAAAAGGAGGGAACTCTTTCAAATTTATTATGTGAAGCCATCATCACACTGATTCTAAAACCAGAGAAAGACACAACAGCAACAAAAATACTTCAGGCCAATACCCTTGATGAACTGAGATGAAAAAAATAGTCAACAAAATACCAGCAAACCAAATTTAACAACAAATTTTAAAAATCAAGTGGGATTCATCCCAGGGATGCAAGCATATTTCAACATATTTAAATCAATAAACATGATACATCACATCAATAGAGTCAGACAAAAATTATATGATCATTTTAATAGATGCAGATCCATTTGACAAAATTCAACACCTCTACATAATAAAAGCTCTCAACAATTAGGTATAGAAGGAACATACTTCAACATAACAAAGGCCATCTATGACAAATCCATAGGCAGTGTAATGCTGAATGAGGAATAGTTGAAAGCTTTTCCTCTAAGATCTGGAACAAGATAAAATTTCCCACATTTACCAGTCCTATTCAACACATGACTGGAAGTCCACAACAGACTGAATAACTAAAGCAATTCTGAGCAAACGGACAAAGCTAGAGACATCAAACAACTTGGCTTAAAAATATGCTACAAAGCTATAGTAACCAAAACTGCATTGTATTGGCTAAAAATATAGAAAAGACAAAAAGACAAATGGAACAAAACAGAAATGCCAGAAATAAATTCATGCATTTACAACCAACTGATCTGACAAAGAGGCCAAGAACACAAATCAAGGAAAGGTCACTCTTTTCAATAAATGATGATGAAAAAACTGAATCTCTGCATACAATAGAATAAAACTAGACCTCTATTTCTCACCATATACAAAATTCAATTCAAAATAGATTAAAGATTTAAATGTAAAACCCAAAACTATGAAACTATTAGAATAATGCAAGGAGAAATGCTACATAACTTCAGCCTGGGCAAGGATTTATTAGACAAGATCTCAATAACTCAGGCAACAATAGCAAAAATACAGTAATTACATCAAGTTAAAAATCTTGTGTATAGAAAACAATCAACAGACTAAGGAGAATACCTACAGAATGAGAGAAAATATTTACAAATTATACATCTGACAAGAGGTTATTATCTAGAATTATAAGGAATTCAAACAACTCAATAGAAAAATAATGTAATTTAAAAATGGACAAAATACCTGAATAGATATTTCTCCAAGAAAGATATAGAAATGGACAACAGTTATATGAAAAAAATGCTCAATATCACTAACAATCAGGGAAATGCAAATAAAAAGCAGAATGAGATATCACCTCACCCCACTAAGAAAGGCTGTCATAAAAGACCAAAAACAAAACAAAAAAAAGAAAAGAAAAAATGCTGGCAATACTGTGGAAAAAAGGAAAGTCTTATACATTGTTGGGAATGGAAATTACTACAGCCATTATGAAAAACAGCATGGATATTCCTCAAAAAATTAAAAATAGATATACCATATGATCCAGCAATCCCACTACTGGGTATATCGTCACAGAAAATGAAATGAGTATGCTGAAGAGTCATTTTGCACTCCCATGTTAATTGCAGCACTGTTGATTTTAGCCAAAACATGGAATCAACCTAAATGCCATTAACAGAGAAATGGATAAAGAAAATGTGGCATATATACAAAATTGACTACCATTCTGCCACTAAAAAAGGATGAAATCCTGTCATTTACAAAAAAATAGTTGAGCCTGGAGAACATTATGTTAAGGGAAATAAGTCAGGTACAGAAAGAAAAATATTGCATGATGTCATTCATGTGAAGAATCTAAACAAATTGATCTCGTAGACATTAAGAGTAAAATTGTGGTTACCAAAGACAGGAAAAACAGGGGAAGGGGAAGATGGGGAGGAATTGGTCAATGAGTGCAATGTTCCAGTTAGGAGGAATAAGTTGTTGGTACTTACTGCATAGTAGGGTGACAATAGCTAACAATAATGCATTATATATTTCAAAAAGCTAGAAGAGAGGACTTTGAATGTACTCATAATTAAGAAATTATAAATGTATAAGGTGATGGATACACTAATAACCATGATTTGATTATTACACAATGTATACATGTATTGAAATATCACATTGTATTCAATATATATGATTATATGTGTGTGTGTATATGTGTGTGTGCATGTGATCACATTAGATTTGTTATATGATACCTACAAACCTAGCATGTATGTGGGTTTCCTCAAATTTCTGTTTGTGTGATTAATTTTTTTTCCTTAGGATTACAGTCTGAGAACAGGTATAAAGATATATATATACACACACACATACACACACACACATACATACACACGTATATATCTATATATCTTCCAGGCCAGTTCCCATATTCTAGTAATAATTTCTTGTGACTTTACTACACTCAGGTACACCTTTTCCTATACCATGGTGGTCTATCAAGGAATCCTAGCATCATGTGGAATGTTTTAAAGATATCCAAGCGATATCACACATGTTTGAATTTGGAATCTCTACAGTAGGTATATAATTATATTTCTTTTAAAATATATTTTTACAGTTGATTCTGATACAAAACATCTTTTAACCAATTGAGAATTATAAACTACAACCTCTAGCATTCACTAAGTAGAGATGTTGCTCCTGATAGTGACAGGAGACAGCCAAATGCCTAGGCAAATAGGGGCAGGTTTCCGGTGAAACCCCACCTCCAAGCTGATGACAGTTTAAAGTCCAAAAGCCAGGCTACAAGTTAAAGCCTTAGACCAGATTGAGAAGTTGTCTTCTTATTTGGCAGGCTTTCCTCTGACTGGTCCCACCCTCCAACTATTTTAGATATAACTACTCTTTCTTAATTGGTTTTCTATACTGTCATGCCCACCTTTGAGTGGTGCCTTCACTTTAACCTTTTTTGCATACTCAGAAACCAGTCAGCACACACTCCCCATCCTGTGCCTATAAAGACTCCAGACTCAGCTGGTAGACTGGGGAGACAGCCTGAATTCGAGGAAGAGACAGCAGGACTTCGGGGAAGACAACCGGCCCTTCCCATCCCCTCTCCAGCTCCCCTCTCCACTGAGAGTCGTTTTCATTACTCATTAAAACTCTCCACCTTCACCACCCTTCAACTGTCAATGTGACCTCATTCTTCTTGGACACCAGACAAGGGCCTGGAACCCACCGAATGCAGGTACCCAGAAAAATCTGTCACACTGGCCTTTGCCCTCACTGGCAGAGGGCAGCCACCCAAGGTAAAGAGACAAGGGGCCAACTGAGCTGCTAACATGCTGCCATCTGTTAGACTGTAGACGGTGGAACTAAAGGAGCACCATAACAACCCCTCTGGGGCTTCAGGATCCTGAGCACCCTTGCACCTTGCCTGGCTGCCAGCCCTGCATGTAACTCACTCGTTTCAGTGCCTGGAGCGGTTGCCCAGGTCCAGCATTCACTCACTCGCACCTGGTCTGGCCATGAGAAACTCACAGAGCTTGTTTCTGTGTCGATGACCAGGACAGCCCACATGGTCCTGCACTACGTCACTCACACTCTCCCTCCCACAAGGGGTTGAGCATGGCAGACCAAATAAACAGGGCACCTCTATTGTGAGTCCAGTGAAGAGGCCAAGAAATATCCTGCATCACTACCAGAAAATGCAATATTTAAATATTTGATCTCATTTTCTCTATTTCTTATCCAGCTTGTGAAGATGTGGAAGATATCTTCTTGTGCACAATGAATAAACAAACAAGTATGCAAGGAAGTAACACAGATTTTGCTTCTCCCAGAGAACAGACAGATGCAATGAAGACACATCTTATCAATGGGTTTTGCTTTCTCAAGCTAAAGTCGGTTTTTCTTAATCCACTTCCATGGGTCCAGTAGAAACTTAACACGTATTATAATAAGTTGTCTCACAATTACACCTTGCAATATTTGAATATTTCTATTTCTTCTGCAGGATCTTAATGGGAGGTTGGAAGAAGATCCATCGAGGTTGTTAGTCAAACACAAATTCAAATTTTAAATTAATAATATTTATAATTTCTGAAAAATATACAACTTAACATGAAAATATATATTATAGCATAAATCCAGGCCAGATTTTGGCCTAAGTAATACATCCAAAGTGTTTCATTTTTTTTAAAGGCATCAGGCTTTTCTCTTTATTTAGGCTATTAATCTATCTTGTCCTTTTTACCTCCCTTATATTCTAGTCACTGGTTTTATTAGCAGTTACAACTACCAAACAATTACTTTTTATTGTATCACACACTAACCATGCCTCTCACTTTAAATTTTTATGGATCATATATTCTAATCTTAACCATAAAGGCATAGCTATATCCTAACCATGGGTACTCCCATTTTTTATAGTTTATTATAGATGCATAGACTTATCCATTGGTCCACTGTAAGTAAAGAATGTTGGAATTGTCAGTGAAAGACCAGGAACACCTCAAAAATAACATCTTAATGAATCAATGCAATGTTAGTTGGCAGCAGCATTGTCTTGCATGTCCAAATTACATGTTTTACTATCTGTTCCAGCAGAAGGTACAAAATGTTCACCATTATTTAAGAATTCTAAGTTTGCTTCATCCATTACTTTTCTTTCATTGTCCGATGCCTTGGTATCTTTTCCTTGAAATTTTTTCTTCATAGCAAAAATGAAAACAATATATAAAACAAGTGCTGGGAATCTTAAAGCTATAGATAAGCCCAAGTAGACCCTTCTGTGAAAAGAGAAAATAGAGAGTCGATTATTATTTTAAATGTGTAAAATATCTTACATTTTTTTCTCCCCAGTATGCATATCTTAAAAGAAAGAAAAACAAGTTACACATACAAATATTAAGAGAACAATTCTATTTATTATTTTCATTGGGGGCATAAGATATTTTTCTATTATTAAAAAAACATATGAAGCTACAGAAACTAAACCCCAGCTGTCTCTAGCCTTCCTTTGGGAGGGAGGAAAATACATAACTCCAGCCCCCTCAAGCCATCTCATTCTACCTAAGGAGTGGGAGACAGAAACTGAGAAGCAAGTTTGAAGTTCACAGTCCAGAGGTACAGGCTCACTAAAAGATTGAGGCCTTATCATAGAACTACAGGATGCTACTTTGTCTTCATCGCCTTACACCACATTAATAAAGGCTTATATACAGCAATTCCTTTTACCCAATACATTTTGTCTGGCTGTCAAGAAAAATTTGCAAGTCACATACTAAAAGACAATAAACACAGTCTGAAAAGAATAAGACTTAAAACCAGACCCAGATATGTCAGGGAATATCAGGGATGGAAATTTAAAACAACTATTATTAATTTGTCAAGTGGTCTAATGGATAATGTAGACAGAATGTAAGAAAGGTTAGCAATTTAAGTAAAGAGATAAAAATTCTAAGAACCAAAATGAAAGAATACAGATAAGAAAACTGTAACAGAAATGATAAATGCCTTCATGGATTTATTATTAGATAGAGCACTGCTGAGGAAACAATCTCTAAGTTTATATCAATAAAAAAAGCAAAGAAAAATAAGACAAAAGAAAGAAAAAACAGAATAACCAAGAACATTGGAAGGACTACACAAGTGTTTATAATGAAAATACTTGAAGGGGAAAATGAAAGGAACAAAATAAAGATTTCAAATAATAAGTACAGAAAATTTTTATTGAATTAATGTCAGACACCAAACCACAGATCCAGGAAGCTCAAAAAACACCAAGAAGGATAAAGGCCAGAAAAACTATGCATAGGTTTGTTATTTTCAAGCTATAGAAAATCAAAGATGAAGAAAACATCCTGAAAGAAACCAAAAGGAAAAGCAAACCTTATTTATAGAGTAGAAAAGATTACATCAGCCTTCTCTTCAGAAACCATGCAAGCAAGAAGAGAGCAAAGTGAAATATTTAACTGTTAAGAAAAATAAAACACCAACTTAAAAATTCTGTACCATATGAAATTATCTTTCAAAAGCTAAGTCGAAATAAAGACACTGTCATACAAACAAAAATTGAGGGACTGTTTTGCCAGTAGACTCTCCTTGCAAGAAATCTTAAAAGAAGTTTGTTAGAAGGAAAATGATATAGGTCATAAACTCGGATATACATAAAGATGGAAGAATATCAGAGAAGAAATCAGTTAAGGTTAAATAAAAAAATTATTCTAAATTGATTTAATAGAAATCAGTTTCTTTAAAATAATAATAGAAACAATGTATTTAATTATATATAATATACATGCTTATTCATATGTGTATGTATGCTTACAGTAAGTGGAGTAAATGACAGCAATGACACAATGTGTAGGAAAGAAGAATTAGGGTTATTTTGGTATTATAAGGGTACTCATAATCTGTGAACTAATAAAGTGTTACTAAAATATAAACTTGGATTAGTTCTAAATGTATATTGCAAATTCTAGGAAAATCACTGAAATTTTTATTTAAAAAGTACAACTAATAAACTAACAAATGAGAGAAAATGAAATTATATAAAATGCTCAATTAAAACAAAACGGGAAGACAGAGAGTGGAATACAAAAATAGGATCAAAGAACAAGGAGAGCAAATAGAAAATAGTAACAAATATCGTCAGTATTCTTTCAATTATATCAGTAATCACTTTGAATGTCAATGATATAAATACACCAATTAAAAGACCAAAATAAGCCAGGCATGGTGGCTCATGCCTGTAATCCCAGCACTCTGGGGGGCCAAGATGGGAGAATCAAGTGAGTACAGGAGTTTGAGACCAGACTGGGCAACAGAGTTGCCCATCTCTAAAACAAACAAACAAACAAAAAATCAAAAAATTAGCTAGGCATGTTAGTTCATGCCTGTGTTCCCAGCTACATGGGAGGCTGAGGCAGAAGGATCTCTTGAGCCCAGGAGGTTGAGGCTACAGTGAGCCATGTTCAAGCCACTGCTCTACAGCCTGGGTAGCAGAGTGAGACCCCATCTCAAAAGATAACAATAAGATTGTTAGAGGATTAAAACCAAGAACCAAACTATATGTAGTCTACAAGAAACTCACTTTAAATATGAAGACATACAGAATAAAAGTAATTAGACTGAGGAAGATATACACTGATAACATTAATCAAAAGAAAATGGGAGTACCTATTTTAATTTTTTAATTTCAAACAGAGCAGACTTCAAAGCAAGGAAATTTATGAAGGATAAAAAAGTCTTTACATAATAACAAAGAAATCAGTTATCCTATTATCCTTTTACAAAACAGAACAATACTTAACATGTAAGCATGTAAAAATGGAGTGTCTAAATATGTGAGGAGAAAATGATAGAGCTGCAAAGAGAAATGCAGTAAGTCTTCACTTAACATTGTCTACAGGTTCTTGGAAATTATAATTTTAAAAGTGAATTTATGTATTGTATAATGAAACCAATTTCACCATAGATAATTGGTATAAAAATAGTTACTATGGTACATAGTGTATTGTTTTGCTTAAAATCAGTTTCTAAGAACCTATGGACAATGTTAAGTGGATACTTAATGTAAATGAACCCACAATTATGTTGGAGACTTCAACATGCCTCTATCAGAAATGCACGGATTCACCAGGCAAAATTCAATCAGACATAGTTGAACTCAACAACACTATCAACCAACAGTATAACAGATGTAACCTACTACATCAAACAGCAACAGACTACAAAGTCTTCCCAAGCTCATATAGAATATTCACCAAGATAGACCACATTCTGGTCTATAAAAGATATCTTAAGAAATTTAAGGCCAGGCGTGGTGGCTCAGGCCTGTAATCCCAGCACTTTGGGAGGCCAAGGCAGGCAGATCACTTGAGGTCAAGAATTTGACACAAGACTGATCAACATGGTGAACAACATGGTGAAACCCCGTCTCTACAAAAATACAAAAAAAAAAAAAAAAGGCTGGGCGCAGTGGCTCACACCTGTAATCCCAGCACTTTGGGAGGCCGAGATGGGTGGATCATGAGGTCAAGAGATTGAGACCATCCTGGCCAACATGGTGAAACCCCATCTCTACTAAAAATACAAAAATTAGCTGCGTGTGGGGGTGCAGGCCTGTAATCCCAGCTATTCAGGAGGCTGAGGTAGGAGAATCACTTGAACCTGGGAGGTGGAGGTTGTAGTGAACTGAGATTGCACCATTGCACTCCAGCCTGGGCGACAGCAGTGAAACTCCATCTGAAAAAAAAGAAAAGAAAAGAAAAAATACAAAAAAAAAAAAAAAAATTAGCCAGGTGTGATAGCACACACCTGTAATCCCCGCTACTCAGAAGGCCAAGACACGAGAATTGTTTGAACCCAGGAAGCAGAGGTTGCAGTGAGTGACATCGTACTGCTGCACTCCAGCCTTGGTAACAGAGCAAGACGGTCTCAAAATAAATAAATAAATAAATAAATAAATAAATAAATAAATAAATAAAAATAAAAATAAAATAGAAGAAATTTGAAAGAATGAAAATCATGTAATATCTGTCCTTAAACCACAAGGGAATTAAACTAGAAGTCAACAACAGAAAGATCATTGGAAAGTCTCAAAATCTGTGAAGATTAAGCAATACACTTCTAAGAAACATATGGGTCAAGATGAAATTTCATGAGAAATTTAAAAATATTTTGAAATAAGTGAAAATAAAATTATAACATCAAATGTTATGGATGCAGTGAAAGCAGAATTAGAGATAAATGAAGAATATCTTAAATCAATCATTTAATCTTTTACCTTAGCAAACTAGAAAAAGAAGAGCAAATTAAATCCAAAGTAATCCGAAGATAATAGTAAAAGTAGGGCACAGTGAAATTTAAAATGGGACATGAGGGGAGAAAATCAACAAAAACAAAAGCTGTTTCTCAGAAAAAAATCAATAAAATTGGAGTCCCTTGCCAGGCTAATTTAGATAAAAAGGAGGACACGATTTACTAATATCAGAAATCAAAGATGGAACATCACTGTAGACCCCATTGACCTTAAAAGGATCAAAAGGGAATGCCATAAACAACATCATGCCCCCAATTTTAATAACCTGAAAGAAATGGACCAATTCCTTGAAAGATACAATCTACCTGAATTCACACAAGAAGAAACAGACTATCTGAATAGATCTATATCTGTTAAAGAAATGAATTGATAATAACCTTCTAAAGCAGAAAACACCAAACCAAGATGGGTTCATGGGCGAATTCTATAAAACACTTAAGTAAGAATTTATACCAATTCATTACAATTTCCTACAGAGGAATAGAAGCAGCAGGAATACTTCCTGTCTCCTATGAGGTCAGCATTATCCTAATACCCAAAGCAGACAAACATTACAAGAAAAGAAAACTACAGAGCGATACATCTCACAAATACAGGTGCAGAAGTTCTCAAAAATAGCTAATTGAATTTGACATTGCATTAACAATTTAGGCACCACAACCAAGTGGAATGTATTTCAGGTTTACAAGACTGGTCCAACATTCAAAAATCAATTATATAATTTATTATATTAACATGCTAAAGAAGAAAAAAATCACATGATCACATCAATAGATGCAGAAAATGCATTTGACAAAATCAAACATCCATTTGTGAACAAAAACTTTCATTAAACTAGGAATAGAGGAGAATTTTATCAACCTGATTAAAAACATATACACCAAAAATTCTACACATTTTTTACTTGATGGTGAAGAACTCAGAGCTTTCCTTATAAGGTTGGAACAAGCCAAGAATGTCCCTTTTCACCATTAATTTTCAACATGGTACACAGAAAGTCCATGTGATTAAAAAAAAAAGTCAAAAGGGAATGGTATATATACAGATTGAAAGGAAGGAATAAAACTACCTTTGTTTGCATATGTATATGTAGAAAATCTCAAATAATAGACAAAAACACTACTGGAACTAATAAGCAGTTATAACAAGTTTGCAGGATATAAGATTAATATGCCAAAGTGAAAAGTTTTCCTATAAATCAGCAATGAACAAGTGGAATTTGAAATTAAAAATACATTACTATTTACGTTAACACCCCCAAAAATGAAACATTGGGTATAAATTTAGCAAAATATATACAAAAGGCATAGGCAGAAAACTATACAACTCTGATGAAAGAAATCAAAGAAGCACTAAAATATGAAGTGATATTCCATGTTCATGTACAGTATCGTAAGACTCAATATTGTCAAGATGTCAGTTTGTCCCAACTTGATACACAGATTCAATGCAAGCCCAATCAAAATCTCTATAAGTTATTTTGTGGATATTGACAAGCTAATTCTAAAGTTTATGTGAAGAGGCAAAAGATGCTAAATAGCCAAGACAATACTTAAGTGTAAGAACACAATAATAGGACTGATACTACCTGACCTCAAGACTTACTATGAAGCTACAGCAACCAAGACAGTGTGACTTTGGTAAAATAATATACGAATAGGTAAGTGGAAAGAATAAATAGCCCAGAAATAGACCCACTTAAATACAGTCAATGGATCTGTAGAAAAACATAAAGGTACTACAATGGAGAAAATATAGTATTTGCAACAAATGGTGCTGGAACAATTAGATATCCACATGCAAAATAATGAATTTAGGCTTCACAAAAATTAACTCAAAATGAATCACAAACCAAAACGTAAAATGCAAAACTATAAAACTCCTAGGACGTAACACAGGAGTAAGCAACCTAGGATTCGGTTATGACTTTTCAGATGCAACAGCAAAAGCACAATCCATGAAAGAACTTATTGACAAAGAGGACTTCATTACAATTTAAAACCTCTGAATAAAACAGTTATCCAGGCATATATTCCAGGTTTGGAAGACAGGTTCAACATTCACAAATCATTTATATAATTCATCATATTAATGGACTAACTAAGAAAAATAATCACATGATCACATCAATAGGAGGCTAAGGTTAGCGGATTCCCTGAGCCTAGGAGTGCAAGGCTACAGTGAGCTAAGAAGGTGCCACTGCACTCCTGTTTGGGCAACAGAGCGAGATCCATTTCCAAAACAAAACAAAACAAAAAAATTCTGCTCTGAGAAAGTAAGAGACACTGTCAAAAGGATAAGATGAGAGTCAGAGGCCACAGACTGAGAGAAAATATTTTCAAAAGGCATATTCAATAACTGTTTTCAAAAATATTAGGAACTGTCAAAATTCAACAATAGAAAAAACAGTTAAAAAGTAGGCCAAAGACTTTAACATATATCTCCCCACAAAAAATATAGAGGTGGCAAATAAACATATAAGAAGATGCTTCATGACCGGGTGTGGTGGCTCACACCTGTAATCCCAGCACTTTGGGAGGCCAAGGCGGGCGGATCACAAGGTCAGGAGATCAAGACCATCCTGGCTAACATGGCGAAACCCTGTCTCTACTAAAAATACAAAAAAAAAAAAAATTAGCCAGGCGTGGTGGTGGGTGCCTGTAGTCCCAGCTACTCGGGAGGCTGAGGTGGAAGAATGGCGTGAACCTGGGAGGCGTAGCTTGCAGTGAGCCGAGATCATGCCACTGCACTCCAGCCTGGGCGACAGAGTGATACTCTGTCTCAAAAAAAAAAAAAAAAAAGAAAAAGATGCTTCACATCTTATGTCATCAAGGAAATCAAGCAAATGCACATTTAAACAACAATGAGATACCACTACATACCTATTAGAATGGCCAAAATCCAGAACACTAGACATTAGATGTGGATAAGGAAGTGGAGCAATAGAAACTCTCATTCATTGTTGGTCAAAATGCAAAATGATACAGCCACTTTTGAAGCCAGTCTGACAATTTCTTATAAAACTATACATATTTTTATCATATGATCAAGTAATTGCACTTTGGTGTTGACACAAAGAAGTTGAGACCTGTATCTATACAAAAACTGGCACATGGATAACTTTTATTATTAACTTTTATTTATAATTGCCCAAACCTGCAAGCAATCAAGATGTCCTTCAGTAGGCAAATGTATAAACTATGGTGTATTGAGACAATCAATTATTGTTCAGTGCTAAAAAGAAATAACCCATCAAGCAATACAAACAAGTACAGGAAACTTAAATGCATATTACTGAGTTAAAGAAGCTACTCTGAAAAGGCTACAAAATGTATAATTCCAACTATATGATCTGAAGCAGACAAAATTGTGGAAGTAGTAAAGAGACTATTGGTTTCTAGGGATCCAGGGATTACTGGGAAAGGATGAATGAACAGGCAGAGCACAGAAGATTTTTAGGGCAGCAAGACTACTTTTTATGATAGTGGAGTGGTGGTTATGTATCATTTTACATTCATCCAAACCCACAGAAAGTTCAACACTAAATGTGAAACCTGATGTAAACTGTGGATCCTGAGTGATAAAGATGTGTCAATCTGGTTTGTCAATTGTAACAAATGTACCATCCTGATGGGAGATGTTGATAATGGGGAAGGCTATGCATGTATGCGGGAGCAGGCAAGATATGGGAAATCTCTGTGCTTTCTCCTCAATTTTACTGTGATTCTGAAACTATTCTAAAAAATAAAATCTATTAAAAATCATAAGGTAATTATTTAACTTTCAGTGTATTAACTGGCAAATGAACTGCCCTTTTTAAAATTTTTTTATTATACTTTAAAATTCCACTTTTCATTTCCTTTTACTTTTACCTAAACCTTTACTGAAGGAAAAAGAAGTAGTACAGTTTTTAAAACAATGTTTTAGTGGCCTTTTCATACTGAAACTAACATAACTAAAGTATCACCATTTCAAAATGTTATGCTAATGCTTGGACTTGGTGATTATTGCTTCGGGGAGATTCTGGGGAGCATCTTGCCAGTTGTCCTTAAAATGAATTATGATTTCAATTAAAATAAATATTTTCTTAAAGTAAATTTATTAAGTTTTTCTTTGTTATTTTTTTCCATACTTTTATAAATAGAAATGAAATCTCCCAGCCGGGAGCAGTGGCTCACTCCTGTAATCCCAGCACATTGGGAGACTGAGGTGGGCGGGCCACCTGAGGTCAGGAGTTTGAGACTAGCCTGGCCAACATGGCGAAACCGTATCTAGTAGAGATACAAAAAAATTAGCCTGCCGTAATGGCGGGCGCCTGTAATCCCAGCTGCTCAGGAGGCTGAGGCAAGAGAATTGCTTGAACCCAGGAGTCGGAGGTTGCAGTGAGCCGAGATTTCGCTACTGCACTCCAGCCTGGATGACAGAGTGGGGCTGCGTCTCAAAAAAAAAAAAAAAGGAAGGGAAGGGAAGGGAGGAGAAGAGGAAGGGGAAGGGGAAGGGGAAGGGAGGGGAAGGAAGGGGAAGGGAAGGGGGAGGAAGAAAGGAAGGGAAGGAAGGAAAGAAGGAAGGGGAGGGAGGGAGGAAAGAAATCTCCCATTTAGGGAAAGATTTTCTATAATTATTTTAAATTTAAGAGAATGTCTGTGGGCTGCTGAATGCTGCTTTACTGTAATTCCAGAAAAATCTGGATCATTACTTGTTGGGGATGTTAGACAGTGAATTTACACATCAGGTAGAAGAAAGTTCTTTTAGTAAATTAGATCCAGGGAGTTTTCACCAGAGATCTAACCTGAACTAAGAAATATTCCCCACCTTACATAAATAATAGCATATTCCGCACACATTTTTCATGTAATGCTTCCTTTTTTCACATAATATATATGTGAATATACCAATATATTGTGAATAGCCTTCCATATTAGTAAGTAAAAAGATTTTTCCTTTTTTTAAGAACTCAGAATATTCATTTGCCTGCATGCACATTATTAATTTAATTGATATCTTCTTGATTGGTTCTTACTTTGTTTTCAGTATTTTGGGAGTATAGATATCTTTAGGATAAATTCCTAGAAGTATTGCTGTTGGCTCAAAGTTATATACTTTGCCAACACAGTCTTCAAGCAACATTTTTGATTGTTGACAATCTGGGTGATTTTTAATTATAATTCTTTTATTATCAAGATGATGTTCATGTTCTTATTCATTGATAATAACAGAACTACAATTATAACACAATTGATAATAACAGAGCTGCAATCTTTTTATATGTTTCATAACCATTAGTGACTTCTTCTTTGAAAAATGTTTCGTGATTTTTTTGTCTTTATATTTTATAGCAATTTTAGTTTTACCAGAAAACTGTATGGAGATCTCCCTGCCCAACAGGTACACAGTTTCTCCTATCATTAATATCTTGTATTAGTATAGCACATTTGTTAAAACTGATGAAGGAATATTGATACATTATTAAATGCATATTTTACATTAGAGTTCACTTTTTATGTTGTAAAGTTCTATAGGTTTGGCAAATGCATAATGTCATGATCCAATATTACAATATCATATAGAATAGTTTCACTGCCCTAAAAATTCCTTGTGCTAGGCCTACTCATTCCAGCCTTCTCCACACTGAGCCCCAAGAAACTACTGATTTTGTTGCCCATTGTTTTGCTTTTTCTACAAGATCACGCAGTTAAAATTATACAATCTGAAGCTTTTTTGGACTGCCTTCTTTTATTTAGCTATATGAGTTTAAGTTTCATTTTTTTCTTTTTGTAGGCTGATAGCTCATTTCTTTTTATTGATTGATATAGTTTGGATTTCTGTCCCTGCCCAAATCCCATGTTATATTGGAGAAGGGGCCTGGTGGGAGGTGATTGGATCATGGGGGTGGATTTCCCACTTGCTTTTCTCATGATAGTGAGTTCTCACCAGATCTGATGGTTTAGAAGTGTGTAGTCCTTCCCTTTTTACACTTTCTCTCTCCTGTTGTAATGAGAAGACATGACTTGCTTCCCCCTTCCACCATGACTGTAAGTTTTCTGAGGCAGACTAATAGAGAATATTGGTACTGGGAGTGGGACACTGCTATAAGGATATGTGAAAATGTGGAAACAACTTTGGAACTGAGTAACGAGCAGAGGTTGAAACAGTTAGGAGTGCTCAGAAGGAGACAGAAGATGTGGGAAAGATTGAAACTTCCTAGAGACTGTTGAATGGTTTTGACCAAAATGCTGCTAGTGATATGGACAATGAAGTTCAGGATTGTCTCAGATGGAGATGAGGAACTTATGGGGAACTGGAGTAAAGGTCACTCTTGCCATGCTTTAGCTTAGAGACTGGTGGCATTTTGTCCCTGCTCTAGAGATCTGTGGAACTTTCAACTTGAGAGAGATGATTTAGGGTATCTAGTGGAAGAAATTTCTAAGCAGCAAAGCATTCAAGATGTGACCTGGCTGTTTCTAAAAGTGTTTACTCATATGTGTGAACAAAGAGATTATCTGAAACTGGAACTTACATTTAAATGTTTGGAAAATATGCAACCCAGCCACGTGGTAGAAAAGAAAAACTCATTTTCTGAGAATAAAATCAAGCCTGCTGTAGAAATTTGCATAAGTAAAGAGGATCCAAATGTTAATAGCCAAGACAGTGGGGAAAATATCTCTAGGACATTTTAGAGACCTTAATGGAGGCCCCTCCTATCACCAGCCTGGAGGCCTAGGAGGGTTAAATGGTTTTGTGGGTCAGGCCCAGGGCCCTGCTGCCCTGTGCAACCTTGGGAGATGACACCTTATTTCCCACTGACTCCAGCTCCAGCCATGGCTAAGGGGAGTCAAGGTACAGCTTGGGCCATGACTTCAGAGGGTGCAAGCCCCAAGCTTTGGTGCCTTTCACATGGTGTTGGGCTTATGAGTGGGCAGAAAGCAAGAGTTGAGGTTTGGGACCTATTCCTAGTATGTATCAAAATGCCTGGATGACCAGCCTGGCCAACATGGCAAGACCCCATCTCTACTAAAGACATGAAAAGTAGTCAGGTATGGTGGTGCATGCCTGTGGTCCCACCTACTCAGGAAGCTGAGGCACAAGAATTGATTGAACCCAGGAGGCGGTGGTTACGGGAAGCTGAGATCATGCCACTGCACTCCAGCCTGGGCATCAGAGCAAGACACTGTCTCAAGAAAAAAAAAAAAAAAAAAAAAAAAAAAAAAAAAGCCTGGATGTCCAGGCAGAAGTCTGCTGCAGGGGTGGAGCCCTCATGAAAAACCTATACTAGGGCAGTACAGAGAGAAAATGTGGGGTTGGACTTCCCACACAGAGTTCCCATTGAGGCACTACCTAGTGGAGCTATAAGAAGAGGGCCACTGTCCTCCAGACTCCAGAATGGTAGATCTACCAACAGCTTGCACTGTGTGCCTGGAAAAGCTGCAGGCACTCAGTACCAGCCCATGAAAGCAGCCATGGGGACTGTACCTGCAGAGCCACAGGAGTGGAGCTGCCCAAAGCCTTGGGCACAAATCTCTTGCATCATTGTGCCCTAGATGTGTGACATGGAGTCAAAGGAGATCATTTTGGAGCTTTAAGATTTAATGACTGCCCTGTTGGGTTCTGAACTTGCATGGGGCTTGTAACCCCTTTGTTTTGGCCAATTTCTCCCATTTGGAATAAGAGTATTTACCAAATGCCTGTACCCCCATTGTATCTTGGAAGTAACTAATTTTTTTTTTTTTTAGACAGAGTCTCGCTCTGTTGCCCAGGCTGCAGTGTAGTGGTGTGATCTCGGCCCACTGCAAGCTCCACCTCCTGGGTTCATGCCATTCTCCTGCCTCAGCCTCCCAAGTAGCTGGGACTACAGGCACCCACTACAATGCCTGGCTAATTTTTTGGTATTTTTAGTAAAGATGAGGTTTCACCGTGTTAACCAGGATGGTCTCAATCTCCTGACCTCGTGATCCACCCACCTTGGCCTCCCAAAGTGCTGGGATTACAGGCATGAGCCACCGCGCCTGGCCAGAAGTAACTAACTTTTTAAAATTTAATAGGCTCATAGGTGGAAGGGACTTACCTTGTCTCAGAAGAGACTTTGGACTGTGGGCTTTTGAGTTAATGCTGAAATGAGTTAAGACACGGGGACTGTTGAGAAGGGTAACTGTATTTTGCAATATGAGAAGAACAGGAGATTTGGGAACGACCAGGGATTGAAAGATATGGTTTGGGTTTGTGTCTCTGCCCAAATTTCATGTTGAATTGGAGAAGGAACCTGGTGGGAGGTGACTGGATCTTGGGGGTGGATTTCTCCCTTTCTGTTCTCAAGATAGTGAGTGAGTTCTCATGAGGTCTGGTGGTTTAGAAGTGTGTGGCACTTCCCCCTTTGCTCTCTCCCTCTCTCTCTCCTGTCACTAGGAGAAGACATGCCTTGCTTCCTTTTAGGCTTCTGCCATGATTGTGAGTTTTCTGAGGCCTCCAAGTCATGCTTCTTGTTAAGCCTGTGGAACTGGGAGTTAATTAAACCTCTTTTCTTCATGAATTACCCAGTCTCAGGTAGCTCTTCATAGCAGTGTGAGAATAGACTAATACATTGATTACTAATATTCCACTATATGAATGTAACATAGTTTACTTATCCATTTACCTACCGAAGGACATCTTCAATGCTTCCACTTTTTTATATTCAAGTACAGGTTTTTTTGTGGACATGTCTCCAACTAATTTATGTAAATACCTGGGAACATGATGGCTTAATCGTACAATAACTCTATTTGCTTTGTAAGAAAATTTCACTCTGTCTTCCAACACTCCAGTACCATTTTACATCACCTCCAGCAATGACAGGAAATTCCTGTTGTTTCCCATTCTTGCTAGCATTTGATGTTTGCATTGATTTTTTTTTTTTTTTGAGATGGAATCCTGCTCTGTCGCCCAGGCTGGAGTGTGCAGTTGGTGATCTCAGCTCACTGCCACCTCCACCTCCCAGGTTCAAGCAGTTGTCCCACCTCAGCCTCTGAAGTAACTAAGATTACAGGCATGTACCACAATGCCTGGCTAATTTTTTTTTGTATTTTTACTAGAGATAAGGTTTCACCATGATTGTCAGGCTGGTCTCGAACTCCTGGTCTCAAGTGATCTGCCTGCCTCAGCCTCCCAAAGTGCTAGGATTACAGTTGTGAGCCACTGCATCCGGCCTGTTTTTGGAGATTTTTAAGAGATCCTTATATACATAGGACATTTGGTTGTGTCTATCTCTGAATTATAAATTCTTCTAATTTACCCCTTGCTGTTGAACTTTGCTTACAATACCTTGTGTAATGCAGTTTTTAAAATATTTTATTATCTGTTCTTGTTCTCTTTCTCTTTTTAAATAAGCATAGTCACTTACAGGTAGTTTTGTTTCTTCACCCTCCTCTCACTCTGCACCCACAAGTAGGCTCCAGTGTCTATTGTTCCCTTCTTTGTGTCCATATGTACTTAATGTTTAGCTCCCACTTACAAGGGAGAACACGTGATATTTGGTTTTCTGTTCATGCATTAGTTCAATTAGGATTCAACATCACTAATTATTAGAGAACTACAAACCAAAACTACAATCAGATACCATCCCACACAAGTCAGAATGGCTATTTTTAGTGGGTCAAAAAATAACAGATACTGAAGACATAGTGGAGAAAAGGGAACGCTTATACACTACTAGTGGGAATGTAAATAAGTTCTGTCATTGTAGAAAGCAGTCTGACGATTTCTCAAAGAACATAAAACAGAATTACCATTCAACCCATCAGTCCTATTATTGGGTATATACACAAAGCAATATAAATCCTTTCACCATTATTTTTCTATTATACTTTCAGGCATTTGGGTCATACTTACAAACACATTTATTCTTCCTAGATAATTAAAAGAAATTCTACTATGAGTAGTTCTAATACTTATAGTTTCAGAAATCAAATTTATATATTGATCAATATATAAATTACAAATTAATGCTTCTATAAGAGGTAAGGTACAATTGCAGCAGCTTTTTGTTTCTTCCAGATAATCTAGTTGTCTTAATGTCACTTGCAGGATACTTCTGCCTATGAATAGAAGAGTAATGAAACTTTGTTTTTCCATTTCTTTCCTCAATTACCATATAACCAGAGCTGCAGCTGGTCATTCTGTGTCTTCCTGGAGAAGCCAGTGGGAGAGAGCTTTGTAATCAAAAGAGATTCAAGTACAAATCCTAGCTGTATTTCTTTTAGTTGTGCAATTTTTGACAAGTTACTCATTATTCTTCAATCTTGTTTTCTTCATATTTAAGGAAAAAGGAGGAATATATACATTTCCTACAGTTTCTATGAGTATTAAAATGAGATACCAGAATGCTTGATACAATAGTGAATACAAAGTAATTGTTCACTAAATGGTAGCTATCATTAATATTACGATCACACTAAAAATGCTATATCTTAGACATTAACATAGACAAAGAAAAAATCTATTAATGAAATGTGTTTACGACAACTTACCCAAAAAATACGGAATTATATATCCTACAAGCCCCTTGTGCTCCACAGCTGTTGGTGGACCACTTCATACATGTTTTATCAATCAGAGCCCCAAAATATATTGGAGCTAGAATTCCTCCTGCAACATGAGATAAAAAGATATCAATCCAAGTGAAATGCTTCAAATGTAACTGAGCGATAGTCGATATTGATACATTTTGGATTAATACAAGTTTAAAGTTTTGGAAAATTATTCCATTGGTTTGGCTTACATCCACCCAGGAATCAAAATTATTAGAAATCGCAAAGGCTTAAATCATATGGTAATGTCACAGATGTATTTGATCTACTCTTCTCTCCCTATATACAGAGGGAAGAAAGAGTATTATATGCCTATATACTCTGTTCTTCCTACAATACCTATTAACTTAAGTCTGATTGGTAAAAAGGGGAATGTTGTTAGTAAAACATGAAAGTTATGTTGGTTCATATGGAATTTTTCTTAGGCAAGAATGGCTGGATTACTGACAGTTAAATTATAACTTCTTGAGAAAAGGAAAAGCTCTCATCTAAACTGCTGTAAAGGCAGGAGATTTTAATACTATTTTAAGATAATTAAAAAGTAAATGCTTACACCAGGATTCCCTCCCCAGAGAAGTTCAGGCCCAGCTTCACGGGGTGCTCCGAGCTATTGGCCAGTTTTACTTCCTTCTAGGCTCAGAGCCCAATTCTCTCTTTCTTAGTGCCATCAGAGCCCACAATTCAGCATTTTCTCTCCATTGATTTCATGCACTTTTTAATACCTCCTAAAGCAACCTGGGCTGCAGGTTAGGGTCTCCGTTGCTAAATTTTGTTTCTGTTAGTGGTCTGTTAGTGCACAATGGTGCATATATTTTCAGTGGTCTGTCCCAAAGTCAATTTTTATTTGTAGTGCCTGATTTCGATGACTGTGAGGCATTCCAGGGATACATATGTTGTTTATAGGAGAAGTATAAATTCTGAGATTAACTCCTAGTTTTAAGAATAGGTAATTTGTTCAAAATTTTGAGGGACATCATAGTAGAGAGCTATCATTCAGATGGCAGAACTGAAGCATACAAGATTTTACTTTGTTCTTGTTCTGTTTTGTGATTCATACTTTTCAGATTTTATTTTGTCACAAAAAATGACAGTGATTTATACATGAATGTTTTACCGATTCATTTTACTTTTAATCATTCTCAATTTTCTGAGACTGAGAAATAGTAGATTCACAAGGGAATGTTGTCTGAGGCCAATGCATCTGAAGCAAACTGGTACTGAGATAATGGGTGAGAAATTTGCAGATTTCAAAAAATCACAGCGACCCTTAGAAAAATAAAAAAAAATAGATGCCAACAATTTATTTTCTTCACGTTATGCCACTGGTTTAAACAAACGTTGTGAAGTAAATGTTTTAAGTAACAAACTTTGTCTTATTAGAATTGTAAATCTTCTGATAACCTATTTTCTAAATACCTCTTTTAGTTTAATACACTATATAGGTCTTCTACCATTTACACATATATCATATTTAAGACAATTGTTCATGAATTGGAAGTTTGCTACCAAGTGTGGATGTTTCCCACAGAAGCATTTAGGGTCCATTGTGCCATATATTGGACATAACAAAATTGGATGTTCACAATTAGAATGGCAAAATTCAATTTTTTTCTATTTTATGTTGCTTAAACAATGTCTTCTATTGTCATAGTCTCATTTCAACATATCAGAAGGAGTCCTAACTACCCAGATGCTATTTTCAGCCTCTGTGGCCCAGATTCCAGGAGTGAGGTATCGTCTCTGAATCTGGAGGTAGAGAACTGCTAAGATTACAGAGGCTGGAAGATTAGGGACACAGAAAGGGACGGTTAGGATGGAGGCAATGCAACCCTGCAGCATCTTCATCTTCTCTCTCCTATTCCTTTTATATTTCCTTTTACATTTCAGGATCTGTGACCTTCTCACCGAATACACTTCATGTACAACTTCTTCACGGTAATTTGGCCATAGAGTTATACTTTTTCCTTTCCTTGCAAGGGTCCCAGAAACTGACCCCTCCCACTTCCTTTTCCTTCTGCCATCAGTGGTTACCTATGGACCATAATCAGTCCTCTGCACCAATCCCTAGATGAATGATGCCCTTTTCCTACTTCCCAGGAATAAGCACATAATGTTTACAATTCTTACAAAGGACCACTCACAGAGGTTAGACTAGACATTATTTAACAACAAGTATCTGTGCAGTAAAAAAGGCAAATGGCAATAAGGGACAAAGGTTCATTTCCTAAATCTTTTCTCATCACTTTTGAATATTTAGAAATAGGCCTTTAGCCTCTAGAGTCTAAAATCCTACCCTTGCCACCATAAACCACAATTTTCTGAGCTTTCTTTTATTCAGGACATCCTCATAATCCAACAAGCCTAGTTCTAGAGTATGAATTTTCATTCCCTTTTGCATTAACTCCTGCTAATGGTTAGCTGTCCAGCCATAGAGGACCAGGCAGTGGGAAATGGCACAGTGAATGTCAGCTTCTGTTGTTCTAGACAACCTCAGCCTGACCAGATTCCCAGGGTTCCCAAGCTACTTTAGGGCTGTCCTAAGTAATGTCTCCATTTGGAAGGAAGGTCCTCCACTCTGCGTATACCTGGGAGAAATATTCTTATTTTCCTGAAAGAAGGAAAACCTCAGAGACCACCTATCTTTCTGTTTCTGTTAGAAAGAATATAATATAAATATGATGATTCCTTGCTCTTAACAGATTGACTCTAACTAGAATTAACATCAAATTATCTTTTAGACCACTCAATTTTCCCGTTCCTTTTTATTTTCACTTATCACAAAATAGAAATGATTCTTACCTATTCTTTTTTATACAGTCTTATAGTTGAAAATTAATTGCATTCAGTCTTTAGTATTTAACATTAATATTTATATGTTAAAATGTATAATCTATATATTTGTCATACCTAGTGTTCTTATAACCATTGACTGGAAACCCATTGCAAGTGCTTTCAATTCAGGTTGAACAATCCTGAAATATGATAAAGGCAAAGAAATAATACATGTCATTAAAAAATCAAACTGAGTTAATATCAAAACATTTATCAGCATCATTCCTCTCCCTGGTAGAATGAATACTCTTAAGTGAATTTCCCACGTTATATAAAGTTACATTTTCAACTGTTTTAAAAGGTAAACACCTGAGTGATAATAATAATAATTTCTTTATTTATTAAATGCTTTATGATTTCAAGGCAGTTTAACAAATATGTTCACATTTGATCCTTATGAAAATCCTATAAGAAAGTGGTTGGAATAGACTTTATTATGCTTATGAAGAAAATGATTTTGTGTGGACTATTTAGTCAAGGTACCTCCTATTAAAGGATTATATACTTTTATCCAGGAGTAATTCTTAGCAGACCTCTTTTTACCACCTTATTTCTGTCATCAATGTTAACAGAATAGCTTATTAATATGATTCGTAAATTATATTATACAACCAGAAGGGTCAAAAAACTTTTCTGTATTCTAGTGTCTAATGTATTTGACTGTCACATTAAAGCTACAGAGCATATTTGTATCCTCACTTGGAAATTCACTCACTCTTACATTTCTACAATTCCATTTTTCTGTGTTCAATAAACTGATGACACTACCATCCCTGTGATAACTTAGTACATACCAAGAGAAATGAAATTATCTTTCATTAGTAAAGGAGGAGAGCTGGGATGAGGTGGATGACTGTGGCTCAAATAACCCACTTTTACTGAAATGTTGAATTAACTGATAAAAAGGGTTTTTTTCTCCTCGAAGTGTTGGATGGTTTTTTTCAGAGAGCTAAGTAACCACCATCAATCAAGAAACATTCACTAAGCACCTACTAAGAGATACCATGCTAGTTAATATTCTTGAAAGTAAATAGACAAATTATGCTTTCTCTCATCCAAATGACTTGTAGAAGTATATCACTTAATCTCTCTTAGCCTCAGTTTCCTTGTTTGCTAAGTGGGCATGATAATGCTTATCTCATATGTTATAAGAATCCAACACAATGAGCTAGCACTCTAAACCTCAGTTTCATGTACACATATTTGCCTCTATACCTTGCCAGAGAACTGCCATTTATTGAGATTCTGAAAAGAATTCAATAGCGCTTATAAAATTTTAAAAGACAAAAACTAAATTAAACATAATACATTGAAAGTTAAATCTAAAATAGTTATCTATTAGGAGAGACAATAAACAGAAAGTGTGTTTTGGCCCTGCTTTGACAAAGGACAGCAGCACTTTGTTAGCACAGCTGAGGGCACAAAACTACACTGAGGACAATGAATCTGATACGATTTGGCTCTGTGTCCCTACTTAAATCTCATCTTGAATTTTACTCACATAATACCCACGTGTTGTGGGAGGGATCCGGTGGGAGATAATTGAATCATAGGGGCAGGTCTTTTCTGTGCTGTTCTCATGATAATAAGTCTCACAAGATCTGATGGCTTTGTAAGTCAGAGTTTTCCTGCACAAACTCTCCTTGCTTGCCTCATCCACATATGATGTGACTTGAGCCTCCTTGCCTTCGACCATGATTGTGAGGTTTCCCCAGCCACATGGAACTATAAGTCATATTAAACCTCTTTCTTTTGTAAATCGCCCAGTCTCAGGTATGTCTTTATCAGCAGCGTAAAAACAAACTAATACAGTAAATTGGTACCGGTAGAGTGGGACGTTGCTAAAAAGATACCTGAAAATGTGGAAGTGACCTTGGAACTGGGTAACAGGCAGAGGTTGGAACAGTTTGGAGGGCTCAGAAAAAAACAAGAAAATATGGGAAAGTTTGGAACTTCCTAGAGACTTGTTGAATAGCTTTGGCTAAAAGCCTGATAGTGATATGGACAATAAGGTCCAGGTTGAGGTGGTCTCAGATGGAGATAAGGAACTTGTTGGAAACTGGAGCAAAGATGATGCTTGTCATATTTTAGTGAAAAGACTGGCAGTATTTTGCCCCTGCCCTAGAGATTTGTGGAACTTTGAACTTGAGGGAGATGATTTAGGGTATCTGTCAGAAAAAATTTCTAAGCAGCAAAGCATTCAAGAGGTGACTTTGGTGCTGTTAAAGGCATTCAGTTTTATAAGGGAAGCAGAGCATAAAAGTTTGGAACATTTGCAGTCTGACAATGTGATAGAAAAGAAAACCCCATTTTCTGAGGAGAAATTCAAGCTGGCTGCAGAAATTTGAATACCTGAAATTTGAAAGCTGAATGTTAATTCCCAAGACAATGGGGAAAATGTCTTTAGGACATGTGAGAAGTCTTCATGGTAGCCCCTCCCGTCAAAGGCCTGGAATCCTAGGAGAAATGGTTTCCTGAGCCAGGCCCAGGGTCCCTGTGCTATGTGCAGCCTAGGGACTTGGTGCCCTGCATCCCAGCTGCTCCAGCTGTGGCTGAAAGGGACCAATGTAGAGCTTGGGCTGTGCCTTCACATGGTGCAAGCCCCAAGCCTTGGCAGCTTCCATGTGGTGTTGAGCCTGTGGGTGCACAAAAGTCAATAATTGAGGTTTGGGAACCTCTGCCTAGATTTCAGAAGATGTATGGAAATGCCTGGATGCCCAGGAAGAAGTTTGCTGCAGGGACAAGGTGCTCATAGAGAACCTCTGCTAGGGCAGTATGAACGGAAAATGTCAGGTCAAAGCCATCACACAGAGTCCCTACTGGGGCACTGCCTAGTGGGGCTGTGAGAAGAGGGTCACCATCCTCCAGATCCCAGAAGCTGTCAGTAGATCCACCGACAGCTTGCACCATTCACCTGGAAAAGCTGCAGACTCTCAACGCCAACCCGAGAAGGCAGCCAGGAGGGAGGCTATACCCTGCAAAGCCACAGGGATAGAGCTGCCCAAGACTACGGGAACCTACCTCTTGCATCAGTGTGACCCAGATGTGAGACATGGAGTCAAAGGAGATCATTTTGGAGCTTCAAGTTTTGACTGCCCTGCTGGATTTCAAACTTGCATAAGGCCTGTAGCCCCTTTGTTTTGGCCTATTTCTCCCATTTGGAAAGGCTGTATTTACCCAATGCCTGTACCCCCATTGTATCTAGGAAGTAACTAGCTTGCTTTTGTTTTTACAAGTGCATAGGTGGAAGGGACTTGACTTCTCTCAGATGAGACTTTGGACTGTGGACTTTTGGGTTAATGCTGAAATTAGTTAAGATTCTGGGGGACTGTTGGGAAAGAATGATTGGTATTGAAATGTGAGGACATGAGATTTGGAGGGGACAGGGGTGGAATGAAATGGTTTGGCTCTGTGTCCCCACCAAATCTCATCTTGAATTTTACTCACATAATTCCCACGTGTTGTTGGAGGGACCCAGTGGGAGATCATTGAATCGTGGTCTTTCCCATGCTGTTCCATGATAGTGAATAAGTCTCATGAGGTTTGATTGCTTTATAATGCGTACTTTTCCTGCACAAGCTCCCTTTGCCTGCTGCCACCCATGTAAGATGTGACTTGCTCCTCCTTGCCTTCCACTATGATTGTGAGGCTTACCCAGCCACGTGGAACTGTAATTCCAACTAAATCCTCCCTCTTTTGTAAACTGCTCAGTCTTGGGTATGTCTTTATCAGCAGCATAAAAACAAATGAATACAGAATCCATGCCTGCTATTTAGGAGGAAGTTTATTTCATAAAGAGATGGTCAAGAAGAAATCAGTAGAAAGGGGAGTTTAACTTATCTATTTAGTTATTACTCTCAAATATCAGATTTCTCAAAGGAGATTTTGGGAAGGGAGAGATTGCACTTCAACCCTGGTTGAGTTTTTTGACAATAGCCTGACATGTATTTTTCACTGTACTTGATTTTCAGAAGTTACACTTTGTCGGTATACTACACACACAAGGTAAACTGAAATTTGTTATTGAGCTGTATTTTCACCCAGGGGAAGGGGTGGCATGCAGGAGACTTGGGGGGACTTGCAGATAGGGAGGATATTTTCCTAAGAGCTGGCCTGAAATCTTCAACAATTCAGTGGAGATGATGAATGTGTGTGATATGGTAATATTCATATACAATAACAATCACACACACTCACCCCTACATCCACATGCATGCACACTCACACTACTTCTTGCCTGCTCATACTCACATCCTCACTGATGTGCACACGCTCGTGCATGGTTATCATGTAAGTTATTTACCACTGTAGTGTGACTCCTGCTTTACATATGATATTGAGCAGCTGGCACCTCTCTCAGGATGAATTCATCACAAAAGGCACCCTAAGAAGTTAAATGTGCTATTTCATTTAATTGTTTAATTTAAGAGATTTCATTTACATTGATCCTCTGTTGTTCTTTCTAATGACAATCAACCATCATGACCTGCTGTTTCTTGAGGTAATTTCCAGTTAGACCTAATGAAACCCTAACAATAGATAGCACAGGTAGGGAATGCTTGTTTTCCTGTTTGCAAAAGACTGAAGAACAGCTCTAATTTATTGTGTATATGAGACAAATCTTTTCTAGCTAACCCACTAAAATGCAGTTTTTTAAAAAAGTTCTGAAACATTACCCTCCTTTGGGCCTTTTCAATTGATGTTTTGTTTGTCATAAACTTACATCATGCCTCACATCCTGTCACCAGCAGAATGTCAAGATTTTGAGATCCTGTCTGGGTACCAAGGCTCTCATTCCACATGGTTTACTACATCCCTTAATCCCACTCACTCTCTTACTCTTTTTCCATTACTCAAACCCTTTCATTTTTCCCAGGGAAACTCATATTTGTTACCAGCAAAATATTTAGTTCCTACATTCTTTGTAGCCCTTTCACTTTCTTGTTCTAAACAAAGCCTGGCTTACTCCCAATGACACTCCATGTAACTCTCTCCTGTAGGCTTTTTCCTTCCACAACCTCCACATCAATGGGCCTGAAATGTAGAAGTTCTCATTGATCTTTCATTTTTACCACTTCCAGATCTGAGTCTTTCTTCTGACAGACCTCTAGGTCCCAAGAAGAAGTGCACCACCCTACCATACTATTCTCTAACCTCCTTGCTGAAGTTAGCTATAGAATGGCACATCACAACTCTCATCATTTCTTGACAATTTTCATTCCAAACTCCCTGTCATTTTTGTGAAAATTATTTCTGCCCTTTTTCCTAGTTATTTTAGGAAATATAGATCATATAGATTATGCTCCCAATGTTCTCTGGCCTTTCAGTTTCTTGACCTCTTTTCTGGAAAGTCTTCCACCCACAGTCAGTTCATCAGTACCCACTTTTAAAATTCTCCATTTTGGCCATCCCAGTCCTCATAACTACCTCCTAAGTTTTAAATTTACTCCCTTTAATATATCTGTTACAAGAAGCTCCAGCCCTAGCTCTTTAGGCTATGATTCCCCTAACCTCTTCACAGGTCATATCTAGTTTTACCTCTTCACTTCCTTTCTCATCATGATCTTTTGTTATAATTGCTCATCTGCATATATTCTGTAAATTTTTGTCCATCTCATCCTTTACTGTACTAGACAAGCAAAAATGCTTTCATCTAATCCTCTGCCTTCTCTGAACCTATATACAAAGAGCTGCATCCCTGGAGGAAAGAATTCAAACATCTCACTGTGCTCACTTTAAATTCATAAGCACAGACATTCAGGGGGCCTCCAGGGCAATCGTCCAATATTCTACTAGTCCATTTTCCCTGTCAGTATGTTTCTTTAATCTTCAGGATTACTAGTTCACATTTTCTGATCCAAAGACTCTTTCTTTTCTTCCTCCTCTTTCTCATCTGATTACATTCCTTTTTTATAACAAAGAAAGTAGAAGCAGCAGAAAAAAGTTCAATATTCTTCATCACTACAGGTACACATTTACCTGCCTTTTACCCACATAGAAAATTTCCCTTCTTGTACAGAGAAAAACTCTGTGTCCTGGTTAAACTCTTTTCATCTTCCTCTGTAATTGCTTTCCCTCTTTTCTGCATTGTCAGTTTCCTTCATCTCTACTGATGATTCTCATCAGTATGTAAGCATGCTATTACGTCTAGCATTGAACATAAACAGAAGTTTTATTCCACAACTTTGCTATCAACCACAACTTTTGTCTGTTTCTTTTGTAGCACTACTCCTGAAAATAACTTGCTGTGCTGACTGTTGCACTTCCCTTTCTGGCATTTTCTCTCTATCCTCTTCAATATAGCCTGTTAGATCCTACATAACACACATTATAGCCACATTTTCAAATGGAAAAAACCTAATTCAAACAAAATAAATTCAAAATAAGGAGAGATAGCCTATCTAAGTTAGAAAGAACCAGAGAAAGAATTCTGGAAGTATAAAGAAGATAGATTGTTAAAGGTCCAAAGGACCACAATGACTCTTGAGCTATTAATCCAAACCAAAATGAAATCTTTGATATGCTGATAAAGAATCCAAAATATTGATTCTAAAGAAGTCTTCGAGAAATAAGACCTTCAAGTAATATGGGATTATGTAAAGCTTGAGATCCAAAAGAAAGTTAAAAATTACCAAAAATAAATGAAAAAAAATAACATAGGGTATAAAAGAAGAGAAAGATTTTATTACGAGAAGCAGACACAACTTCTAAAAATTAAAAATGTATTGAAGGGACTGCAAAATACTTCTGAAAGCTTTAACAATAAGCCAGACCAAGCAGAATAAACAATTTCAGAGCTAGAAGACAGGTCTTTCAAATAAACTTGGTAGGAAAAATACATAGAAAAGTAAATTGAAAAACCTAACAGAACCTTCAGGACATATGGGATTATGGAATGCATACAAACTTATGAATCATTGGTATTCCAGAGGGAGAAGAAGAAAAAGTTAAAAGTGTGGGAAACTTGTTTGAAAGAATAACTCCCAAAAACTTCCCTGACTTACTACAGATCCAGACATCCAAATATAAAAAGCTCAGGTGATTCCTGTGAGATGCATTGCAAGAATAACCAGCACAAGACATATAGTCATCAGACTACTCAAAGTCAACAAAAATTTAAAAATCTTAAACGTGGCAAGAGAGAGGTATCTAATTACCTGTAAAAAGAATCCTATCAGACTAACAACAGACTTCTCAGCAGGAATCTTACAAGCCAAAAGAAATTAGGGTCTTATTATCAGTCTCTTAAAGAAAAAAAAAAATGCCAGCCAAGAATTTTGTATACTGCTCAACTAAGACTTATAATTCAAGAAGAAAAGTAGTACTTCCCAAATAAGCAAACACTAAGGGAATTTGTCGCAAACAGACTGACTCTACAAGAAAGGCTTGAAGGAGTTCTAACATATAGAAATGAAAGAGCAATACTTATCATTATGGAAACACACAAAGTATAAAACTTACAGATCTTATTTTAAAATTACCTAATTGAGACTGCAAAGCAATTAAGAAATAATTAACAATATTATAGAAACAACCCCTCAAAAATCAATACTGACCTTATATATAAATATACTAAACACTCTTCTTAAAAAATATAGTCTGGCAGAATGAATTTTTAAAAATCCAACTATATGCTGCATACAAAAAACCCACCTAACTCAAGTAACTGGTAAAGACCTTTTCAGACTCAAACCAAAGGGGTGCAAAAAGACATTCTATGAAAATACAAACCAAATCAGAGCAGTAGTAGTTATACTGGCATTAGATAAAACAAATTTCAAATCAAAAACCATAAATAATGACAAAGAAGGTTATCATATAAAGGATCAATTAAACAAGAAGATATAACAATTCCAAACATATAAACCCAACATTGGAGCACCCCAATTCATAAAACAAACACTACTGGGCCTAAGGAAAACAAAATAGATAGCAATACAACAGTAGTGGGGTCTTTCAATAATCCACTGACAGCACTAGGCAGATCATGGCAGCCAAAAATCGACAAAGAAACTTTTACAATGGACATTAGACCCAATGGATCTGACGAACATTTTACAGAACATTTTACAGAACATTTTACCCTACAACCTCAGAATATACATTCTTCTCATGTACACATGCAGCATTTTCAAAAACTGACCACATGCTATGCCAAAAGGCAATACTCAATGATTTTTTTTAAAACTCAAAATAATATCAAGTACCTTTTCAGAGTACAGTGGAATAAAAATAGAAATTAGTACCTAGAAGAATTCTCAATACTACACAAATACATGAAAATTAAATAGCCTGTTCCTGAACAATTATTTGGTCAATAATGAAATCAAGGCAGATTTTTTTTTTAATTGAAATGAGGCTGGGTGTGGTGGCTCACACCTGTAATCCTAGCACTTTGGGAGGCTGAGGTGGGTGGATCACTTGAGATCAGGAGTTTGAGACCAGCCTGGCCAACATGGTGAAACCCCGTCTCTATTACAAATAAAAAAAATTAGCTGGGTGTGGTGGCACAGGTCTTTAATCCCAGCTACTAGGGAGGCTGAGGCCAGAGAACTGCTTGAACCCAAGAGGTAGAGGTTGCAGTGAGCCAAGATTACACCATTTCACTCCAGCCTGGGTGACAGAGTGAGATTCTGTCCCCAAAAACAAAAAAAAAAAAATTAAGAAAATGAAATGAATGAAAATAAAGACACAACATACCAAAACCTCTGAGATACAACAAATCAGTGCCAAGAGGGAAGTTTGTAGCATTAAATGCCCACAACAAAAAGACAGAAAGATATAAAATTAACAATCTAATGTCACGTCTCACAGAACTAGTAAAACAAGAATAAACTGCACCCAAAGCTAGCAGAATATAGTAAATATCAAAGAAAAAATCTAAATGAGATTTGGGCAAAAAAATTACAAAGGATCAGTGAAATAAAAAGTTGTAATTTGAAAATATAAGTAAGATAGATAGCTTACTAGTAGCTTAACCAAAAAGAAAGAAGATTCAAATAAGGACAATCAGAAATATTACTGGTGTCATTAAAACTATTACCACAGAAACATAAAAGATCATCAGAGACTACTATGACCATCTCTACATACATAAACTGGAAAACCTAGAGGAAATGGATAAATTCCTGGAAACATACAACCTCACACGTTTGAACCAGGAAGAAACAGAAATCCTTAACAGACCAATAATGAGCAATTAAATTGAATTAGTAATAATAATTAAAAAATCTCCTGATGACAACAACAAAAAGATGAACTTACTGCCAGATTCTACCAAACCAAAAAGGAAGAAATGATACCAACTCTACTAAAACTATTCCAAAAAATCAAGGGGGAAGGAATCCTCTTCAACTAATTCTATGAAGTCAGCATCATGCTGATACCAAAGCCAGGCAAGTACATAACAAATAAAAGAGAAAACTACACATTAATATCCCTGATGAACATAGATCCAAATATCCTCAAAAAAAAAAAAAAACTCTAGAAAATAAAATTCAGCAGCACATAAAAAGGTTCATCGCAATGAAAAGTGGACTTTTTCCTGAAATGCAAGGATGGTTCAACATATGCGAATCAAAAATGTGATTCACAAAATTAACAGAAATCTTTTTTCAAAAAGCGTATGATAAAATAAATTGATGCAGAAAAAACATTTGATAAAATCCAGCATCGCTTTATGATAAAAACACTTACCAAACTAGGCATAGAAGAAACATACTTTAAAATAATAAAAACCATGTATATGACAAACCACAGTCAATAACATACTGAATGGGGGAAAATCGTAAGCATTACTTCTAAGAATGGACCCAAGATGAGGATGCCCACTTTCACTACTCGTATTCAACGTAGTATTGGAAGTCCTATCAGGAACAATCATGTAAGATAAAGGAATAAAAGGTCTCCAAATGGGAAAAGAAGAATTTGAATTATTCCTCTTCACTTATGATATAATCTTACACCTAGAAAACCCTAAAAACTCCTCTGAAAGCCTCTTAGACTTGATAAACTACTTCAGTAAAGTTTCAGGATACAAAACCAATGTACAAAAATAAGTACCATTTCCATACAACAATAATGATCAAGCTCAAAATCAAATCAACAACTTAATCCCATTTACAATGAATATAAAAAATAGTAATACATTTAAACTAAGAGGTAAAAAAGTCTCTACGAGGAGAACTACAAAACACTGATGAAAAAAGTCATATATGTCACAAAAAAAATAGAAAAACATCCTACGCTCATGAATTGGAATAATGAATATTGTGTAAAATGACCATCCTGCCCAAAACAATCTACAGATTCAACACAATTTTTATGAAATTACCAATGTAAATCCTAAAATTCATACGGAACCAAAAAAGTCTGACTAGCAAATCCATCCTAAGCAAAAAAATGAAGCTGAAGGTATCACATTACCTGACTTCAAATTATACTACATGGCTATAAGCCAAAATAAAAGGGTACTAGTATAAAAATAGACACATAGATCAATGGAACAGAATGGAGAAGCCAGAAATAAAGCCACATACCTACAACATACTGATTTTTGACAAAGTAACAAATACATATACAGTGAGGAAAGGACACCCTATTCAATAAATGGTGCTGGGAAAATTGGAGAGCCATATACACAGACATAAAATTGAACCCGTATCTCTCACCATATATAAAAATTAACTGAAAAAGGATGAAAGACGTAATTGTAAGGCCTGAAACTATAAAAATCCTAGGGGTAAACCTAGGAAAAACTTTTCTGGACAATGATCTAGGCAAAGAAATTATGACTACACCCTCAAAAGGAAATGCAACAAAATAATACACCAATGGAACTTAATTAAACTACAAAACTTTTGTTCAGTAAAAAAAAAAATAATAATAATAATCAACAGAGTATACAGACAAACCACAGAATGGGAGAAAATATTTGCAAACAATGCATCTGACAAAGGGCTAATATCCAGAATCTACAAGAACTCAAACAACTCAATAAAAAAAGGAAAAAAACCTCATTAAAAAGTGGGTAAACGACATGAACAGACATTTTTCAAAAGAAGACATACAAATGGCCAATAAATATATAAAAATGCCCAACATCACTAATCATCAGAGAAATGAAAATTAAAACCGTAATGAGATATCATCTTATACTCATCAAGATAGCTATTATTACAAGGTCAAAAGTCAAGAGATGTTGGTGAAGATGAAAAGAAAAATGAATGTTTATACACTGTTGGTGGGAATGTAAATTAGTAAAACCTCTATGGAAAACAGTATAGAGATTTCCTGATGACCTAAAAATTGAACTACCATTTAATCCAGCAATCCCACCACAGGGTGTCTACCTAAAGAAAAAGAAATCATTTTATTAAAAAGACAACTGACTTGTATGCTTATCTACAGCACTAGTGACAAAAGCAAAGTCATGGAATCACTCTAAATTTCCATTCACTGATAATTAGATTAAAAATTTTGTATATATGTATACACTATGGAATACTAGTGAGCAATTAAAAAGTGAAATCATGTATTTTATAGCAATGTGGATAGAAATGGAGGCCATTATCCTGAGTGAAATGATTCAGAAACAGAAAGTAAAAAATGCATGTACTTACTTTGATGTGGGAGCTAAACAATGGGCACACAAGGACTTACAGAGTGGAATAATTGACATTGGAGACCCTAAAGTGTGGGAGGGTGGAAGGGAGTGGGAGGGAAGAAATACTACCTATTGAATATAAAGTACACGATTCGGGTGATGGGAACATTAAACCCCAGACTTTACCACTGCACAATATAATCCATGTTTCACAACTACAATTGTATCTCTAAATCCATAAAAATGAAAAAATTTAAAACAACCAAAACAGCCTTTTTTTCACCTCCCATCTTCATGCACTAGTTTTGTTTAGGTTAATAGTGATGAGCATATAATGAAATCCAATGGTCACTTTCTAGTCCATAACTCCTATGAACTCTCAGCAGGCCTTGACATAGTTTCTTTATTCACTGCTTCTTCATATATTCTTCACTGTGCTTCAAGGACATGATCCTTTCCCAATTTTCCTCATAACTCATGGGACCTCCTCAGTTTCCTTTAGTGTCCTCTCCTTCTATTATTAATCGCTAAAGTTAGAGTGCCTGTTGTTCCTAGGATGTAGTTTCTATCTGTACCCAGTCCCTAGAAGATCTCAATGTGGCATTGGATTTAAATAGCATCTGTATATTGCCAACTCTAGATTTGTGTCTATGGCTTTAATGATTTTCCTAAATGGTGGCTTCTACATATGGCATTGTTGGTAGATACCTAACAGGCAGCTCAGTTTTACAGGGATATAAGAAATTTTGCTTTTCTACTTCCTCCAAACTACCCTTCCTTAGTGTTTCCCCTTTTGTTCAATAGTATCACCATCTTTCCAGAGCTCAGGCCAGAACCTTGGGATCATCCTTAAATTATCTTTGTCACATGCCACATTCAATCAACCAGCAAATCATATTGGCTTTGCCTTAGAAAACAAAACAAAACAAAGAATGAAGCACAAATATCTTCCCACTTCCTTTATCATAACCATGCTCAATAATACCTCATTGTGAAGAATGATCATAGCCTTTTGTTTTCCCTGATTTCATTCTTGTCTTCCAAAAACACAAGTCATGCACAGTCAGAGTGATCTTCTCAGGTAAGCCTTAAGCATTAGGTAATACTAATGCTTAAACCCTCTGGGGCTTCTGAACACACTTAGAATAAGCTCCAAAGCCTTTCCTGTGAACAATATAATCTGGATCACGCTAGCTCTGTCATTGTACTTCGTACCTCTCTTTTCCTCACACACTTTTTTCTAACCTTGTATGTATCAAGTATGCTCCACCCAAGGGCCTTTGTCTTTGCTCTACCTTGCCTAGCTTGTTCCTTTCCTGTCCTCATTTAGCATGGCTTGTAGCTTCTCTCTTCATCTTTTCATTTAGGTCTCTTGTCATATAACTTTCACAATATCTGAACTAGCATCTCTTACCTATCCCCACTTTTTCTATTTTCTGACTCTGATTTATTTTTCTTTCTAGTGCTTCACATTTACCCTGTTTTACATATTTACTTGCTTATTTGTTTATTAGTTCTTCTATATATATCCACTCCCTGTACCCTATCCCCACTGGATGCTAATGAAGTTTTATCATTTTCGTTCACATTTGCATCCTCAGTGCATGGATTTGTGGCTGACACACATAATGAATATGTACTGGATGAGTAAATGTCTACACTCCTGCTGAGTCTAGTTTTAGCAATAGCCTTATGATGCAAGCATTAGAAAATCATTAATAAAATGAAGTTTGTATTTTTATTCTCCAGTCAGCTTCAGAAAACTTTTCTTCAAAGGAAATCAAAGGCAGGTGAGAAATTAATAAATGCTCTGATAAGTGGTAATGTTGATTTAATCACTTTTTATTCAGATAAAATATAACTATCATCAAGGATGGAACAATGTTTTTAAAACTCTCCTTTTCTCATGAAAAGGTTTCAATTAAGAAGCTAAAACATGTTGAGAGGCAAACTAGTATGAAATTATGAAGTGAATTTTTATAAGTTAATGAATCTGTAATTTGGAAATACAGAAGGCTTCTCCTTCTGAATTGACATTTTATATTAAGATGAAGCTATACTTGTGGAATATTTATGGTATGAATTTAAGAAAATTTGCAGGCAGGGTGAAAATTTAACAACTGTAAACTGACTTAGTTTACAGGTTTATATTCATATTAACAAAAGTTAAAACACATTGTTGGTTGCTTTTTTTTTTTCTACCATGTCATGCTGTTGGCTGGCCATGAACTTCCGATCAACTAGTAGGTTTTAAAAGTACAATTAGGTGTTACCCCAGGTCACTCTACTTATCATGTATATTTTTAAGATCTACATGCATGTCTTTACATGTTTCCCGTTTTAGGTGATTGTGTGCTTATTTTGGCCAGTAGGGCACACATTATCTGCTTCCCCTCAACTCTCCAAACATCATCTGCCATACCCCTCTCACTCAGTGTGTTCCAATAAACTGGCTTCTTTTCATTCCTCAAAAATTCTAGCTCTTTCCTGTCTTAAGGAAACAGCACCTAGACCCTCTCCCTGAAAGCCCTTCATTTGGCTTTTTCTTTACATCTTTAGATATAATGTCACTTCTTTTGAGATGTACTCTGGGAGTCTTTCCCCTCACATCCCCTTACTTTAATCCTAAATTTAGTTTCTCTTTTTATTCCTTTAATTGGCAGTCTTTTTCCTTATTAAGACAAACAGCAATTTGTAATTATGTGTTTATTTTTATACTTATTTGTCTCACATCAGTCTTGTCATTTTCTAAGCTGTGAGAAAACAAGTACCTTATTGGTTTTACTTACTAGGAAATATTCTTCATCGAACATCATATCCTGTCTAAATAACTGTCTAATAAGTGAAAAAAGGAATGAATTATTTACACATATTTTTCTTATGCCCTACAAGGGTATCATGAAATACCAGGTCAAAAGCCATGCTGTGGGTGAATTGAAAGCATTAGAATTTCATTACAAATTGAAGTTTGTATTTATACCTGGTTGCTAAATGTTTTCTTTCAATGAAATCAACAGATGATTTACTCTTAACTGGCTCATTAGGATGCAACGCAACTCAAAATTAAAAGTTCTTTTACAATCACACAAAGATTCTCCTACAATCAAGGCAACTGTCAATCAGTGTGTGCCTTAAGATTTTTATTAAAGAGAAGAAAGTATAGAGCCTAGATTTGACAATGGAAGTATTAGAGACAAAAATTATTAATGATGTTATTGAAATATCAAAATAATTCTAAGAAAATGCATTCTCAAAGAATTAAAAATTGACAAAATATGAATTTGAGCTCAAAATACAGAAAAATATGCCTATCATTAGGTGTGTTTTAGTCTAATATACATGACAATGTTTTACAGGATCATACTTACTTCACAGTCAACAAGATAAATGTGGTACCTCCTGTTGCAGAGAACAAAGAGTTTATGACTTGAATTGCAACATAGATGAAAAATTTCCTTGTACAAGTATTATCTCTTGGGCATTCACCCAAGTGTGCTGAGTAATTTCTGTTCTGGAGACCAGTTACTTCCACACAACTACAGTTATAAAACACCTAAAAATAGTTTTTGAAATATTAACAAATACATTTGCCAAATACAACAGGGCTATGAATACATTCCATTATATTTAAAGAAGTCTCAAACTAAAATATTTACAGTTTAAAAAATGTTATAAAAATATAGTTGCTTAATAGTGAAGGCAAAATAGCTCCCTGAATTTAGGAATTTAAGAAATTAGTGTATGAAATTCTGTATATAATTTTTTCATTAATATACATTATTTAAAATATTTCTCTTCCACCTACATTTTCTTTCCAAAATACACATTCTTACTCTCTTTGGCAGGTTCTAAGTATTAGGGACTTACTCTGGGAAAGAACTACCAAAAGAATCCAGAAAATATAGTTTGAAACGGGACAAAACTTAGCCACTCATGAAAATGGGACAGAGTGCAGAGGAAATAGAGCCAGGCAGTGGTGCCAGAATTCTATTTAAGCAGGCAAAAGCAACATTCAAGACCATAATGACAGGTGACAAGATATAGTATATTATTACCAGAAAGGTTTAACACAAAAGAATGTGCTGGCTAATGGTTAGAATATAGAAGAGGAATATTAGGAACAAGTAATTTTAGAGATCAGGCAGGCAGTGTATGTGGTTAGGTGGCTTTAATAAATTCTGCTCTGATTCTAGGCTAAAGATTTAAGTTCATCTTGAACCTACTACTGCTGAAGACTATTTACTGAAGGAGAACTTGTAAAAGAATTGGCCAGGCGTGGTCACTCACACCTGTAATCCCAGCACTTTGGGAGGATGAGGCAGGCGTATCATGAGGTCACGAGTTTGCGACCAGCCTGGTCAACATGGTGAAACCCCGTCTCTACTAAAGATAAAAAAAAATTAGCCGGGTGTGGTGGTGAGAACCTGTAATCCCAGCTACTTGAGAGGCTGAGGCAGGAGAATTGCTTGAACCCAGGAGGTGGAGGCTGCAGTGAGCCGAGACCATGCCATTGCACTCCAGCCTGGGTGACAGGGTGAGACTCCATCTCAAAACAAAAAAAAGAATTTAAATCCATACTCGTATGGTTCAAGAAAGATTCCTTTTTTCCTTTTATTTTTTTTCAATAGGAATAACATGGAGGAATCTTTTATGGAGCAAGCACATTGGCCAATGAAACCCAACTTTGATACAGAGAGCATTATTTTAACAATTTTACTGAGGATTTAGTAAAGGAACTTTGCAGTAGCCCCCACATAGCATAGCCATTGCCAATATTAAGATGATGTCTCCATGAAGACAGAGCTCTCTTTAGGATACTAATATCACCTCTCTTTCAGGTCTTCACTACTGGACAACACAGGACCAGGGATTAAATGGGGTACTCTTACTGAAAGATACTATAGCTGATGAATATGAGATGTGGGCTTTTAAGTATAGTCTTTGGGCCACAAATGTGCAAGTTTACTAAAGTTGTAGCCTATCTTCAAGGAAACTAGGAGGCTTTATTCTTCAAATTTCTCCATGCCGTTTAATAATACGTTGGTAGGATATTGGGCAAGGGAAAGATAGAAAATGTTTAGAATTGAAGCATGGAAGAGTGTGGTAGAGAGTCATAATCGCAGCTGACTATATTGCTAATGTTGGTAATAGGGAAAGGGCCTGAAAAATAGTTATGCAACTTGTGAGATGTTGAATTGATTGTAGGTATGGGGAACAGCATACCTAATTTCCAATCATTGGGAGTTACCCAGGATATTGGGAAAAACAGGATATGTGTCACATGGAAAAAAAAAAGCCTTTGAGTTAAGAAAGAAATGGAATTTCCAATGGATATGTTGGCAATCAGTGAGTAGGATACTAAATTATACTGAGTAAAAGAAGTGCCAGCTTTGGGAACATCAAAATAGGAAATCAAGAATAGGGAATTCAAGTGAACATGAAGACTTGACTCATTTCTTGGAAAGTCCAAGGCCACAGTGAGTCCCTAGCTACACTTATCAGTATGTATATATTAAAATGCAAATAGATTATTGTTCTCGTAAAGCAGGTAGTGCTGACAACAGGCTAACTCTGAACTTTCCCCTAACTTCCAAAGGGTAAAGTAATTCCAAATAATAAAAATCATGTGCTTTAGTCAAATGAGATGCTTCTTAGAGACCCTAAATGCATTCAAATTCTAACAGGTCATATTCTTAAAATCTCAAGAAAAAAAGTGGGTAATCTCTAATTAGAATTCAAGTAACAGAGAAGTCTGATTGTGTCCTAAGCAGAGTTTTATATGAAGCTTTGTTTACACTTCACAGCTATCACGAGGACAGATAATACTGGAATCTTTTTGTTTTATCTTTTTATTGGAGACCTTAGTTATAGGAAGATTTGATAAGTATTTATTAAATCAAATCTGTGATTTTGATTAAGGAGAGGAGAAAAAGTGAAAACTAATACTCACTGTATGCTTTTTAATACCACTTGAGGATTTGCATCCTGCTAGACAAGGTGACAGGTAAGTTATTCCATTGTTCCCACAGACTGGTTCCCACTGACTTTCATCACAATTGCACTCTGAGTTGCAATAAGAAAGTGGTACATCTACATGAGATGCCACTGAATTATTTCTGAAAATATATGATAGAAATATATCAAAAAAAGAGAAAGAGGAAGTAGAGAAAGAGCAGAAGAGGGAGACAAGGGGATAAGGAGAGGGGAAATAGAGGAGGAGGAAGAGAAGAGGAAAAGAGAAGAGAAATAAGAGAAAGGGTTTTCCTTTAATTAGATAGAGAAATTTGATTTGCTGATGTCAAAATGGCAATTTTTGTAATGCTTATTGACTTTTAACTCTCCTTCTTTACCAAGACATGACTTATGACCTAGAAAAAGTAAAAATTAAAAAAGAAATAAAAGAGGTTAGATAAGACTTAGACAAGAGGTCTTTATCATTCTATCAATGAAACTTTACATTATATAAGTAACTTCATTTTTCTGAGATTCAGTTTCTCTTCAGGGAGGTAATGGCATTAGATTGAGGTTCCTCTAAGCTCACTTTAAAATCCTCTGAATCTATGCATGTTAGTTAACATTGTTGAATTTTACAATCTATATTTTAACTACATAAAAAAAAAGATTTCAATGTAGTTAAAACCAAACCTCTGAGGAATAAAAAATCAAGAATAATAGAATTAGTTGAAAAAGGATAAAAAATCTCTGCATATTTTCTGAATAAAACTATAATACTGTTTATACTGATTTACTTTATAATATAATTATAAATCATAAGATATAATTTTATATTATGACTAAAATTATAAAATGTTATTTGTATAATGTTTAAGCTTAAAGATTTTATTTGTTTTGTAAAGATATGATAATTATTAAGGATTTATAAAATATCTTCAAATGAGTATAGAATTTAAATTAAGAAAAATAAGGAGATTGATAATTTAGAAAATACATTATGAATAATTTTATTTAATGACATCTGATACCTCTAATAGCTCAAATTTGTGTCTTAATCTTAACATTGCTAGCCATATAATGTGTGTGTTTCTCTAAATCTCACTTTCCCATCTATAAAATTGGGGTAAAAGTGTCTACCACTCATTTTAATTACCCAGAAATCATAGGTATTATTATTTCAACCGATGTTGCTTTTCCTTAAGGAAGGAATAAAACAAATTTTTATTGTCTTAGGAAATGGACATTTTAAGAATTTGAAAATTGAAATTTCTCTCAATTAAAATAAAGTTTAATTACAATTGTTTTCTACCTTATTTTACTTGCACATAATCTTTTAATTTGATGGTTAACATATTACACAATTTATATAGCAATATATACAAACCCATCATAGGTCAAGGTTAGGCCGGCAACTGATTTGCTTTCGCAGATTAGAGGGAAATATAGAAGTTGAAACAAGAAGGATATCATCGAAGTAAGAAATGAAAATTTGGCAATTCCAACTAAAGACAATTTGAATTTTTTAATGATAAATCCTCCTAAAAACATTCCAGTTGCAACCGTAGGAATGGTTATGATTCCTAGAAATAAAAGAAGAGAAAAAAGCTATAATTATACAAATATGGTTTTTCTGATATGTCTTTATATATAAAACACAGTGTATATCAACCAAATTCACCCATTCTTATTTCTTTAAGAGAAGGGTGGAGAACCTGGGAGGCGGAGCTTGCAGTGAGCCGAGATCGCGCCACTGCACCCCAGCCTGGGCAACAGAGCGAGACTCCATCTCAAAAAAAAAAAAAAAAAAAAAGAGAGAAGGGTGGCACACTAGGGTGGAGGTAAGGGACAAGTATACCCACATGAGAGACAAAAATAATTTATTTTGGCCAATTATGAGGGCTTGGCTTCCTCACAAGAAAAAGGCAGTGGCTAAGAATATTTACGTGTCTAAAAAGGTTATTTCTATGAGGAGCTTTCTTTTTTTCTGGCAATCAACAACAAAAACAAAATCTTTCTTTCTCTGAGATTTCTATCCTACCATCTAAAAAATCCTTTATACATTTCTCAAAATGTTTCAATCCTCAATAACTCACTCCAATTTTGCCCAGGCTTTAGAATTAAATTCTTGAATTAATATCTCTTTATTATTCATAAAAGACATATCTACCATGATATGATAAAAATGTCTACATACAGGATTAAAAATGACTGATCCCTGTTACATTTTTTCCATTTCACAGTCCCGTAAGTGTTATTAAAGGTGAAGATTCCTCTAACAAAAAATTCAAGCCAGGTTATTGGGAGTCAAAACTGAATCTTTTAAGTTTAAATCTGTCAGTTCAACAGGGAGATCATCCAGAAGCCTGTTCCAATGCTTCAGTACATTCATTTTCTAATTATTACTTTCCTATGTACATATGACCTAGATACATACCATTTGATACACTGTTTAACTCATCAAATACTTATCAAATTTCTACAAGGTTTCTACAATACTGGAGTTGTGGGAAAAGGGATATAAGATAACCTTTCCTTAATGAGAAGGTCTCAATATGACTTTGAAAATAGGCATTGTAGCAAAATAAACCTCTCTAAAATATGACATTTGTTTTGAATCATGCATATTTTGTAATGTATTTAAATTGATTCTCCTTCTGAAAAGATTAATATTATGTCTTTTGTAAGTAGCTGAGGCCTTATTTCAGTCCATGAATTATAGAATTATAATGGTTATATTATAAAAGGGTTTGTCTCAGGATCTCAGTACTATATTATAAGATCCAATTATGCAGATACTACGTCTAAATGTTTTATTCACAAGCAATTTTTTTTCTTTAGAATTTCACCTATAGAATTAGGTGAATTTCACCTATGGAATTAAATTCACCTAACATGAGATGCAACTTCAAATGCAGAACAACGATGATATTACAAGATGGAGAAATTTTGTAAAGTTTGAGACATAATAAGATTACATTTAGTAAAATATAAAATCACCTTCATAATAAAATGTGACTTGGAACACAAGTACTCAGCAGTGTTTCATTTATCAAGCAAACAGGTAAAAAATATGTCTTACCCAACAAAAAGTTAGCATGAGATGCAGACTGACCGTACTGTTGCTCCATATATTTAAAGACGTAAGTAAAAGAACCAATAAAGCTGCTTACTTGTAACAATGTCAAAAGCAGAAATATAACATACAGGGGATTGGTAAGGATGCTTTTCAAAGACTGGAAAAAACCTATAGAGTTATAAAAATAACATATTTCAATAATAAAATATATATTAATATCTGAATTTTGTAAATATAAGTTATATAAGACTTAAAGTTACAAATGATTTGTGAGGCTTTCTAAGAGAGTCGCGACCTTTGCTCAAAATAAATGGAACATGTGAATTAACCAAATTGTTAAATTTTTGAGGTAAATAGGAACTCAGATGTCATCTAAACTGAACTTCTATACAATCATAACTCACTACAATGTTGATCCATTAAAAAATGGATCAATAAACAATTCAAGTGACATTATGCTACCTGAGAGCAATTTGCTCAACTTTTGAACAGTTCTCATTGTTTACATGTTGTCTTTGTAATGAACTGGAATTTTCTTTGCTTTCTAATCAATTAGTCTTAGTTCTACTCAAGAATATATGGAATAAATCTAATTTTTTTTCTGACTATAGGTACTTAGTATTTTAACCATTCCTAATGAGCACCTAATTAAAATTCGCTTTACTATTCACATCACTACCCTTAAAAAAACAGTTCATAATATAGAAAATGTTTACAGTTGCCCCTTTTTTTGCACCTTATTATCTTCTTTATTCTTTTTGGGCTCACAGTCAACCCTGGTCCTTATAGGTTTAGAAAATCCATTAATTGGCTGGGCATGGTGGCTCACGCCTGTAATCCCAGCACTTTGGGAGGCCAAGGCAGGTGGATTGTCTCAGCTCAGGAGTTCCAGACCAGCCTGGCCAACACGGTGAAACCCCGTCTCTACAAAAATACAAAAAATTAGCCGGGTATGGCAGTGTGTGCCTGTAGTCCCAGCTACTCGGGAGGCTGAGGCAGGAGAATTGCTTGAACCTGGGAGGTGGAGGTTGCAGTGAGTCAAGATTGCACCACTGCACTCCAGCCTGGGTGACAGAGCGAGACTCTGTCTCAAAAAAAAAAATTCATCAATTGTTATGGATTTGATTAAAGTAGAAACATAGCATAGACAAAATAAAAAATCCTTGATACGCTGTTTTTAGTATGCATGTTAAACTACAAAAACTTATCAATGATGTGCTGGTAAATGTTTAACAACAGATTCACTGGGAAACAAACTCGATTTGTGATATTTTTCAATTTCCATGGTAATACATGACGGTAAATTCTCCTACCATGGACAATTTCAAGCTACCAACGCAGCTGAAATTGAGCAATCCACTCTCATGAGTGAATACACAAGGCTCCAGCATCCATCCCATTGCTCTTGGGTTAGTGTGGTGGAGAGGAGAAAATAACAACAACAAAAAAAAAGGTAAGTGAAGGAACTGATGAGAGAAAGAACATGGGTTACTTTGGAAAGTTTGTAAGTTTACTTCAATGAAAACTTTAAAAAGTGCCAAGGGTTTAAGTGTTGGTTGCACTGCTTCAGGTTTTACTACTTCACCATTTCTCCCTAATCTGAAAACTGCTGTCAATACCTTACCATTTGATATATCTTGCTCTGACAGCTGCCAGATCATTCTCTTGATTATTGCTTCTCAATGGTACTCCATTAGCCCATTTGGCTTATATTGGACAGAGGCACCACTATCAAGTGGTAAGGAATCCTAATTCACATTATTTACTCCAAATATCTTAATTACTGATGTTGCTTTTCACTTCATTTTTGAATACTTAGGTAAGATTATATATGTATATATATAATTTTAATTCATATATAAAAATTAATTTAATAAGATATAATTTTAATTACCAAGAAAAATAATCTTACTCTAATTACCTAGACAGACTCCTCTCCTGAATTCCTTCTCCTTATTTCATCTCTACACCTGAGAATAGTTAAATATAACCTACCATAGTACTTAAGATACTTTATTACAGTGATCTATATACGTCTTAATATCATCCACCAGGTTCTCAAAAAATAAAGGCAATGTTCTATTACCAGAGAATAGTATGATGGCTGGTATCATTTGTTAAATAAATAAATGAATGAAAAATTATAATCCTTTAAACCCTCACAGTTTATACTATATTATATTAAAATGAATATATACTCTGGCTTATAAGCAACAGATGTTTGTAGCCTTTGATTGGTTTCTCTCTTCTAAAGAGCAGAAACCTAATCCTCTTCCCCTTTTTATGTACTCAAGACATATTTGTTAATTTTAATAGGAGTTTTAGAAAAAATAATTCAGCTAAATTTAGCAGAGAAGAAAGCTGACTCTAGATGATTTGAGTATGCTTTATTTTTTTTTACTCACTTCTCCGTTTCATTGAGATTAACAATTCCAAGTTGACAATGAATGTCAAATACCTACCAGTCACATTTTTGGTAACATTTTTTCCTTGGTTGGTCAAATTAGCTGTTTGATTTCTATCATCATTTGTTTTCAGCACATGCAATGATAGTGAAATTTTTCTTTCTTTTTGTGGTTTATTTGGATTTTTCGGCAAGAAAAAAAATGGTATGGAAGAAATAATGGAAAATAGTCCAGACACAAGGAAACCAAGCCACCAAGCTCCAACCCAACGAGAGTCCTTAGGAGTTATTCTGATAGTGCCTAGGAGAAACAGTTAAAAGAAGCCAGTCAAAAATCGTTTTGAAATACAGTAGGTTCTGGGAAATAATGATAATGATTGCAGTCCTCCATAGATGAAGAAAGTAAACCAAATGTTTACTTTCAATTCTAAAACACTATTTTCTTCTTTTCATATTTTGTTATCTCTGAAACTAGGTTGATGACATCTTGCAATTGCTATTGTCCAGGAGTCAGTCATGACACTGTTCGCATTGCCTGATCTTGTGTGCACTTGGTGGCTTTTCAGATTTCATGACTGGACAGCTGTCATCATTGGACATTTAACTCCTCAGACCATTTAATAACTGTTCATGGAAGAAATATGAATCCTCACTGTTGTCTGAAAATGTTGGAATCATCTAATGAGGTCAAGAAAGCCTCAGAAATAAAATTTAAGCAGCTGGCAAAAAATACTTAGAGACAATAAAGGAGCTTCCATCCACAGCACCCTAACTACCCAGGAACCTGCATTTGCAACTCTCCAGACAGCACAGAGGATGAAAAACTATGCAAAATGAAAATCTGAGTTTAAGAGTAACCCAGAAATATTGGACTCTAAATGTTAGAAATCATTTAACCATTTTATTTCAACTATATTTCCCTTAAAGTATGTATAAGAGTAATGTGTAAATGCTATATCTCAAATGTCAATGAGTTATTTTAGTAGGTAGAAAATATACAGTTTAAGTAACAGGAATGCATCCATGAGATATCAGCAAGATACCAGAATAAGAAGGACAGATACCTTTTTCTCCATGAACATACTGATTCAACAGTAATATTCAGATCAATTTCATTTGTGAGAAATACAGAAGCTAACTGAGAGATTGCTATACATCAGGAAAGTACAAAACCAGATACATAAAAACCAGTAAGATAATTGGAGACATCCTCTTGCCATTCTCCTCCTCAGTATTATACCATACAATTGGGAAAAACTAGCAGTTTAAACTGGCATGTGAACACTTGACACAGCTCTTCCCTCTGGCTTAACACAGAGCGAATGTGTGAGAGAAAAAGAAAAAAACAAAAAATGTGGCAATTCCTCAAGGATCTAGAACCAGAAATGCCATTTGATCCAGCAATCCCTTTACTGGGTATATACCCAAAGGAATATAAATCATTATATTATAAAGATACATGCACATGTATGTTTATTGCAGCATTATTTACAATAGCAAAATCATGGAACCAACCCAAATACCCATCAATGATAGACTGTATAAGGCAAATGTGGTACATATACACCATGGAATACTATGCAGCCATAAAAAGGAAGGAGATAATGTCCTTTGCAGGGACATGTATGAAGCTGAAAGCCATTATCTTCAGCAAACTAACACAGAAACAGAAAATCAAACACTGCATGTTCTCACAAGAAGGAGCTGAACACTGAGAAGACATAAACACAAAGAGGGGAACAATACACACTGGGGCCTGTCATGGGGGCAGAAGGAGGGAGAGCATCAGGACAAATAGCTAATGCATGTGGGACTTAATACCTAGGTGATGGGTTGATAGGTGCAGCAAACCACCATTGCACATGTTTACCTATGTAACAAACCTGTACATTCTGCACATGTATCCTGGAACTTAAAGTAAAATAAAATTTTTAAAAAATGCTCCCAGCTTATCCTTGGGGAGAGAAAGGGCTGGACTGCACATTCAACATTTCAACCTTTCCAAGTGCTACCCAATAGATTAGCTTCTATCTCATCTGTCTCGAAGTACTGAGAGGACCCAGCATATGCCAGACACCTGGGAACTACAGAGAATAAAGATGAGCCAGTATGTGGACATTTATCACAGATCCTGCCCCCTAGGTTAGTGCAGAGTGAGCAGGCAAAAACAAACAAAAACAAAAACAACAACAACATCTCAGCTCTTAGCTCCTCCATGGGGAAACAAAGATTTGGACCACATATATAACATTTCATCTTTTCTGAGTTCTATCAAGGAAAGGTATTTTGTCTTCCTTGTCTTTAGGTTAGGCATACACTTGGCCCCTGGGTGCTACAAAGAACACAAAAATGATGATTTAAACTAGCACATGGGCACTTGCCAAGTTCTTCCTGCCCCTAGATTTAAGCAGAGTGATGAGGTAAGAAATCTCAGCTTCCAAATTCTCCATGGGAAGGGAAAGGGTTGGACAGCATGCCAAATATTCAAACTTTCCTAAGAGTTGACTAAGGACTGTCTTCTGTCTCAAATGTGTAAAGGTGCTGATAAGACCCTGCATACTCTAGATGCCTGGGGGATCCTAAGACAAAGATAGATGTTTGGATGACCATGAAAATTTGAGAGGCCCAAGAAGATATGGCTGGGCTGATTGATGAAGGTTTTCTCCTACAATAAGGCCAGTCCATGAAGAGTTGGAGAGGTGATTCTTTTTTTCTAAGGCATAGATTGCAAAATATTTTTTCTAATACCAGCTCAGCCACAGTAAAATAGGGCACCAGGCAGAGTTTTGAGGCCCTAACTCATGGACAACATTTCTAGGCACATCCTGGGCCAAAAAGGAATCCACTGCCTTGAAGGGAAGGACCCACTCCTGGCAGCATTTATCATCAGTTGACTAAAGAGCCCTCAGGCCCTAAATAACCAGCAGTGGTACCAAAGTAATGCAAAGTAATGCACTCAGGGCCTTGGGCTCTGAGATTTGCTGACTTCAGGTGTGACCAAGCACAATCCCAGCCATGGTGGTTGCGGTGAAAGACTCCTTCTGTTTAAGAGAAGTGGTGGAAAAATAAAGGCGACTTTGTCTTGCACCTTAGGTAGCAGCTCAGCTACAGTAGAACAGAGCAACAAGAAGGCTTTTGGGGTCCCTGAGTCCAGGACTAAGCTCTTGGAAAGCATTTCTAGACCTGCCCTGGGCCAGAGGCAAGTCTAGAAATGCTGTCCAATAGCCTAGTCCTGGACTAAGAGACCCACTGCCCTGAAGGATGAGTCTCTGAGACCTGGCAGCATTCATAATAAACTGACTGAAGAGCCCTAGAGCTTTAATTGAACATGGGTGGTGGCCTGGCAGAATCTTCCTTGGGCCTGTGGTGGTGGTGGACACAGGGAGAGGCTCCTCTGCCTGTGGCAAGGGGAGAGAAGAGCAAGAAGAACTTTGTGCTGTGGTTTGGGTGCCAGCGTAGCCATAGTAAAACAGATATCTATTACAGGTAAATTGCAAGGGTTTTTTGCTCCAATCCTTGGCTCTCAGACAGCATCTGTAGGCCAGCCTGAGGCCTAGAGGAACTCACTGCATTGAAGGGAAGGATACAAACCTGGCTGGCTTGGCCAACTACTGATTGTAGAGCCCTTGATCTTGAGTTAACATAGATGGTAGCCCGACAGTAGTTAAAGAGGGCCTTGGGCAAGACCCAGTGCTGTGCTGGCTTCAGGTCTTACCCAGGACAGTCTCAGTGGTTGGGGGGCCACAAGGATGCTTGCTTGCATCAGTGAACCCCCAGTTTCTGGCAGCTCAGCACAGAAAGAGCAAGACTACATTTGCTTTGGAGAAAGCAGGGGAAGAGAACAAGAGTCTCTGCCTAATAATCCAGAGAATTCTTCCATATACTTTCCAAGGCCACCAAGGCAGTACCTCTCTAAGACTGTAAAAACCACAGTATTATTGAGGTTGTGGCCAAAGTCCCTTCATATACCTAAAAAGCCTAGTAAAGAAGGATAGGCAAAAACAAACCCAGACAACAAAGACTAGAATAAATACCTAAGTCATCAATGCCCAGACACTGATGAATAACATAAGCACTAAGATGAGCCAGGAAAACATGACCTCACCAAACAAATTAAATAAGGCACCAGGGAACAATCCTGGTGAAACAGACATATGTAATCTTTCAAACAGAGAATTCAACATAGCTATTCTGAAGAAACTCAGAGAAATTCAAGATAACACAGAGAAGGAATTCAGAAACTATCAGATAATTTAACAAAGAGACTGAAATAATTAATGCCAATACTATTCAAACCATTCCAAAAAATGGAGGAGCAGGGAATATTTCCAAACTCCTTCTGTGAGGCCAATATTACCCTGATACCAAAATCAAACAAACACACATCAAAAAAACTACAGGCCAATTTCTCTGATGAATATTGATGCAAATATCCTCAACAAAATAGTGACAAACCAAATTCAACAATACATTAGAATGATCCTTCATCATGACCAAGTGGGATTTATCCTGGGATCCAAAGTTAGTTCAACATATGCAAATCAATAAATCTGATACATTATATAAACAGAATGAAAGGTAAAAATCATATGATCATTTCAATTGATGCTAAAAAAGCACTTGATAAAATTCAACATCCCTTCATAATAAAAGCCCTCAAAAATCTGGGAATAGAAGGAACATACCTACTCAAATATATCCACAGATTCAAATTCATATGAAACCAACAAATGACCTCAAATAGCCAAAGCAACCTTGAGAAAGAACAAAGGTGATGGTTCACACTTCCTGATTACAAATATATGTCAAAGCTAAAGTAATTAATACATTACAGTACTGGCATAAAGATAGATATGTAGACCAACAGAATGGAATACAGAGCCCAGAGAAATCTGTGTGTATACAGTCATCTGATCTTTGACAAGGGACCACGATAGTGAAATAATTGTTTCTCTGATAAATGGTGTTGAGAAAACCAGATATTCACATACAAGAAAATGATGTTATATCCTTATCATATATATACTGAAAAAATAAACTCAGACTATGTTGAAGACTAAAATTTAAAACTAGAAACTATAAAATTCTTAGAATAAAACTTAGAGAAAGAATTTCATTACATTTGTCTTGACAATAATTTCATGGATGTACCACCAAAAGCACAGGCAATAAAAGCAAAATTAGACAAATGGAACTGGTCAAACTAAAAAGCTTCTACCCAGCAAAAGAAATAATCAACAGAGTGAAAAGGCAACATACGGAATAAGAGAAAATATTCATAAAGCATATATGTGATAAGGTGTTAATTTCTAAAATGTACAAAAAATTCCTACAACTCCATAGCAAAAAAATATAATTGCCTGATTTAAAAATAGGTGAAAGACCTGAATAGAAATTTCTCCAAAGAAGGTATCGAAATGAACAGGTATATGAAAAGATATCCAACATCACTTATTATCATAATAATGCAAATCAAAAGCACAATTACGTATCACCATACACCCATTAGGATGGCTATTATCAAAAATAAAGAATGAGAAAAGTGTTGGCATAGATGTGGAGATATTTGAACACTTATACACTGTTGGTAGAATGCAAAATCGTGCACCTGGTATAAAAAAATAGTATGAAGTTTCCTCAAAAAATTAAATATAGAACTACCATATGATGGAGCAATCTCACTTCTAGGTGTATATCCAAAATAATCGAAATTAGGATCTCACAGAGATATTTCCATTTGTATGTTCATTGCAGCACTCTTCACAGCAGTCTAAATGTGAAAACAACCTAATATCTACAGAGAGATGAATAAACAAAGAAAATGTGATATATACGTATAATGAAATGCTATTCACCCTTAAACAGAAAGGACATCCTGCAATATGTGATAACGTGGTTAAACTTTGCCAACATTGTGCTAAGTGAAATAAGCCAGTCACAGAAGAACAAATACTGAGTGTGAGCGGCAAGCCACCCAGGTGCCGAGGCAAGAGACCAAGGACACGAGCTGTTCCAGTATAATAAAATATAAAACAAGAAGTTATACCAGATATAGATCTTAGATATGATTATATATGAATATCATTAATCATTAGTTTGTAGCAATTACTCTTTATTCCAATATTATAATAATCCTCACTCTATAATCATAACCTAGGAAAAGCCAGGCCATACAGAGACAGAAGCTGAGGGGACACAGTGAGAAGTGACCAAAAGACAAGAGTGCGAGCCTTCTGTTATGCCCACACAGGGCCACCAGAAGGGCTCCTTGTTCTAGCAGTGACGCCAGTGTCTGGGAAGACGCCCATTGCCAGGCGGACCACAGTCTAGCGGTAGCAAGAAGTGTCAAGGAACAACACCCGCTACTTAGCAGACCGGGAAAGGGAGTCACCCTTTCCCCGGGGGAGTTTAGAAAAGACTCTGCTCCTCCACCTCTTGTGATATTAGTCAGGCTTGCCCGCAGTTATCCAGAGGCCTAACCATCTCCCTGTGATGCTGTGCTTCAGTGGTCACGTTCCTAGTCCGCCTTCATGTTCCATCCTGTACACTTGGCTCTGCCTTCTAGATAGCAGTAGTAAATTAGTGAAAGTACTAAAAGTCTCTGATATGCAGAAATAATGGTGTAAGTTGTCTTTCTCTTTGTCTCCTCTCTCTTCTCTGCCTCGGCTGCCAGGCAGGGAAGGGCCCCCTGTCTAGTGGACATGTGATCCACGTGACCTTACCTATCATTGGAGATGACTCACACTCTTTACCCTGCCCCTTTTGCTTTGTATCCAATAAATAACAGCACAGCCAGACATTCGGGGCCACTACCAGTCTCTGTGCATTGGTGGTAGTGGTCCCCCAGGCCCAGGGGTCTTTTCTTTTATCTCTTTGTCTTGTGTCTTTATTTCTACACTCTCTCATCTCCGCACACAGTAAGAGACCCACCAAATCTGTGGGGCTGGTCCCTACAACTGAGTGATTACATTTATGTGAGGCATACAAAAGAGTCAAACTCATGAAAGCAGAAAGTAGAATGGTGATTTCCAGTGGTTGTGGGAAAGGGGAAATAGGGAGTTCCCAGTCAATGGGTATAAAAAGTTTCATTTATACAAGATGAGTAAGCTCTAGAGATCCGCTGTACAACATTGTGCCTGTAGTTAATAATACTGTATTGTACAGTTGACCTTTGAATAACATGGGATTTAGGGTGGCTGACCCCCCAAACAGTTGACAATCTGTCTGTAACTTTTGGTTCCCCAAAAACTTAACTTGAATCTGTAGATATATTTGGGTAGGTATGTTCCTTCTATCCCCAGATTTTTGAGGGCTTTTATTATGAAGGGATGTTGAATTTTATCAAGTGCTTTTTTAGCACTAATAGTTGGCCAGAATTCTTACCAATAGCATAAACAGTCAACATATATTTTGCATGCTGTATGTATTATAAACTGTATTCTTTCTATAAAATAAGCAGGAGAAAATGACATTTAGAAAATCACAAGGAAATGTGTTTACTATTCATTAAGTGGAAGTGGGTCATCATAACGCTTTTCATCATCCTCATCTCTTCACATTGAACAGGTAGAGGAGGAGGAAGGGGAGGCACTGTTCTTGCTTTCTCTAGGGTAGTAGAGGCAGAGGCAGTGGAGGAGGTAAAAAGAAAGACAGGAAAGGCAGGTACACACAGTGTGGCTTTACAGAAACACATCATAATTTCTACAGGAAAGACAGGTACACACAGTGTGGCTTTACAGAAATACATCATAATTTCTATTTGACTTTGTTACTTTATCATTTCTCTGAAAATGTTTCTATATGATACCAATCCTTCTTCCACTGTTTGCTTTCATTTCAGTGCCCACATTACAGAAGCTTCCATGTTGTAAAATACATCAAAACAGTCTTGAATAATCAGAACACTTCTGCCAGACTGTCTGATGTCAATTTGTTTCTGTCGCTGCTTCTTCCATGTCTTCTTCCTCATCATCTGACATTAGTTCAGAAGCACTTATCTCCATCAAGTTGTCTTCTGTTAATTCCTCTGTTGTGCCTGTTACCTCTTGAATGTCTCCAAGATCCATGTCTTGAAATTCTTCACTCCACACCTTTTTTTTTTTTGGCCATATCCACAATCTCTTCATAATTTTCTTGAATGGTTATGAATTCCATGAAGCTATGCACAACATTTGGACAGTTTTCTCCAGTAGAAATTTGTTTCCTGTTTGAAGGCTTTTGTGGCTTTTTACATAACAATGATGGCGACTTCAACGGTGTAATCTTTTCAGACTTTTATAATGTTCTCTCTATTGGGGTTCTCTTCCACAGTATTTACAATCCTTTCTATAGGGTAACATGTATAATGAGCCTTAAATGTCCTTAGGACCCCACATCTAGAGGGTGAATTAGAGACATTGAGTTTGGGGTAAAGCAGACCACTTCAGCACCTTCAGTATTCAACTCATGAGGTTCTGGATGACCAAGAGCATTGCCAATTATCAAAAGGACTTTAAAAGGTAAACCCTTCCTGCCAAGGTACTTCCTGTCTTCAGGAACAAAGCATGGAAGGAAACTGTCATAACTTTTCAGAAAAAAAGTTATTGTTCAGGCCTTCTTGTCATACAACCAAAAGACTAACAACTGTTTTTTACTATTTCCCCTTCAAGGCTTAGGGATTAGCAGTTGTATAGGTAAGAACAGTTCCGATCATAAACCCCACTGCATTTGCACAGAACATCAGCGTTAGCCTATCCCTTCCTGCCTTAAATACTGGTACTCACTTATCTTCCTCATTAATAAGTGTACTTTGTGGTATTTTTTTTCCAGAATAGGGCACTTTCATCGGATTAAAAACCTGCTCAGGTAGATGTCCTTTCTCCTCAATGACTTTCTTTATGCCATTTAGAACTTTTCTGTTACTCCTAAGTGGCAGGAGCTGCTTCTCCTGTTATACTGACACTTTTTTGAGGCAAACCTCTTTAGAAAATTTTCAAATTATGCATTAGTGGCATGAAGTTCTCCAGCTTTAAATCATTCACTTTCCTTTTGCTTTAAGTTTTCATATAATGACTTCACTTTTTCTTGAATCATGTTTCGAGTCTACAGTTATGCCTTTCTGATAGCAATCTTGCATCTACATAAAAGTTGAATTTTCAATATGATATAAAAAGCTATTGCACTAAAAGGACAGGTTTATGTGCCCAATGTTGTAGCTGCAGTGAGGCTTCATGTTGATCCATTTTTCTGTGTGTGGGTTTTTGTTTTTGTTTTACAATGGTCCTTGTACTGGATGCATTTATATTGAAACAGTGGCCAGCTGCAGAGCTCATTCTACAGTACATATTAAACAATTCAACTTTTTCTTATAATGTCATGACTTTTCTTTGCTTCTGGGAGCACTTCCAGCATCACTAGTGGTACTTCATACGGCTCACACAGTGTTACTTAAGGTTGATGTTACAGCACTTAACAGGATGAAAAATACGCAGAAAACACAAGGGTTCACTTTTTACTGTGATTCATCACTTACTGGAGAGTGATGAAAACTACTCATATGGAGATGATGAATGACACATGGCATTTTAAATAAATACTCTCAACACTTGAGCTTACTGCAATAACAACAGGAGATGATTACAGAATTTTTACAGCAGTGAAGTAGGCACTACAGTTAATTTTATGCAGTCATGATTTAATACTGTGACTGGGAATGGCATCATGTAAGGTCTATAAGAGTTTCTCTGTGTAAAGTTTAACAAATTTTAACTTTTAATAATAGATTTGTGCATATTTTATTGTAGTAAATTATAAAATAATATTTACATATATTTTATGTATTCACAATATAACTAATTTTCTCTTAACTTTTTCTGTATTTGTAAGCTGCCTAGTTTATCTGCAAGGTTTTTCATGTCGTCACAAATCTCGAAAAATGTTTCCAATACATTTATCAAAAAAACTATGTATAAGTGGACCTGCACAGTTCAAATCTGTGCTGTTCAAGGTTCAATTGTATTTTTGGGAGGTAGAGTCCATTTTAATTGTTCTTATCTCAGTAAAATAAAAATAATAAAGATTAAGAAAGCGTACACACACGGAAACACACACACCATAGAAGTTTGTAGCAAACTTAACTGATGCCATTACTCTGATCTATAAGAAAAATCATTGACATGAAAAAATATTGAATTGATTTAAAACTATTTAGAAATATATTATTTGCTAGTATGGACTGATCTGGTTTTAAAATTGATTTATGTGATCATATTGTTTCATAATCAACAACTCAGGCAGACTTCAGGAAATGACTAGTTAAATCAGTAACTCCATTATACATGCTAAGTGTTTACTTATCACCTGTCAGAAATGTAATTTTGATGACTGTTTTTGGTTCTTTCACTGGTCTATATATAGGAACTAAAGGTCATAACCAAGCTAGATATGTCCTGCTAGTGCTTCCCGTGGCTCACACACAATCTTAAAAATTGGAAAATTCTACATTAAAATCTTGGTTCCTGGATTCTCTGGAAAACCAATCAGAAAGCCTTATTAATGCCGGTGCCAAAATTCTGTATGAAAAGTATAGACCAGAGCTGGGGAGCACATGAGTTTTAGTGTGTATGGGGAGAGTAGTGCACCAACAACAACTCTCCCCATTCTAACCATCATACCCTAATTTCCTGCCCTTGATATTCTTTACTCATTTATGTTATGTCTTTGGATCCTGTAGGAATTAAAATTTACCAAAGTATACTTTATCATAAGTTCACTTCATGCTTCTCACAGAATAAGAGAAGATGTGATAAGGTCTGAACAGTCAGGGGTAGAAGTTGAATCACCATGAATTCTAAAATGGTGTGCTTATTTCTGAATAGAGAGGCTACAAAACTACTATCCTAAAGACCTTCAACACTTACTTTGTACTCAGTGTTAAAAGCAATGATTAAAGTAGAGCAAATGAGTAAAAATGATGTACATAACGTGTAGCTACACTAAGCCACATGTCTAACATGGAAGATATAAAACATATCATCAGGTACTTGCTTTAGTTTTATAATAGAAAACACTTTATGATTTCTTGGCCTACAATAATGGCTATTCCATCTTGGAATGAATCCTTTGGTCTCTTTGGAGTGATCTATTTAAGTCCTCAAGAGATAGAAAATCATATTTGTTTATTCACAAACCCTGATGAGTTATTATATGCTAACACAGACACGATTCTGTCATGTTCTCAAAGAGATGGTGGGTAAGTATGCAAATATTTATAGATTGTTGTGAGAAGGGCTACAATAAAGGCATGCTCTTGATGATTAATAGGAGCACCGAATTTGAGACCAATGGAAATGATGAAGTAAGGGTTACATGAGAAAAGTCACATGTTGAAAGAGACTTTGAGAACCATAAAAATAAAAAAGAGAGAAAAGTTTTTCCAATTTTAAATAAAGGGAAGTGTGAGATTACAGGGCATAGTAATTCAGTCAGTCATTGAATTAAGGTACAGATATTCATCAAGAGAGGGAATACAGGAAACAAAGTGGGTTTGGAAATCAGACGATGAGACCAGCTTTTCACAGGTTGAGTTTTAGGTACTTATTTAAAAAAAAATCTAAGAAGAAAAAAATGGAACAAGTAGTAGAAATATCCATTAAAATAAATTATAGAAAAATATCCATTACAATTAGTAAATTACATAGAAGCTGATTGTGTTTTATTAGTGGTAAAACAGATTATAGTGGATGAGAAGTAAATGGGAGATGAGAAGGTGAGATACTTATGTTAGATGATGTTTTTCTAGGTACTTGGCTTTGAAGATAAATTGAGAAACAGTTAATCAATTGGAAAGTTGTTTGGGGATATAAAAATGTGTATGTGTACATAGATGGGAGAGACTTCAGTGTGTTTGCTGAGGAAAAGAGAGGGTGCAGATGGAGGAGAGGCAGAAAGAGGAAATCTAAACCCCAGTTGGATCTACTAATATTAGCTAAAGATAAATACTTTTTCATAAGTATGGGTTAAAAAAAGATAAATATGGATATGGTGAAGGTATATCTGTAGGAAGGAGGGCCTGAAGTCGAGGCAGATATTACAACATTGATTCTTATTCTTCTACAAGAGGAGAAATAAAGCATGCTCTGAGAGTAAAGACAAAAGTCGTAAATTTTATTTATGCATCCTCTCCTTCATTCATTTGTTCTATAAGCACTCATTAAATGTTCCCATAGGCCAAGCCCTCAGTGAGAACCAGGAAAAATGACCACAACCAAAGTGCACTGTGGCCTCTCTTAACCCACCCCTGCCGTAAGTCAATGCAGCAGCCACAAGGAGGCTTTCGCAAAGCAAACATCAACATCTGAGTTCTACACATCAACATCCAAGTCACCATCAACTGAAAAATAAAATTTACTTGACTGGGCCAGTCAGTTTTGGGAAAGGGACATTTCAAGTTTGGTTATTTTGGATCAAGTAATCTAAAATAAATTTGTTAAAAATCTCTTTTTATACTTAGTTGTAAAAGCAAAGTATAAATAGGAGCTAAATTTCTTTTTTATTCTGATTATTAATGGATTTATTTCCTACTTGTAACTCTTGAAAAATAGTAAACAAAGAACTATTGAAAGACTGAATTTAATTCTTTGGAAGAATGGTGTCCTGCACTTAAAAGACACTATCATGGTACCTTGTTCTAATTGTACTTACTCAGATCTACATATCCAATATCCACGTACATTTTAGCAAACAGAGATCCCAGTGCAAAGCCAATGACTGGACCAATCATTCCTATTGCATTCAAACTACCTGTAAGTATTACAAAACAATTTAATCAGATGTCACAAATACTTGGTTTTCATTTAACATGCTTTTAAAAGTAATATTATACAATACACTTCTGCAAATATTTTTCTAATAGGTAAAAGAAAAAAATAATGACATTATTATTTCAAGGGTAGATCCAGGGAATGTAATCATGAAATTTAATATATTCTGTACGTTACCTAAATACAAGGAAGAATGTCCTTCTTTTGCAAAATCATCAATGTATGAAATCCCCAATGGTACTATGGGGGTTTCCCCTATGCCACGAAGCATATTCCCCATGAAGACATAGATCCACATGTGTGACCCAGATTCCTTTACACAATCTATCGAGACAAGAGAGTGTTTTACTTTAAACATTAATTTTAACATTCCTATTAGAAATTTAACTACTTTAAATCCTTCATTTTTCCATTTTTTGTTTGTTTGTTTCCTAATTACAAGTGATTCATATTCACTTTACAAAGTTTGAAAATAAGGAAGGGCACAAAGAAAACAAGTAAAAATTTTCTATAATTACACTACACACAGACGATCATTGCAAATGTTATTCTAGATCTTCTGCATTTTTAGTGCACAAAATATGCATAATATTCCTTATGTACATTACATATTTAAAAATCCAGGTTATTTTTAAGGTGCATATACAATTATCACTATATTGTCACAATTTCCCCATGTTGTCAAGAGTTCTTCTATATTAAAATTTTAATTACTGCATAGTAGTGTGTTGAATAATAGTTTCCTAATTTGGTTAAACAATCTCTTCTTTTGTCGTTACAAAATATTTTTTTTTATTCTGTTAAACATGGATGTCATGGCTGTGATTATGAAATGTCCTTGTGAACATTACTGATGATTTCCTTAAGATTAATCAAGAAAGTAGGCAAGTATATTTTTGTTCTTTAATATGTATTGAAAATTAATCTCCAGAAAGACTTTGAAATTTATACTCTCCCAGCAATACAGAAAACTTGAAATCATTTTTTTTCCTCCACTTCATTTATTTTTAATAAATTTTGGGGTTAAAATTATACTTATATTATTGTGTTTATAATAGTTACAAAGTCTTCAAATGCTATAACATTTTGCATCTTTATAAAGAGAAAGTTATATTATTCACATATTTCTACCACTTTCTGCTTTTTTATTTTAAATGTGTATGTTCTTTGCAAATTTCCTACTAAATTTGTTCTTTTTTCTTATCTACTTCTAAATGCCCTTGGTATACAATAATCCATTTGTACACTAGGAGGTTTGTTCTAGGACAACTCATATGTACACAAATTTATACAGACTTAAGTCCTCTCATTTGCCCTGTGGAAACCGCCTATAGAAGTCAGACCTCCACATCGGTGGTGGGTTTCTCCTTCTGTTTGGTTGGACAAAAGCTGCATATAAGCGAACAGGTGCAGTTCAAACCTGTGTTGTTTAAGAATCGACTGCATACATTAACAGTATGATTTTGTCTGTATGTAAGGGATAAATGTTCTTCCTATTTGTTCTTAAATCAATTTTGTTAAAGAATATCAGAAACTTTATAGACGTGATTAAATCTATCAATCTAGAATTTGTTTTACTGTCACTATTAATTCTTACCTTTTTCTACTATCTCAGGTGATGTTCCATTGAATGATAAGGTTTGATTAATTAAACAGGTTGATAAACTTGATGTTGAATTTTCTGATGGATTAATATGGGTTTCTTTAGAATACCTATAACTGTAAGAGCAACATGAAATTGAACATTTTGCTTATCTACTGAATATTTTCAGTTTTCCCAGAAATACAGAGAAATTTTCTCCTTTATTTGAACCGCTGTCTTCTCCAAATTACCAGAATCTTGTTTGTCAACTTCCCAGCATGTATTTCAGAACAGGTGATGAGAGGGGGTGAAATGGGAGTGTCCACTAAGAAAGATACTTCAATACACCATGAACAAAGTGGGTTATCACCTTGCTTTTATCCTAAGAGTGCTTATAATCTGGTCAAGATATGAAATATCATGGTTTCACCTGTTGTTTTTTTATCTGTTAACTATGTCTATTTATCCCTTTGAGTTACCATCAAAGATGGTCAATCTGTCTGATTTTCTTTCATGTACACACACACACACACACACACACACACACACACACAAAGTGCTTGACTTTTCAAAACTCAATAAAAACAAATTTCTAATTCATTTAAACTTTATGAGGAAAAAATAAGAACAACGGAGATGGAGCTGGATCAGGGACAGACGCTGATGCTCAAAAATACTAACCGCTCTGTGAGTTCTAAGGACAACATATAGTGTGCCAGGCATTTTGCTCAACTTCAAAGAACAAGAAATAAAACATGAAGATCAAGAAATAAAACACACAGTGTTTGTACTTTGGAAATTTCACACTCTCTAAGATAAATGTGTATGATCGAAGATATAGTAAATTTAATATACAAGGTCCTGGGTTGTCACACACCCACAAAAAAGAAATGATCAGGGGCTGGGCGCGGTGGCTCACGCCTGTAATCCCAGCACTTTGGGAGGTGGAGGCGGGCAGATCACGAGGTCAGGAGATCCAGACCACCCTGGCTAACACAGTGAAACCCCGTCTCTACTAAAAATACAAAAAATTAGCCGGGCGTGGTGGCAGGCGCCTGTAGTCCCAGCTACTCGGGAGGCTGAGGCAGGAGAATGGTGTGAACCCGGGAGGCGGGGCTTGCAGTGAGCCGAGATCGCGCCACTGCACTCCAGCCTGGGCGACTAGCGAGACTCCGTCTCAAAAAAAAAAAAAAAAAAAAAGAAATGATCAGCTTTTCTTGGAGGTGAGGGTAGATCAAAGAAAACTTCACAATGTGAAGGACAGATTAAATGAATATTGAAGATGGGTAGAATTCAAATTGGTAGACAAAGGAAGAAAAGTATTCAAGTCTGTAGAAATAACAGATGCAAAGATATGACATATTATGGCACATTAGAGAACTGTAAGCCTAGAATGTGGTCCTCAAATGTGGGGAGCAATGGAAGATGAAGCTGGGGTAGTTGCATTTAAGGCATATTCTCCATAAAAATAATGAAGAATAAGATATTAAGAAGATTAGAGGGAATTATGGGACACAGAAATTATGGTGTCAGAAGCAAAGGAAAAAGATGGGCATGATGAAGCCACAAAAATAGAAAAATGAATCAAGATTGTGGAATATGATGAGTATTAGAGCAGTACCATTAAGAAGAAAGTTCTTATAAGGGCCAAATGTAGAGGGGGAAAAAAACAGAATTCATATGGTGACCAACAGGCATGATTGCTGGATTTGGCATTAAGGAATTGGTGTCTCTAACAAACTGCTCGTTGTCTCTCAGTATCCTTTCTTCTCTCCTTCCATAGTAACAGAAGTTGGTTTTTTTAGCTGGAAATACGGAAGCCTGGAATAAAGTACATTTTTCCAACATCTACATATCTATGTGTAAAACGTAACTGACTTCCCGTAAATGTGAAATCAGTGAAAGTGTTTTGCTTCTGAAAATGCTCCTGGAGCTCAGCCTGTGTGCACTCTTTGTTCTTGTTCTTCTCTTCTTCTATCCTGTTGCCTGGAAATACATTGCCACAATTTGTAACAAGAGGACAAGGCCATGCAAGGCATAGCACTATGATGAAAAGTAGAATCATATCATCCTTGGACTTGAAAAAATGTAAAAAATAAACTTCTATCTTATTTAAGTTATTGCTATTTTCAGTTTTCTCATATGAGCTTCTTACTCTAATCATAACTACACAGTTACCTTAGAAAGAGCAGCTTCAGTGAAATGCTGATGGGAAAACCTGTACAGCAGCAGGTGAAGTTGTGAAGCCTTACTGAGGATAATCAAAATCTTACAGGCAAAAACATAAAATACATATGTTATACTAAAATTGGTAAATAAGATATTCATTTCATATAAAACTGTATACCTTATATAATATTATTCTTATTTAAAAGTTTATAAAAGCCATGATAAATAAAGAAATACATGATGAATAAAGCAATACATGAACTATTATATAGGAAATATACTCCATTTCTCTATGCATACCTATAGGTATTCCTCTCAAAAGGTAACTGCCCACTTACAAGTATAAAAATAAAATTCTACTGCTAATTTACAAGTAGCTGATAATAAATGGCTCAGAGCTGTTTAACACTTACTATCCCATGAAGAAATGTGGTAAAGATGTCAAAATACTTCCAGTTCCCATAAGGAGACAACCAATTCCAATTAACTTCGGTCTGTGTAGTTTAGATCCAAAGTAACTTACAAATACAATCACAAGCAAATTTCCTAGAAAAAAAACAAAATTATGTTGATATGACTTAGTGTAATTTTGTATCTAGTAGAACTGAATGCCCCAAATGAATGCAAATATGCCCAAGACATTGTACCTTCCCTCAAAGACCATGTAATTTAACTGTGAAGGTAAACTCTCCTACATTAAACCACTCATTGAAAAGTTGTATAGTATTAATAAGTAGAATAGGTTTTATATGCAAAGAAAGCACTTGGGTAATTTGGCTATATGAGAGAAGCAAAGTTTTTTTTTGAAAATTTGGAGTTTACTGGATTGCATTGGAATGGAAAATGTCTTCCTAATCTGAGGGAAAGATAATCATTCATGCATATTTTAAACTTATTCTAGGCATTCTTTAAATTTATACTATGTACCTACCACAGTGCTCAGAGTCAGAAATATAAAAAAAAATCGTGGTACTTGTTCTCTAGAAACACACTAGTAATAAAATAAAACAGATGGATAGATGTGCTATTAGATTATGGAAATAGGGAGCTTAAATTAATTAGGGGCTTTGTGAAAGTTTCCTGGAGGATACATTATTTGAGATGTAATGTTGAGTATAAATTATTTAGATTAAAACATGGAAGAAGAGCAATAAGAGTAGACCAATTCAGATTTATCTGTAGCCTTATATATAACATTGAACAGACAATAATCAAGAATTATTGAACACTGATGGAAAATAGTTTCACGAAAGAAAGCACCAGAATGGACCAGCAGATAAAGCAACACAAGAATAAATACTTAAACAATATTAAACTAAAAAGAGTAGAAACTTTTTTTAAAAAAAATCCTGTTAGTATATTTAGAGGTAAAATGGCATGTTGCAGCCATAGAATCAGAACTGGCAGACTAAAAATAATAAGACAACAATAAAGTGTTGTTATAAATTTAAAATATAATTAAAAATTTACAAATTAGAACTTGATATAAAAGATGACATCACACATCAGAGAAAATTGATGAAACATAAAGAAAAGAGGTAGAAATTCAGAGGAAAAAATTTTAAAGGAAAAATATTCAGAAAATATATTATTTATCTCATACATGTTTCAGAAGAAAAGAAAGAATAAAATACAGGAAGAAACAAATAGGAAACAGAAAATAAAGTTTTTGTGTTAGAGGAAGACGTAAGCTTTCATATGAAAGTTCCTACGTTTGTCCAGCAGAAATAACGTAGAAAGATAGAGTCTCGGATACATGCTAGTAAATTTTTGGATATTTAAAGATAAAAAAGAGATGCATATCAGTGCATGAAAATTACAGTGGTAATAATTTCTCATATACAACATTGAATGTTATAAAACAGTAGATGAATATTTTTAATGTTTTGAGAAAAAGGGATTTGGAAATTTTAATTCCATACCCAGACAAATTATCAATTAAATATGATACTAAAATAAATATTCCAACAGGCAAGGGCTTAGAAAATATGCCACGTTTTCAATTCTTCCTAAAAAAAAATAATTACAGTCATCCCTCGTGTCCACTGGTTATTGGTTCTAAGATGCTCTGTAGACACCAAGATTTGTGGATGCTCAAGTCCTTTAGGTAAAAAGGTGTAGTATTGCCTGGATGTGGAGGGTCACGTCTGTAATCTCAGCACTCTGAAAGGCTGAGGCTAGCAGATCACTTGAGGCTAGGAGTTTGAGATCAGCCTGGCCAAATGGTGAAAACCTGTCTCCACTTAAAAATACGAAAATTAGCCGGATGTGGTGGCACACGCCTCTAATCCCAGCTACTCGGGAGGCTGAGACAGGAGAATTGCTTAAACCCAGGAGGTGGAGGTTGCTGTGAGATGACATCAGGGCACTGCACGAGCATGGGCGACAGAGGGAGACTCTGCCTTGAAAAACAAAAACAAACAAACAAAAGATGTAGTATTTCATAAAACCTATCAACATCCTCCTGTATGCTTTATATCATCTCTAGATAACTTCTAATACTTCTAATACAATGTAAATACTATGTAAATAGTTGCTATTCTATGTTGTTTTTATTCGCATCATTTTTATTAATATATGGCCATTTTTAAGTTTTATATTTTTTGAATGTGACTTGCATCCGTGGGTGTGGAACCTGTGGATACAGAGGGTCATCTATACATGAAGGTATACTCCAGAAAGAGTAAAGATGAGATTTGCAGTCATAGGATTCAAGAAATAGAGGTAAGAAACCAAACTGATAATGATGTTCAAATAATTGCTGTTAAATAGCTGCAAAGTTTAACAAAAATGTTAAGGATTAATTTCATAATAAAAATAGACATACAGTGAATTAAACGTTAAAACTAATAACATTCCAATTCTAAAATTCTAGATGATTTCATTGAGCCTGGGAGGTAAACAAGTGAAGGACATGTAGAGTGTCATATCTTTGAATCACAAATATTCTGAATTTATATAAAGAGATAAATCTTCCTTTGACAATTACATTTTAGTCATTAGTTAAGCATTGTGTAAATACAGTTAGAATAGAAACATGAATTGTAGAAAATATTTGCAGTCTATATAATAGACAATTTGGTGGTCCCTCCAAATAATTAGAAAGTGAAAAGAAAAAGGGAAAATTAGCAGAGGCTATAAGCTAGCAGTTTGTAAAATAAGAAAAATTTTAATTTTTCTTTGAAAAATTATTATATTGAAAATATATTATTTTCAATTATTATATAATATTTTCAATTATTATATAAAATCTCACTATTGTTGGAGAAATCCAAATTAAAATGATTACATCAAAGCAGTATCTTCAATGTTCAAAAAAAAAAAAAGACTTTAAACCCCCAATGTTGTACACAGTTAAACAGTAGAATCTAGTGTAGGTTGCTCCTATGCAGTCCTTCCACCTAAAACCATAAGAATTATCGTCCTCCCTCAACCTTTCTTCACACTGGGGCACCTTGAGACAAGGGAGATAAAGTTTCCTAAAAAGTTAATTTGCAAACCATGAGTTTGTGTAGGACCAGAGTTTTTCAACATCCTCACTATAGACATTTTGGGAAGGATAATTCTTTGTTGGTAAGTCTGTCTGGTGCATTGCACAGTGTTTAGCAGCATACCTGACCTCTACCCCTAGGTACCAGTGGCATCCTCCCTGCCCCAGCCCATTTATAGCAACAAAAATATCCTAACATATTGCCAAATTGCCCATGAGAGACAAATTTACACCTAGTCCAGACCCAGTGATATAAAGCATGCATGAACAGTTTGTTTTTCAACTTATGCAAGTATGGTTATCAAATAGAAAAAATAAAAGTTACCAATTTCAAAGCTTCCATCAATTAAACCAGCAAGAGAAGAGGATATGTCAAATCTCCTTTCTATTTGAGTGATGGAAATTTTCATAATGATTCCACCTAGTGCTTTAGCAATATAGCTGAATGACAGGGCTGCCAAGAACATCTAAAAACAATAGAAGAAAAAATGAAAATTGGTTAATCAAAGAACTATATAATGTTTATAGGTACATGGAACTAAAACAGTTTTTCTTCTTTACTCGAAAACATTATCATAAAAAAATACCCATTTTTCCCTATACAAGTTGAAACTTCTCAGCCCTATAATACTATCATCAGTACACTACTAAAGCATGATTTTCTAACTTGGTTACAACATTCGATTGCTAGAGGAGTATAGTTAAGGTTGCTATTTTTAAACTAATTTCATTAACTGATTTATAGGAAGCTAGACACTGTTCTCAGATGGCCATGATGGTGAGCTATTTTCTTTATTTCCATGTGAATAGCCCTGGCTAACTGGGAGGGGAATGGCAGTGCATGCAGGAGTAGCACTTTCAGGAAGCCAGCTGAAAAATAGAACTTTGTGGAGGCAAAGAGGAATTTTATGACCAACACAAGTGACTGTATCAAGACAGACAAAGGTATCCGATGCAAACAGGAACCTAAAGAGAGCAGGTATGTCCATAATCATATCAGAAAAACTAGATTTTATGACAAAATCTGTCTCAGGAGACAAAGGACATTATAGCGGCATAAAATTATCAATTCACCAGGAAGAGCCAACAATTATAAATAGATCTGCACCTAAAACTAAAGCAATGAGATATATGAAACAAACATAGATACAACTGAAGGAAAAATGGACAGTAACATAATAATAATAATGATACTTCAATATCCTGCATTCATTCATATACAGAACAACCAGGGAGACTATCATAGGAATCAAATGACTTGAACATGATAGACCAATTAACCTAACAGACAAATAGAGCACTCTCTATCAAATAACAACAGAATACATCTTTTCTCCAGCAGAAATGGAACATTCTCCAAGATAGACCACCGTGGCCCACACAACAAATCTTAACAAATTAAAAATGTTGTAATTATATTAAGTATCTTTTCTCCTACAGTGCAATGAAAATAGTATTTAAAAGCAGGAATAAAACAAGAAAATCCACAGATATGTGAAATTAAAAAATTCTTTCTTACACAACCAATGGGTCAAAGGAGGAATAACAAGAATTAATAAAATATCTGAGGAAAAATGAAAATGAAAACACAAGAAACCAAAACTTATGTGATGCAGTGGAAGCAGCACTAAAGGGAAAGTTTATAAATTGATATTAAGGAAAGAAAAATCTCAAATAAATAACATAACTGTATCCATCAAGGAACCAGGAAAACAAAAACAAACCTGAAATTAAGAGACGAAGAAAATATTAAACATTAGAGTAGAAAAAATAAAATAGAAAATAAACAAAAACAACAGAAAAAAATTAATGAACCCAAGTTGGTCTTTTGAATATATCAACAAAACTGAGAGACCTTTAGCTAAAATAAAAAAGAGAGAGAGACTTAAATAGCTAAAATTAGAACTGAAAGAGCAGGCATTACAACGGCTGTCTCAGAAATTAAAAAGAATTATAAGAGATGACTATGAACAATTATAAGCCAACAAACTGGAAAACATAGAATAAATGAATACATTCCTAGAAACATACAACCTACTAAAATTGAATTATGATTCAATTTTAAAAATCTGAACAGAACTATAATTAGGACATTGAAGCAGTATCAAATACTTCCAAAAAAGATAAAACCAGTAACCAATGTCTTCACTAGAGAATTTTACCAAACTCCTAAAGAATAAGTAACACCAATACTTTTGAAAGAAACTCCAAAATTCACTTAATGTGGCCAGAATTACCCTAATACCAAAATAACATAAAGACAGAAAAAAAGAAAACTACAGAAAAATATTCCTGGTGAATATTGATACAAAACTCCTAAATGTAATACTAGCAGACTGAATTCAACAGCATATTTTAAAAAATCACATCATGATCCAGCAAAATATATACCTGGAATACAAGGATGGTTTAACATACAAAATTAAATCAGCATAATACATCACATTCACTAAATGAAGGACAAAACCACATGATCATCTCAATTAATGCAGAAAAAACATTTGACAAGATGCCCACTCCTAACATTAATATTAATTCAACCTACTGCTGGAAGTTCTAGGAAAAGAAATTAAACAAGAAAAAGAAATAAAATGCATTCAGATTGGAAAAGAAATAAAATTATCTCTGTTCACAGATGACATCATCTTATATGTAAAGATTCTACCAAAAAAAATTTAGAAAAAATAAACACATTTAGCAAAGTTGCAGGACACAAATCAACATTCAAAATTAAGAAGTGTTTCTATGCACTACCAATGAACATTTCAAAAGGAAATTAAGAAAATCTCACTAGATCATAAAAAAGATAAAACACTTAGGAATAAACTTAAATGACAAAGTGAAGATTTTTACACTGAAACCTATTAAATATTACCAAAATAAATAAAACACAAATAAATGGGAAACATTCAATTCTCATAGATTGGAAGATTTAGTATTGTTAAAACATCCATACTATCCAAACTCATCTACAGATTTTAATTTCAATGCCATTTAATTTTTTAAATTTTGAATTTTTACAGAGTCTTGCTCTGTTGCCCAGTCTGGAGTACAATGGAGTGATCATGGCTCACTGCAGTCCCAACCTCTTGGGCTCTATCAATCCTCCCACCTCAGCCTCCTCAATAGCTGGTACTACAGCTGTGCACCACTATGCCTAACTAATTACTTTTTTTTAAAGATGTGGCATCTTGCTGTGTTGCTTGGACTAGAGCTAGTCTCAAACTTCTGGCCTCAAGTGATCCTCCAGCCTCAGACTTCCAAAGCCCTGGGGATACAGGTATGAACCACCATTCCTAGCCAGCATTTGTATAGAAATAGAAAAAACAAATATAAAATTTACAGAGAATCCAAAGGCACCCTGCGTAGCCAAAATAATCTTGAAGAATAACACAGCTGGATGCTTCATATTTCCTGTTTTCAAAATATACTGCAGAGCAACTGTAATTAAGATGGTGTGTACTGAAATAAAGATAATCATATAAAACAATGGAATAGAATAGAGTTCAGAAATGAACTGTTGCCTATATGGACAAGTGATTTTCAACAAGGGTGCCAACACTGCATGACAGGGAGAGAACCAGTCTCTTCAACAATTGATGTTGAGAAAACTGGGTATCCACATACAAAGGAATGAAGTTGACCCATTGTCTTACACCATATGTGAAAACTAACTCAAAATGGGATTAAATGCCTAAATGTAAGACCTTACACTCTTAGAAGAAAATACAGAGAAAATGCTTCAGAACATTTGATTTGACAATAATTTCTTGAGTATGACACCCAAAGCACAGGCAACAAAATAAAAAATAGACAAATGTGACTACATCAAACTTAAAGACCTCTGCACATAAAAAGAAACAAGATGAAAATTTAACCTATAGAATGGCAGAAAATAATTGCAAATCCCATATTTAATAAGGAGCTAATACCCAGAATATATAAGTAACTTCTGCAACTTAACAACAACAAAAAACAAATAATGCAACTAAAAAATGGACAAAGGACTTGAATAAACATTTCTCCAAACAAGATGTATAAATGGCCAATAAACATATGAAAAGATGCTCAACATCACTAATCATAAGGGAAATGCAAATCAAAACTACCATGAGCTATCACCCCACGCTCATCAGAATACTCACTATTCAAAGAAAAACAACAAATGTTAATAAGTATGTGAAAAAGTTGGATCCACTGTGTTTGTTGTTTGAAATGTAAAATAGTGCTGCCATCATGAAAACTAGTTTGGAGTTTTCACAAAAAAGTTACAAGCAGAATTACCATAGAAGCCATCAATCCTTCTTCTGTGTATATATTCAAAGAAATTCAAACTGGGATCTTGAAGAGATTTTCACACACCCACGTTCATCACAGCATTATTTACAATAGCCAAGAGGTAGAAGCAACTAAAATGTTCATTGACAAATGAATAGATAAATAAAATATGATAATGCAAATCAAAACCACAATGAGATATCATCTCATGCTAGTCAGAATGGCTATTATTAACAAGTCAAAAAATAACAGATGCTGGTGAAGTTGTGAAGAAAAGGGAACACTTATACCTTGATGGTGGAAGTGTAAATTAGCTCAACCATTGTGAAAAGCACTTTGGCAATTTCTCAAAGAACTTAAAATAGAATTATCATTCAACCCAGCAATTGTATTCCAGCAACATGGATGAAGCTGGTGGCCATTATCCTAAGCAAACTAACACAGGAACAGAAAATCAAATATTGCACGTTCTCACTTATAAGTGTGAACAAAAAATTAAGTACATATGGATACAAAGAAGGGAACAATAGACATTGTGGCTACCTGAGGGTGGAAGTTAGGAGAATACAGCGAATAGAAAAACTACCTATCAAGTACTATGTTTATTACTTGGCTGATAAAATAATCTGTACATCGGCCGGGCATGGTGGCTTACGCCTATATTCCCAGCGCTTTGGGAGGCCGAGGCGGGTGGATCACGAGGTCAGGAGATCGAGACCATCCTGGCTAATGCGGTGAAACCTCATCTCTACTAAGAATACAAAAAAAAATTAGCCGGGAGTGGTGGTGGGTGCCTGCAGTCCCAGCTACTCAGGAGGCTGAGGCAGGAGAATGGCGTGATCCCGGGAGGCAGAGCTTGCAGTGAGCCGAGAATGCGCCATGGCACTCCAGCCTTGGCGACAGAGCGAGACTCTGTCTCAAAAATAAATAAATAAATAAATAAATAAATAAATAAATAAAATAATAATAATAAAAATAATCTGTACATCAAACATCTGCAACACACAATTTACCTATATAACTAACTGGTACATGTACCCCTGAAGTTAAAATAAAAGTTTTAAAAATTTTTTTCCAACTTTGTTATTTTTTCAATATTATTTTGTTTATTTGGGGACCCTTGCCATTTCATATGACTTTCAGTATGGATTTTTCCATGTCTGCAAGAAAAAAAAAAAAAAAAAGGCTGTTGGGATTTAGATAGAATGTGCGGTAAATCTGCAGAGAAATCTGGGTAGCACTGTCATTTCAAAAATACTAAATTTTATAATCTATAAACACTGGATGTTTTTCCATTTATGTGGGTCTTTAATTTTTTAAGCAATGTTTTATAGTTTACAGTGTGTGATTTTTTTTAACCTTTTTGTTTAAATTTGTTCCTATATATATTTTTGAGATGCTATGATAAATGGATTTACTCCTTTAATTATTTTTCAATGCTTATTCCCGGTGTACAGAAACACAAGTAATATGTGTGTGTGTGTGTGTGTGTGTGTGTGTGTGTGATTTTCTACTATGTAATTTTTCTTTATTTATTAGCTCTAGTAGATTTCTTGTGGATTCTTTGGGCTTCTCTTTACATATAATTATGTTATCTGTAAATAAAGACAGTTTTCCTTCTTTCTAATTTGAATGCCTTTTGTTTCTTTTTCTTGTCTAATGGATCTGGCTAGAACTTCTAGAACAATCTTGAATAGCATTAGTAAAAATGAATATTCTTGTATTGTTTTTAATTACAGGGACAAAACTTTCAGTCTTTCAATATCAAATATGATGCCAGCTGAAGATTTTTCATAAATGCCCTTATCATGTTGAGAGAGGTCCCTTATATTACTAGTTTTCTGGGTGTTTGTGTTGAGAAAGGGTGTTGGATTTGTGTCAAATGCATCTAGTAAGATGGTCATGTGGCTTTTTTCTTTGCTTAATATATTGCATTCCTTTGAGTTTCATGTATTTAATCATGCTTAAATTTCCAGGATGAATCCATTTTTGTTATGGTGTACAATCTTTTAAATGTGCTGTTGGAATTAATTGGCTAGTATTTTCTTGAAAAATTTTTTAATATACTTAATAGACTTTATTTTTTAGAGCAATTTAGATTCACAAAAAAAAAATTTGACCATAAATTACAGAGAGCTTCCACATATTCCCTCTATCCACACACAGTTTCCCCTACTATTATGTTTACCTTCTATTGGTGTGGTACATTTGTTTACACTGATGAACCAATTTGGATGCATTATTACATTAGGGTTCACTTGGTGTGTTTTACAGTCTATCGATTCTGATAAATGTATATTGATAGGTCTTCTTCATTACTGTATCATAAAGAATAGTCTCCCTTACCTAAAAATCCTCTGCACTGTTTCTTTCTTTCTTCCTCTCTTCCTCAAACACTTGGCAACTACTGAACACATTCCTTTCTTTAGATTTTTCTTCTCCAGAATCTCATATATTTGAAATCTTACAATATATAACATTTTAAGATTTGCTTCTTTGCTTACAGTTATGTTTTGGATGTCTTTCCATGTATTTTTATGACTTGATGTTCCATTTCTTTTTAATCACTAAAAAAAATTACATTGTTTGACTGTATCACAGTTTCTTTACCTATTCACCTATTGAAAGATATCTTGGTTGCTTTTAAGTCATGACAATCATGAATAAAGCTGCTATAACACTTGTGTGCAGGCTTTTATGTGGATATAAGTTTTCAAGTCATTTGGGTAAATACTAAGGTCTATGACTGCAGGATTGTACAGTAAGCCTGTCTTTAGATTCATAAGAAACTATCAGATTGTTTTACAAAGTGGCTCTACCATTTTGCATTCCTACCAGCAATAAATGAGAATTCTGGTTGCTCCTCATATTTGCCAGCATTTGGCATTTTTTGTGTTTGGAATGTTACTCACTCTAATAAGTATGTAATGAAAGCTCATTGTTTGAATTGGCAATTCACTATTGACATATTATGTTGAACATGTTTTCATATAGTTGTTTACCATCTGTATATGCCCATCAGTAAGGTATCTGTTCAGATCTTTTTCCCATTTTATAATTGGCTGTTTTCTTATCATTGAGTTTTAGTGTTCTTTGTAGATTTTGAATATCAGCCCCTTATTAAATATATCATTCACTAGTCTCCATAGTTTCTGACAAGAAATTAGTTATTAATCCTATGGGACAGCACTTGTACATGATGATTCCCATTCTAGCTGCTTCCAAGATTCTGTATTATTATTATTATTTTGACTTTTAATGGTTTGATTACAAAATATCTCAAAGTGAATTTCTTTCAGTTTTTTTACTTGGAGTTCCTTAAGCTTCTAGGCTATTGAGATTTATGTCTTTCATCAAATTTGTGGTGTTCTCAGCCAGCCCATTTTTCAAATATTCTTTTTTCCCTTTTCTCTCTCTATTCTCCTTCTGAAATCCCTGTAATTTGTATCCTGGTTCACCTGATGGTATATGACAGGTCCTTAGGTTTTGTTCACTTTTCTTCATATATATATATATATTTTCTGCTTCTCAGACTGAAATTTTCAATTGGCCTATCTTAAAATTCGATGATTCTGTATTCTGCCTGCTTAAGGTTGCCACTGAACTTTGGTTTTAGTTCAGGCTGCTATAATAAATTACTATAGACTAAATGGGTTGAGAAATAAACATGTATATTTCATAATTCTGAAAGCTGGGTTGTCTGAGATCAAGGGGCCAACACAGTTGAATTCTGGTGAAGGCCCTCTTTTAGGTTGAAGACAGCTAGCTTCTACTCGTACCCTCACAGGGAGGGAAAAATTTAGTTGGCTTTCTCACATTATCTAAGGGCACAAATCCCATCATGAAGGGTTCCTCTCTCATGATCTATTTACCTGCCAAAGGCCTCAAATACCAACACCTTGGGCTCAGGGTTTCAATATGTAATTGGCAAGGAAGGCACAAATATTCAGTCCATAACTCTTTTCTTATAAATTTTTATTTTAGCTATTTTTTTTTTAATTCTTCCACCTTTGGTAAGCCTTGGGCTGAGCCTGAGGATCAGCCTTAGGTAAAAGCTTATGGTCTTCTCAGGTGTTTTACAAGTGAGTCTACTACCCTGGGCATATGCGAGGCTTTCTAAATACCTCCAGGAACATGAAGTGCTAGCTTCACAGTAAGCTTGATAAATTTCTATTTTTATTAAAATTGTGAACTACCAACCTCCAGCTCTCTGCTTTAAGTTCATTCAAATAAAAACAAAACAGAGATACAAATGTACATAATTGTCAGAGAGATTTTAATGTGTCACTGGCAGGAAGAGACAACTGGCATCGAGATAAGAGGTAAAGTCTCTATCTACCTGCAGTCACGGCAAGCTGTTCATTAGTGTAATACGGTAAAATTTCTGGACTTAACAGTCAGAAGACAGTTCTAAGCTTCTACAGTTTATTTTATTTTAAAAAATAACTCCCCTGCCCCACTGAACCTTCTCTTTCCCATAACTCTCCCTTGTGTCCTTTCCAGTAGAAGCTTAGACTTGACTACACCTGCATGACTCAAATCCTGTTTTTTGCATCATTCCTCACAAGTATCCATGGATTATGTTATTCTGGTTATCCCCTGTTCTTCCAGGGATTTGTTTCAGACACTCTCCTCTTTTTACTTCATATACTTTTTCTGGGCAAACTCACTCATTGTCATTGTTTTTATTACCATCTGTTAAGGACTGAATGTTTGCATATCCTTCAAATATATATGTTGATGGTTTTTGTTTTAGCACCTGAGCTGATTAAAACACCAACACATAGTTTGCAATTCCAAGTCAACGAAGTTAAATACCTTATAAAACAAAGAAACTAACTAACTAACTAAAGAATAACACTCTTTGGAAGAATATAACAATGTTCAAAATTATCCACATGTGAAGGTCCAGGAAAATGTGAGATATTCTCATGAGAAATGACAATCAACAAAAACCAACCCATAGATGGCACATATGTTGGAATCACTGACCAGAATTTTGAAAGAACTATTCTAACTATTCTCTTTGATATAAAGGAAAACAATGTCATAGTAAATGAAAATATAGTGAATGTTACCAAAGGAAGTAAGCTATGAAAATGAAAAAAAATTGGAATATGTGAAATAAATATGTGTAACTGTTGTTGCTTTAAAGTCTGTTTTATCTGATGTAAGAATAGCTCCTGCTCACTTTTTGATTTCGATTTCCACAGAATGGAACAACAGTTAAAAAAAAAAAAAGACAAGGAAGATGATTATATAATGATAGAAGAAATCAATCCAACAAAAAGAGATTAAATTTTTATGCACCTAACAATGGAGCTCCCAGATTCATAAAACAATTACTACTAGACCTAAGAAATCAGTAGACAGCAACACAATTATAGTGGAGAACTTAAAAACTTCACTGACCGCACTAGACAGATGATCTAGAGAGAAAGTCAACAAAAACAATGTACTTAAACTACACTCTAGAACAAATGAGCCTAACAGATATTACAGAACATTCTACCCAAGAACTGCAGAATATACATTCTTGTCATCAACACATGGAACATTCTCAAATATAGATCATATGATACATCACAAATCTCAATTTTTTTTTTCATATTCAGGCACCTCCAAACATATTTTCTTTATTTCCTCCAGAGAACAGGCTTTAGTTCTGAGGTCCTTGTAAACATTTAACACAAAAGAACAAACTGAAGCATCTATATCCTTGCCCTGTGTTGCTGGGGTGAGTTTACACAAGGAGAAGTTGAGACAAATGCGGTAGTCACAGGTGAGCTTCTTACTCAGTTCAAAGTAGGTCTTGGGATGAGAGTCCCATATAGCCAGGACAGCTGACTTTCTGTGATTTCCAAGGGGCGCCCAAGACATTAAGGACTGATGATGTTTCTACTCATTGTTGATCAGGGTCAAACCTTTTCACTAACTGGGGCTGCTCTTTCCAAGAGGTCAGAGGTCAGAAAGCTGGTAGAATCATACAAGACCATCTTAACAGTATGTGTAGATCTGCTTCTCCCATGTGGCTACCTTGTACATAGGGTCACAATCAGCCCGGTGAGCTCAATGACATAGTCTAAGTCTTGCTGGATAATAAAATGGCTTCCATCACCTTGGTTAGCAATGAATCCATCTCTGAAACTTAGAGGGATAGAACTGGTGCTTTTTTTTTTTTTTTTTTTTGAGACAGTCTTGCTCTGTCACATGGACTGGAGTGCAGTGACACAATCTTGGCTCACTGCAACTTCTGCCTCCCGGGTTCAAGCAATTCTCCTGCCTCAGCCTCCCGAGTAGCTGAGATTACAGGCATGCACCACCACACCTGGCTAATTTTTGTATTTTTAATAGAGATGTGGTTTCACCATGTTGGCCAGGCTGGTCTTGAATTCCTGGCCTCAGATGATTCGCCCACCTTGGCCTCCCAAAGTGCTGGGATTACAGGCATGAGCTACCACACCTGGCCGAATAATTTTTTTTAATTGAAATCATATCAACTATTTTTTTCAGACCACAGTGGAATAAAACTAGAAATCAACTCCAGAAGGAACTCCTAAAACTACACAAATACATGGAAAATAAACAATCTGCTCCTGAATGATTTGGGGGTTATCAATTAATGCAAGATGGAATTTTTTTTTTCTTTGAGACAGATGCTTGCTCTGTCAACCAGGCTGGAGTGCAATGGTGTGATCTCGGCTCACTGCAACCACTGCCTCCTAGGTTCAAGTGATCCTCCTGTCTCAGCTTCCCAGGTAACTGGTACTACAGGGGTATATGCCACCATGCCTGGCTAATTTTTGTATTTTAGTAGAGAGGGGGTTTCACAACCTTGGCCAGGCTGGTCCTGAACTCCCAACCTCAAGTGATTCGCCCACCTCAGCCTTCCAAAGTGCTGGGATTACACGGAGGAGCCACTGCGCCTGGCCAGAAATTTTATTTAAAAATTTGGAAATACATACATATATATATGTAAGGTATCTTTATATAACTTACACTTATGTATATATAAATATCTTTAAGTTTAAGGTATACAAAGTTTAAGGTGTATATATACACACACACACATATATATACACACAACTTATATACTATATATATATGTTTAAAGTGTACAAAGATTTTAATTAAAATTAACAATAACTTAATAATGAATTCCTTAAAAGGAGTATAATAAGTTGAAGAGGAGAAAATTTAAAAAATAAAATAAATGCACATTTTCCAATATTCAACAAAAATGTGAAAACCTCAGATTGAGAGTGCCTGTTGAACACCCAGCAAAAGACATAGGGACACACATATATATGGAGAAAGTTTAGATAAGAATATCAATGACAAGAAAAAAATTTGAAGTCTTTCAGAAAAGAAAGCATATCAATTTTAAACAGTAAGTGTGGATGTACAAAAGATTAATAGTACTTTTTTTTTTTTTTGAGACAGAGTCTCACTCTGTTGCCCAGGCTGGAGTGCAGTGACACAATCTCAGCTCACTGCAAGCTCCGCCTCCAGGGTTCATGCCATTCTCCTGCCTCAGCCTCCTGAGTAGCTGGGACTATAGGTGCCCACCACCACACCCAGCTAATTTTTTTGTATTTTTAGTAGAGACGGGGTTTCACCATGTTAGCCAGGATGGTCTCAATCTCCTGATCTTGTGATCCACCCACGTCAGCCTCCCAAAGTGCTGGGATTATAGGCATGAGCCCCGTGGATGAATAATACTTTTGAAGTATTGAGGTAAGAGAACATTAAAACTGTAATTTTATATTTAGCCATGTAGTCATTCAACTATAAGGAAATATATTATTGAGCATATAAGGTCTCAAAAGTGTGGCATGTAAAGATACACACTGAAATCAAATTCGGAAGATATACTTCAATAAAACAAGAATCAAATACTGAAGATATTGTGTGAGATTTGTAAAACAAGGTGAATAAAACACTTGATAATTTTGTAATTGTCTTTTAAAAAATGAGACCAAAAATAGAAAAGGAAAGAAAATAGATATAATATCTAAAATTTAAAATTTTAGATGGAAAATCGAGATAGTATCAGAGAGTATAAAGGTTAAAGAGGCGTATCAAAGAACATGAGAACATGTATTTTAGTATGTTTGGGGCTTCTATTAAAAATATAGCAAAATATAGCATACAACAAAACTGAGTACCTTATAAACAACAGAAATTTACTTGTCACAGTTCCAGAGGTTGAAAAGTCTGAGATCAGGACAGCAGCAGGAAGAGGGCCATCTTCTTACAGTAATCTCACAGTGGGAAGGGCAAAATAGCTCTCTGGGGTCTCTTTTATAAAAACACTAAGCCCATTCATGAGGGGTCTGCTTTCATGACCTAATCACTTCTCGAAGTCTTTACCTTTGGATCAGAGACAGTACAAATATTCAGACCATAGCAATATGCTACAGTATTTGCCTTGTTGTAAGAGAGATAAATATATCAATTCAAAAAGTATAAGAAAACATTAAAAGGCAACAGGGAAGGGAGTAAATTGGCATAATATTCTAAGATAGTAGAAACAAGTCTGACTATATAAAATACAATAAACGTAAGTGGACAAAATTGCTAGTTTAAAGGCAGAGATTTTTCAGTTTGGCTATTTTTTGAAAAATCTAAATATGCGATCTTGATAACAGGTATTCCTAATTCATGAGGAAGTGTTGATGATGGTAAAAGAATAAGAAGCAATTAAAAAAAAACTTGTAGCTGTATAAATAATAGCCCAAATAGATTTACATAAACATCATTATGGATAGAGGTTTCTACATATTGATATATCAACCTAAAAGATACAATGATTATAAAACAATGGATTTAATAGGTATAAAATATATAAACAAAAGTCAGTAGAATTATTGTCACTAGAGGAAATTTCAACATATCTTTGTTTCTCAATTATGATAGGTCAAGTAGTCAAAATATTAGCAAGAACATAAAAGACCTGAATAACACAATTAACAAGACTGACCTCTAAGATACATATAAAATTCATATAAAATTCTACATCTGGTTGGGCATGGTGGCTCATGCCTGTAATCCCAGCACTTTGTGAGGCCAAGGCAGGTGGATCACGAGGTCAGGAGTTCAAGACCAGCCTGACCAATACGGTGAAACCCAGTCTCTACTAAAAATACAAAAATTAGCCAGGCACAGTGGCATGTGCCTGTAATCCCAGCTACTCAGGAGGCTGAGGCAGGAAAATCACTTGAACCTCACTTGAAACTGGGCGACAGAGGCTGCAGTGAGCCGAGATTGCTCCACTGCACTCTAGCCTGGGTGAAAGAGTGAGACTCTGTCTCAAAAAAAAAAAAAAAAAACTACATCCAACAATTCAAAGAATATGCATTTTTCTCAAGTACATGAGGGAGAATTACAAAAACTGATGATATATTCGGACATAAAAAAATCCCAACAGTACACATGGACACAAACAGGTGAACAATAGATGCTGAGGCCTACTTGAGGGTGGAGGGTAGGAGGAGGGTGAAATCTAAAAAAGTACCTGTTGGTAACTATGATTATTATCTGAGTGCTGAAATAATCTGTACACCAAACTCCCATGACACACAATTTACCTATGTAACAAACCTGCATATGTACCCCCTGAACCTAAAATAAAAGTTGAAAAGAAAAAGAGAACTCAACAGGTTGCAAAAAGTAGGTATCGTACAGACAATATCTGCCACAGTGCAATTATGGCAGGCAATGGTAGAAAACATTTTTAAATAAGAATCCCTACATATTTGGGGCAAATCTTATTTTAAATAACTTGTGTATTAATTAAGAAATTATAGTGGAATTTTAAGTACAAGTTTAGGACTGATAAGACATGAGATAAGTGAATACAATTTTAAAAAATATACTGGGACTTCTGGGTGCTACTTTTGCAGAAAAGAAAGTTGGAGGGCGCCATTTTTTTCTAACATCAAGTAAAACACTAAACCGACTGAAAAAGCAATGATTCTTGGATCCATAAAAGAGATGAGGACATGTGGCAAACCACTGTCTCCAAGATTGGAGATGGAGAGACAAAGTAAATATAAGGAGTAACAGCTTCCTGGAGCAGAAACTCATAACAAAAACCAGAAAGGAAATAGTGCTAGGGTAAAAAAGAAAAAAAAATGTACTATAATTGAATTGCTAGAGCCTCAGGTTGGACAAGTCTGAGGGCTAATAACTCCAGGGGGACCAATTCAAGGACCCCCTTTTTTGATGATTTTCTCTTCAGGAGCTCGACCTGGATCTTATAGTAAATGTTGGAGAAAAATCTTCTCATTCTAGCAGAGTGAAAGAGAAAGGAATCATTTTGAAATAGGCCAGAGCACTTTGTTTTTAATAGGGATTATGAGACTTGCCCTCAGGAAAAACTAATTAATTGGAGCCTCATAAGCTCTGGTGTTATCTAAGCTTAACTGACCTGAGGTAAAGGAAATACCCAACTTCAGCCAGTTCTAGCCTACCATATTACAGAGAGAAATATTCAATTACAGCCCACTCTAGCCATCCTATCCTGCCTAGGGAGAAAAACATTTTTTTAAAAATTGACACTTTGGGAAGATGAAGCTGGTGGATTGTGAGGTCAGGAGTTCAAGACCAGCCTGGCCAAGATGGTGAAACCCCGTCTCTACTAAAAAATACAAAAAAATTAGCTGGGTGTGGTGTTGAGTGCCTGTAATCTCAGCTACTGGGAGGCTGAGGCAGAGAATTGCTTGAACCAGGGAGGGAGAGGCTGTAGTGAGCTAAGATCACACCACTGCATTCCAGCCTGGGCAACAGAGTGAGACTCCATCTCAAAAAAAAAAAAAAAAAAATTGAGAAGCATTTGTGAAATTTATGGTCCAGAGTCAGAGGTTCATTCAAAGACTGATACCTAAGCTTGGAACTGTAGGATGCCTCTTCTCCGGACTGTGCCTTACCAACACATTATTGAAGGCACATGTATAGCAGGTTTTTATCCAATACATCCTCCCTTGCTATCAAGGAGATATTACAAGTCACCTAAAAGGCAAATAACACAATTAGAAGAGACAGAGCAAGAATCAGGACCAAACTCACATATGGCAGAGATGTTGGAATTATCAGACTGGGAATTTAAAATGACTATGAGCAACATGCTAAGGGCTATAAAAGTAAAAGAGACAGTATGCAAGAACAGATGAGCAATTTAAGCCGAGATAAAAATTCTAAGAAAGAACCAAAAACAAATGCTAGAGATCAAAATATTGTAGCAGAAATAAGTAATTCCTTTGACAAGCATATTAGTATACTTGGCATACCTGAGAAAAGGCTATATGAGCTTCAGAATATACCAATTAAAATCTGCAGAAGTAAAAAGCAAAATGAACAAAGACAGAAAAATATCAGAAGAAAATACCCAAAAGCTAAGGGATAACTACAAAAGTAGCAACATGCACATAATAGGGACACCCCAAAAATAGAATATGAAACAGAATAAATATTTGAAACAATAATAACTGAGAATTTCCCCAAATTTATGTCAGACAACATACCACAGATCTTGGAAGTTCATAGAAAAACAAGCAGAATAAATGCTTTAAAGAGTCCACCTAGGAATATCATTTTCAAACTACACAAAATCAAAGACAAGGGGAAAAAAGTCCCAAAAGAAACCAGAGGGAAAATAAAATACCTATCCTTACCTATATAGGAACAAAGATAAGAATTGCATTTGACTTCTCAGAAACCATGCCAGCACAGAAAGAGTGGAATAAAAATATGTAAAGCATTGATAGAAAACAACAACCTAAAATTATGAAACCTGTGCAATTATCTTCTAACATGAAAGAAAAATAAGGATTTCTCAGATAAACAAAAATTAAAGGAATTTCTCGTCAGAGTTGCCTTGCAAGATGTTAAGAGCAGTTTTTTAGAGAAAGAGAAAATAATATAGATCAGAAGCTCAAAACTTCATAAAAACAGAGAGACACTGCAGAAAATAAGTGAAGGTAAATTAAAAAGTTTTTTTTAATTCTTAATTGATCTAAGAAATAACAGTTATTCAAAATAATAATATCTATAATGTATTTGATTATGTATGCTTACACTAAAATAAAAAGAATGACACAATGATGCAATAAACGGGAGAGAAGAATAAAAATAATTTGTTTTGCAAGTTACACTACCCATGAAGCAGTATGGTGTAATTTGAAAGTAAACTTGAAATAGTTGTAAATATATCTTACAAGCACCAGGGCAACTACTATATAAGTCAAAGAAGAAATATAACAAATATGCTAAGAAAGGAGAAAAAAAATTAATGGTATTATATAAAATGCTCATTTGAAACCACAAAAAGCACAAAAAGAGTGGAATACAAATATAGAAACAAAGAAGAACAAGACAGAAATACAGTAAGAAGTATGGTAGATATTAATTCAACTACAATCATGTACCACATGATGACATTTTAGTTACCAGTGGACTGCATATATGATAGTGGTCCCATTAGATTATAACACCATATTTTACTGTACTTTTTCTATGCTTAGATACAAAAATACTTATTGTGTTACAATTCCTGCAGTATTTAGTACAATAACAGGCTGTAAAGGTTTGTAGCCTCAAAGCAATAGGCTATAACATATAGCCTAGGTGTCTAGCAGGCTAATCTATCTAGGCTTGTGTAAGTACAGTCTATGATGTTTGCAAAATTAAAAAATTTGTATGACAGTGCACTTCTCAGAATGCATTCCTGTCATTTAATGTTCCATGACTGTATATTAATAATGAACTTTAACATCAATTATCTAAATGCACCAACTAAAAGATAGAAGGTGACAGTAAATCAAGTAACAAGGCCAACTACATGTTGTGTGCATGACACCCACTTTAAATATAAAAACACATATAGAATAAAAGTAAATGGATGGAGAAAAATATTCTATGCTAACAATAATCAAAAGAAATCAGGAATAGCTATATTAATTTTAGACACAGCAAACTTCAAAGCAAGGAAAGTTACCAGAGGTTAAAAAAAGGTATACAAATGTAACAAACCTGCATGTTGTGCACATGTACCCTAAAACTTAAAGTATAATAATAATAAAATTTAAAAAAAAAGAAAAGCAAAAGGAAATTGATTTAAAAAAAAAGGTGGGAGGGGGCATTACAGAATAATAAGGACATCAGTTCTCAAAAAAGATATAATACTCCTTAACATATATGCACCCAACAACAGAGCATCAAATTCTATGAAGTAAAAACTGGTAGAACTGCAAGGAGAAATAGATGAATACACTATCATAGTTGGAGACATCAATACTCCTCTGTGGGAAGGGAACAAATCCAGCAGGCAGAAACAGATAGAAAATACTTGACCTTAATAACACCATTAATCAACTGGATATAATTAACATCTATATATTACTTTACAACTTCATGTATTACATCCAACAACAGTAGAATAGACATTCTTAAGCTCACATGGAACATTCACCAAGAAAGACCACATTCTAAGCCATAAAATATATCTTATCCAATTTATTTTCAAAAAGAAGTGATAGCATTTGTTCTCAGACAACAATAGAATTAAAGTAGAATCAATAACAGAAATAACTGGAAAAATCCCCAAATATGTAGAGACTAAGTAACACATTTTTAAGTAACATTTAGGTCAAAGGAAATCTCAAGATAAGTTTTTAAATATTTTGACTAAATAAAAATAAAAACACAATTCATCAAAGTTTGTGGGAGGTAGCAAAAGCAATGCTTAGAGGAAAATTTATTACACTGAATACATATATGAGAAAAGAGGAAACATTTAAAATCAGTATTTAAGTTTCTACCTTAGGAAACTTGGAAAAAAACAGCAAATGAAATTCAAAGCAAGAAGAAGAAAGTTAATAATAAAAATTAAAACATAAGTCAATGACATTAAAAACAGGAATTCAATAGAGAAAATATACACAACCAAAGACTTGTTCTTTAGAAAGATCCATAAAATTTATAGGCTTCTAACCAGGTTAACTAAGGGAAAAAAAAAGAGAGTGAATACTAATTACCAATATCAAAAATAACAGAGGGGATACCACTACAAATCCCACAGACATTAAAAAGATAATAATGAAATACTATGAAAAAACTATACCTGCAATTATAATAACCTAAATTAAATCGACCAATTTCCCAAAATAAACAATCTACTCAAACTCCTACAAGAAAAAACTGATGATCTGAATTAGGCCTTTATCTGTTTAAGAAATTAGATTGTCAAGTAATAACCTTCAAAAACAGAAAGAATGGGCCTAGCACAGTGGCTCACGCCTGTAATCCCAGCACTTTGGGAGGCCAAGGTAGGCGGATCCCGAGGTCAGGAGATCGAGACCATCCTGGCTAACACAGTGAAACCCCATCTCTAGTAAAAATACAAAAAATTAGCCAGGCGTGGTGGTGGGTGCCTGTAGTCCCAGCTACTCAGGAGGCTGAGGCAGGAGAATGGCATGAACCAGGGAGGCAGAGGTTGCAGTGAGCTGAGACAGCACCACTGCACTCCAGCCTGGATAACAGAGCGAGACTCCATCTCAAAAAAACAAAACAAAACAAAAAACAGAAAGAATGAGGCCCAGATAGTTTCACTGGTGAATTATACCAAACATTTAAGAAACATGTTATACTAATTGTATACAACCTTCTTCACAGGATAAAAGCATCAGGAATACTTTCTATCTTATTCCATGAGGCCAGCATTACCCTGATACTAAAATCCAAGATATTACAATAACAAAAAAATGTAGACCAATATCACTCATGAACATAGATGTAAAAATCCTCAACAAATATTAGTAAAAAAATTCAATAATACACGAAACATAAAATAATTAAATACCATGATCAAATGGGATTTATTCCAGGTATGCATGGCTGGTTCAATGTATGAAAATCAATTCATGTAATCTATCACATAAACTTAATTTGAAAAGATGATATTTATAATAGTGATATGTTTTGGCTGCGTCCCCACTGAAATCTCATCTTAAATTGTAGCTCCCATAATCCCCATGTGTCATGGAAGGGACCCAGTGGGAGCTAACTTTATCATGGGGATGGGTTTTTCCTATGCTGCTCTTGTGATAGTGAATAAGTCTCACAAGATCTGATTATTTTATAAAGTGCAGTTCTCCTGTACACACTCTTCTGCCTGCTGCCATGTAAGATGTACCTTTGCTCCTCTGCGTTTCACCATGATTGTGAGGCCTCCCTTGCCATTTGAAATTGTGAGTCCATTAAACTTCTTTTTCTTTATAAATTACCCAGTCTTCAGTGTTTCTTCCTAGCAGCAGGAGAATGGAATAATACAGTAAATTGGTACTGAGGGGCATTGCTACAGGATACCTGATAATGGGGAAGCAGCTTTGGAACTGGGTAATGGGCAGAAGTTGGAACAGTTTGGAGGACTCAGAAGAAGACAAGAAAATGTGGGAAAGTTTGAACTTCCTAGAGAATTGGAGGGCTCAGAAGACAGGAAGATGTGGGAAAGTTTGGTACTTCCAAGAGACTTGTTGAATGGCTTTTATCAAAACACTGATACTGATATGGACAATAAAGTCCAGGCTGAAGTGGTATCAGATAAAGATGAGAAACTTTTTGGGAACTAGAGCAAATGTGATTCTTGTTATTCTGTAGCAAAGAGACTGGCAGAATTTTGCCTCTGCCCTAGAGATCTGTGGAACTTTGAACTTGAGAGAGATGATTTAGGGTATCTGGTGGAAGATATTTCTAAGCAGCAAAGTGTACAAGAGGAAGCAGAACATAAAAGTGTGAAAGATTTGCAGCCTGGCAATGCAGTAGGAAAGAAAAACCCATTTTCTGGGGGGATATTCAAGCAGGCAGCAGAAATTTGAGTAAGTAATGAGGAGACAAATGTTAATTGCCAAGACAATGCGGAAAATGACTCCAGGGCACATCAGAGACCTTGGGAGCAGCCACGCCCATCACGGGTCTGGAGGTCTAGAAGGGAAAAATGGTTTCCTGAGCCTGGTCCAGGGCCCCCCTGCTGTGTGCAGTCTCATGACTTGGTGCCCTGCATTCCAGCCACTCCAGCCATGGCTAAAAGGGGCCAAGGTACAGCTTGGACTGTGGCTTCAGAAGGTAAAAGCCCCATGCCTTGGCAGCTTCCACATGGTGTTGAGCTTACAGGTGCACAGAAGTCAAGAAGTGAAGTTTGGGAACCTCCACCTAGATTTCAGAGGATGTATAGAAATGCTTGGATGTCAGGCAGAGGTGTGCTTCAAGGGTGAAGCCCTCATGGAGAAATTTCAGTATGGCAGTCAGAAGGGAAATGTGGGGCGAGAGCTCCCACAAACTGTCCCCACTGGGGCACTGCCTAGTGGAGCTGTGAGAAGAGGGCTACGATCCTCCAGATCCCAGAATGGTAGATCCACTGACACTGTGGATTGCACTGTGCACATGGAAAAGCCACAGATACCCAATGCCAGCTGATGAAAGCAGCTGGGAGGAGGGTTGTTCCCTGCAAAGCCACAGGAGTGGAGCTGCCCAAGACTGAGGGACCCACCTCTTGCATCAGTCATTCAG